>NC_000016.10:18486486-18789516 GCF_000001405.40 Homo sapiens | reverse complement strand
TCTGCTTCTGTTCTGAATCACTGATCGACTATACCCGATGTTTTCCTTCCGGTAGCTGGCAGTTTCTGCCAGTTCTCACGTTGTCTTGTGTCAAGTGGATTTTGTCCCACATTTTATTATCTCCAGACGTTGGTGTGTGGCACGATTCGAAGAAGAGTGGTTAGTGAATGAATGAGTTTCAAAATGTGCAGGCTGACGTCCCGATAACCTGTTTTCAACAACCGTAGTAAATAGGAATTTTCCTGGGTGGTGGGAAATGGAGAAGCAGCCTGCTTAGACTTGAGAAAACTTCGCCAAGGTGGGGCCAGAAAGGAAAGGATACTTCCGCAGTGTAATGGTTGGTGTCTGTTGATGTTGGCAATGCCAGTAAAACCTCCTGTTTTGTCTTCCTTGAACAGCCACAATGGTGCGCATGAATGTCCTGGCAGATGCTCTCAAGAGTATCAACAATGCCGAAAAGAGAGGCAAACGCCAGGTGCTTATTAGGCCGTGCTCCAAAGTCATCGTCCGGTTTCTCACTGTGATGATGAAGCATGGTAAGTCTGCTGCCGCTGTGTTTTATGTTTTCATGTGAGACTCTCTAAGAAATCAGTCCTGTAGAAATTAATTATGGGGGACCAAAGTATGTCTGTCATACCTGAGAACGAATGCAATTGACCTGTGGGCTGTGGAGGAGGGGATAGTCTGAAACTGCTGAAGAGTCACTTAGAGTAGGACTGCTGGAAAAAGGAGCTCTGCTAGGTGTTTGGGAGCTAAATGAATCTAAGTCATTGAAAGGACTCCTGAGCTCATTTCGAGACCAGCCTGGCCAACATGGCAAAACCCCGTCTCTACTAAAAAAACAAAAAACAAAAACAAAAATCAGCCGGTCGTGGTGGCAGGCGCCTGTAGTCCCAGCTCTTTGGAGGCTGAGGCAGGGAGAATTGTTTGAACCCAGCAGGTGGAGGTTGCAGTGAGCCGAGATCGGCCACTGCACTCCAGCCTGGGCGACAGTGCAAGACTCCATCTCAAAAAAAAAAAAAAGAAAGAAAGGACTCTTGAGATCTTCTCAGAGCTCTTTGAGAGGAAAGATTGGATTATTGCACTTCTTTGGCACAAAGTAGTCTTTGGGAATGGGAAGCAGTGAAGGAAGGGTCAAGGGGAAAATAGTTTCTTTCAGAATTGCAAGGTGGATTGTTTTGGGTATTGTCTCCCAATTCTTATATGTTAGGTTGTAAAAATTAGTTCTGATACAGAGCAACTGTCTTCCCCCCAACTTTTTGGAGAAGCAGTCACTGAGGTGATGGGAGAGTGAAGAATTGAGTAGGCTAGAGCACAGAGGTTTAGCTCTCAAGTTGATGTCTTTTATTTAATCCAGTCAGTTATCTTTTGTAGGTTACATTGGCGAATTTGAAATCATTGATGACCACAGAGCTGGGAAAATTGTTGTGAACCTCACAGGCAGGCTAAACAAGGTAAGAACGAGTGATCTACACATTTCAAAGCTTTAAGAATTTTTTACTGTGGCGTTAAATGTTGTAATTGCCTTTGGAAATACTGAGTAGTGGTGCCATACTTGATTTATCCAGTTACTTTAAAAAGGTTTAAAAATTGACACATGGAACTTCATTTGCTCTCCTGGGTTGATTGTGCTAGGATTATGTCAGTTGACCTAGTGTTTTTATGGGGTATAAGCTGTCTCAGGAGAGATGGGGGGTGAAACCAACGCTGGTACTGGTATTTGGATGTTAACGCTACCCACCTCACTGGCTTGAACTTGGGTGGCTCAAGGCCATTGAGCCTTTTGTCCAAGGTGCTGTGTCCTTCCTCTCAGTGATGTGTTGGGTTTTTTGAATGGAATCTTTATCTTTGAGTAAATGGGGCTTTCTAAATAGCAATATGAATACTTTTTCTGTTTTTGCTGGCATAGGTCTTTGGGGTCTATGCTGCTTTTCAGTTTGACTTGTCAACACCTTAACCAAGTAAAACTGACTTTGTGGTTTAAGTGATTGCGTGTGTTTTGGGGGCAGGTGTCTTAAGCTGGTTGAGGTGTCCACTGTGCTTCCTGTCAGGTTTGTAGCTTTCAGATTTGCAAGGAGGCAGATCCTCTAGTTCAGGCTTGTCCAACCTGCCTTATTTTGTTGTATTGTTTTAGACTTGTAGCAGCCTGAAACCATGGTACTTAGTTTCTGTCTCTAGTGATAAATGGAAAAGAGGGATGAGGAAGGGGCCTTACTGGCCCAACTAGAAACAGAAACTAAGAACCCATGACTGTATTCTCTCCCTTGGACACCCCTGTGTTTATTGCAACAGATAGGGGGGAAAGAGACCCAGAAGGTGAGTTGCTGAAGTATTTGTTAAAGATTTGAAGAACTAGCTGGGCACAGTGGGTCACGCCTGTAATCCCAGCACTTTGGGAGGCTGAGGCAGGCGGATCACGAGGTCAGGAGTTTGAGACAAGCCTGGCCAACATGGTGAAACCCTGTCTCTACTAAAAATAGAAAAACTAGCCAGGCGCAGTGGCGGGCGCTTGTAATCCCAGGTACTCCGGAGACTGAGGCAGGAGAATTGCTTGAACCTGGCAGGCGGAGGTTACAGTGAGCTGAGATCGCACCACTGCACTCCAGCCTGGGTAACAGGGCAAGACTCCCTAAGATTTGAAGAACTTGCAAGGGTAATTTTCAGTATGTCATGTTTTGTTCTAGTTGTAGCCATTAGAACCCCACCTCAAAATAGGATTGATTTATTTTTATTTATATTTCTTTTGAGATAGTCTTGCTCTGGTTGAGGCTGGAGTGCAGTGGCGCCATCTTGGCTCACTGCAGCTTCCCTAGCTCAAGCCATCCTCCCACCTCAGCCTCCTGAGTAGCTGGGGAATACAGGTGCATTCCACTGTGACTGCTGATTTTTCTTTAACTTTTTTGTAGAGGTGGGGTCTCGCTATGTTGCTTAGGTTTGTCTTGGACTCATGGGCTCAAGTGATCCTCCCACCTCAGCCTCCCAGAGTGCTGGGATTACAGGTGTGAGTCACTGGGCCCAGCCGAGAAATAAATTTGAACAGAGCATTCTGTAAATGGAACTTATTTGTGGCACCCTTGTTCTGTGGTATGCTAGTTTGAAAAATTCTAGCCTACAACAGTTGATATGCAGGCCCTGCTGCTCTCTGCCCGTTTTTTGAGACGGAGTCTCACTCTCACCCAGGTTGGAGTGCAGTGGCACGATCTTGGCTACTGCAACCTCTGTCTCCCAGGTTCAAGCGATTCTCCTGCCTCAGCCTCCCTAGTAGCTGAGATTACAGGTGAGTGCCACCATGCCCGGCTAATTTTTGTATCTTTGGTAAAGACGGGGTTTCGCCATGTTGGCCAGGCTGGTCTGGGACTCCTGACCTCAGGTGATCCACCGCGCCTGGCCTGTTCTGTGACTTTCGACAAAGCAAACAATTTTTGGTTTCTTGGAATTTCATTTCTCCCCATTTAAAAGAGAACGTCCCCCTCCATCGCTTTCATGCAAGACATGGACCTACCCTTAGCGTGGAAATTGAGCTTGGAAGTAAGGTAGTGTGTAAAGACTAGATTGATTAAAATTCTGGCCTTGATCACATCCTCTTACGATTCTTCTGGGTTGGGGGAGGGTATGCTGTTTTAATTCTACCAGAATGAGAAGAATTTTTGCTGCTGGAATCAACATAAAACTTGGATGCAGCGTGCGGCAGACTTTGGAAAGATCTTTCACTATAGCTTGCTTGGATAAAACTGGTTTTCCCATATTCCTATCCCTGCATTTCTTTCATCTGCCGTGAGATTGTCCTTGTTAGTCAAGTCACAGCATAGCTGATGGGGTAATAGTAGGAGAACTTAAGCAGGCTTCCTGGCGTAGAGCAGTTGGGCCTTTCTGACAAGCCCATTTTCAGTTTCTGTGGGTCAATCTCTGCTTTTGGAAGTGTTTTTCAAGTGTGCCTGTGATTTTAGAGCAGATTTTGTGAGCAGAGGGTCTTCAGTTAGTGGACATCAGTTAGTGGACTTTCTTCAGTAGTGTTTTAGGGCTGGCATGTAGTTGAGTGATGGCAGCCCTTGGCGAGCTTTTACTTGGGAGGATCATTGTTGCCATGTCCCAGTAGCCACGAGATGAGATAATTGCAGGCCCTTTGCTCTTTCTGCCTTCCATCATTCTGTCAGATTTGTTTGGAAAAATTTGTCTGGGGCTGTAGGACATTGTTTCTTGGAAATATGTAACGGTACTTCATTGGTGGGAGCAGCGTTCTTAGTTCAGTGCCTGGACAGCGTGTTCCTTAGATATTCTAATAATTTGTAGAGCTTCAGGATTTGAGACCCTATGATTTTATTTCAGCCTTATTATGTAAGAAAGGGTTGGCTGTAGTCTCTCTTGTCGAGACTTGATCTCTAGGCTATGTAAAATCTGATCATCCTGGACAGCTCTCCAGCCAACAGGGAGCACGCCAGTGGCCTGACACTGCCATGTATTGCCTTGTTCCATCTCTTTGCATGCCTTTGCTTTTTCTCCTAGGCAGGCGTAGTCTTACTTAGGTGTATTTTTTGAAAAGTATGTCAAGCATTGTGCACAGAATAAGTACCCATCTGAATGCTGGGTTGGTTGGTTTGGAGGACTGTTTATTTATGAATGTCATCTTGTGTTACTCAGTTTTTCTGTTATTGGTAAAGTGAAGAATGTTTTTGTTGTTGTTGTTATTTTATAGTGTGGGGTGATCAGCCCCAGATTTGACGTGCAACTCAAAGACCTGGAAAAATGGCAGAATAATCTGCTTCCATCCCGCCAGTTTGGGTAAGTTGGCCTTTCCTTAATTAAAAGAAGTTAATGCTAAGAATTTCTGTGGTGCAGTTTGACTTAAGGGTTTTTTTCTTTTTTTCTGTTTAAAACAAAGCAGTGGTAATTTGTCTACTCTTAACCATTTTGACCTAATAGCTCAAGTGTTATCCATATTTCTTTTCTCTCTCTTTAAAAAGAGACAGGGTTGGCCAGGCACAGTGGCTCACGCCTGTGATCCTAGCATTTTGGGAGGCTGAGGCAGGCGGATCACCTGAGGTTGGGAGTTCGAGACCACCCTGACCAACATGGAGAACCCCGTGTCTACCTAAAATACAAAATTAGCCAGGCCTGGTGGCACACACCTGTGATCCCAGCTACTTGAGAGGCTGAGGCAGGAAAATAGCTTGAACCCGGGAGAGAGGTTGCGGTGAGCTGAGATTGTGCCATTGCACTCCAGCCTGGGCAACGAGTGAAACTCTGTCTCGAGAAAAAAGAGAGAGAGACAGGGTTTCACTTTGTTGCCCAGGCTGGAGTGCAGTGGCTGTTCACAGGTGCGGTCATAACACGCTACAGCCTTGGCTTCTTGGCCTCGAGCAGTCCTCCCCGCTCAGCCTCTTGTGGATTTGGGAATACAGGCGCCTGCCACCGTGCCTGGCTATTTGCCACATTTCATGTGTTGAGCTTCAGGTTCTGAGAGGCACATGAGAGCTTAGACTGGCAGAAAAGGGGGGTCGTGTCCACTTTCATGTCTGCCCTTTTGGCTCACTGCAGATAGTTCCCTGTGATCCCAGATGAGGGCCAGAATCAGTTCTAAGCCTAGGCCTTTGGGAAAACTTAGTTTGGGAGTCTTTGTCCTTAAAAGCCTATCTGAGTTCAAACCCTTGTTTTTCTGCTTTAAAGCCATGAGATCTTGGGCAAGTCACAGCCTTGATTTCTTCATCCGTAAAAGTGGTAATAGTTCCTCTGTTTATCACCTGATTTAATTTTGGTAAAGCACTTTATGAGCTGACACAGTAAATGTGTATCTTTGTGGTTAAGAATTTATACCCTCCAAATTATGCGTCTGGTGCCTTGGTTGAAAGTATTCTCACTTCATGGTTGCTGTATTACAGGTACGGTATTCTCACCAAAATCATTTCTCTTTGTAATTATGATACTGATTTTAATGCCGCACATTTGCATACTATATGCTTGTTACAGTGATCCCCACAGTAACTCATGAAGCAGCCACTCATTGTACAAATGAACGTCTCCATATAATAGTTTAGCTATTATACAGTACATGGCAGAAACACAATTCAAACTCAAGTTTATACGAATACTTTCAAGTCTCCTTACCTGAGAGCAGAAAGTGACATTTAAATTTAAAGGAGTTCCCAGCCTTTGTTTTCAGTGCAGTTTGTTTCATGGTGTAGGCAGAAGTCAGGGCTGTGTGATTGTGTGGCTGGGCTCTCTGGATTTGGCTCTTTGGGTTGCAGGAGTCATGGCTCATACGCTACATGAGGCACCAGCTCATGTAGGCACTGTCAGTTCCTATGTGCCCCACAGGAAAGCGCCCTTAACCACTGATGAGTGTTGATGTTTTTCTGCACTAGAAGGCACTATGTTGAACTATTAAACTTACCAGCACTTTCTTTTTCCACTCCATAGTTTCATTGTACTGACAACCTCAGCTGGCATCATGGACCATGAAGAAGCAAGACGAAAACACACAGGAGGGAAAATCCTGGGATTCTTTTTCTAGGGATGTAATACATATATTTACAAATAAAATGCCTCATGGACTCTGGTGCTTCCACTTGGTCGTTTTGAGCCTTTACAGCAGTGTAGCCACAGCTTCTGCGGCAGCATGCAGTTGCTTCGTTTATCGGTGAATGCGATTCCCTGAAGTGACTAATACAGCCAAGGGAAAAAGTTCTTATGAAACCAGTATGCCTAAGAAACAGTCACCCCTGCTGTCTGCCAAAACCAGGTATTTGACACTAAATATTTTAGTTGTATTTCAGTTTTTTTTTTTTTTTTTCTTTTTTGGAGACAGAGTCTGACTCTATTGCTCAGGCTGGAGTGCAGTGGCGCGATCTTGGCCCACTGCAACCTCCACCTCCCGGGTTCAAGTGATTGTCCTGTCTCAGCCGCCTGAGTAACTGGGATTACAAGTGTGTGTCGCCACATCCGGCTAATTTTTATATTTTAGTAGAGACAGGGTTTCGCCATGTTGCCCAGGCTGGTCTTGAGTTCTGGGCCTCAAGTGATCAGCCTACCTCGGCCTCCCGAAGTGCTGGGATTACAGCCACGAGCCATTACACCTGGCCTATATTTCAGTATTTTCTATTAGTTTTTGATGAATTTGTTTTGCCTGGCTAGGATTATTCTGTAGATAGGATTTTAGATCTGGCTTTTGTCACTGACTGCTGTAATAAATACTTGCTAGGAATTTTTTTTTTTTTTTTTTTTTTTTTAAGACAAAGTCGCTCTGTCACACAGGCTGGAGTGCAGTGGCATGATCTTGGCTCACTGCACCTCCGCTTCCCAGATTCAAGTAGTTCTCGTGCCTCAGCCTCCTGAGTAGCTGGGATTACAGGTGTGTGCCACCATGTCTGGCTGATTTTTGTATTTTTAGTAGAGGTGGGGTTTCACCATGTTGGCCAGGCTGGTCTCGAACTCCTGATCTCAAGTGATCTGCCTGCCTTGGTCTCCCAAAGTGCTGGGATTACAGGTGTGACCACCACGCCCTGCCTTAAGAATTGTTCCAAGAGAATCTGGTGCCACTTGCAGGTGCCCATTGAAGTGCAATGGGCACTGTTGATCACTGAGGAGGTAGTGGGTGCTGACCCGGTGCTGGGGCCTGTCCCCTAGTCTCTGCTTTGCCCTTGGCTAGCTAGGTGGTGTGCCAAGTGGGGAGAGAAGCTACCTTATTAAGGGGCATGGATCAGCTTCCTGAAAGGAGGGCCTGCCTCTGTAAGATATGGGAAGTCGCTGAGAATGTTACAGAACGGCCCTAGAGATGGGGCAGATAACGGCCCCCATTTGTGAGAAGTGAGTTGGGAGGCATGTTTGGGGCCTCTGATGTTTGGGAGGCTGTGGGTAATTAACATGAGTTTTGGGGTCCAGCAGCAGAATTCAGGTTTCCTCTTCCACTCAGTAACCTCAGCATCCGTATCTGTAATGGGAATGATACAAAACCTATCCCCAAGTTGAGGGAAAAATGAGATTGTGTAAAGCGCACTTGGCACATGACAGTCACAAGCATGGGGACAGTGAGTCCAGAAGGATTTTCTTATGCCAGCATTGTAAGCCCTAGGATCACAGGGCTCTGGCTTGTTTAACCATCGTGTCTCTGGTCCCTAGCCTGCAAACCTGGTGTGTAGGGATGCCTCAGTCGCTTACATGTTGATTGAGTGAATCGTCGGTTTCTTTCTGGACACTGACTTCAAAAATAAAATAGGATATGAAAATGGCTCCATTTGTTGTCACCATTTTGTGGGGATCCTATGTCCTTTGAAGTGGTCAGGAGTGGGAGAAACGTGACAGGGGAAGAAGGAGTGGTGTGGCTGATGGATTTAACATGTGTTCTTTTATGTTGGCAAGGAAGCGGATGACCTTACCCCTTGTTCCTCAGATCCTGTAAATGGCTTTATAACATGACCCAGGGCTGCTTGGTGTGGGACTAGACCCCAGGGTTTGAGGGTCTGAAGACAATTTAGGTTCGTGCTGGCAGGATGTCTTGGCTCAGAGACAAGTATTTCTGTGGGGTGATCCCAGCATCCTCCCAGCATACTGCTGCTGTTGCTAGGCAGAGACCCCGGAGTGGGGAGAGGGTGATAGCATCTGGATCATCCATTCCTACCTAGGTGGTTTTGGCTCATAGTAAAAGGGACCCAGCACCTATCCGCTGCTCAGCCTCGGAGCTGCAGGTGTCAGGGATATGATGCACTGTCCAAAAAGACATGCAAAACTTAACACCCCTGCATTTTCATGGAGAGACCCCGTGGAGCCTCTGACCAGAGGCTGAAAGAAATGTGTCATTCAAAAGACCAGGGAACCACTGCCAAGGACCCCTACATTCAGCAACACATCTATACTCGTGCCTGCCACGTGTCCTCACTTAGAGGCTATTGTCTCACCTCAGGGTCAGGAGTGCCAGGTGAAAGAGCACACAGGTCTCTGGGCAAGGCAGAGTTTGAAGCTAGGTCTGGACCAACGTCTGAGAGGATGACTTCACCCCAGGCGAGGAAGTTCACTTTGAGCTCCTGGCCAGGGAGAAAGCAAGCTCTGGGAGACCTAAACTCTGAATCTCACTTGGCTTTTCAGTCTAATCCGTTGTTGCCAAAGACATACTTGGCAATCCCGAATCCTCAGAGGGCTCCATACGTGCTGCGCTTCAGCCTTCGCTCACGGTTCATCCCACCTGGAATGCCTTTTTCTCTCCAAAGATGTTCCCAAGAGCCAAGTTAAATGTCACTTCCATTTATCTTCCTCCAAAAGGAACATGTGTTTTACTTCATCTTTCTCCTAAAAATGTGGAAGCCTTAATGAGACTAATAATGGTTGTTAGTGCTTGCCAGGCGTGGAGCTAAGAGTGTTACATATATTATTTAATCTGAGCAATCCTGCATCATGGGTACTATTACCAGCTCCAGTTTTTTTGAGACGGAGTCCGTTTTGTCGCCCAGGCTGGAGTGCAGTGGCATGAGTTCAAGCGATTCTTATGCTCCAGCCTTCTGAGTGGCTGGGACTACCAGCACACATCACCACGCCCGGCTAATTTTTTTTGTATTTTAGTAGAGACAGGGTTTCGCCGTGTTGGCCAGGCTGGTCTTGAACTCCCGTCCTCAGGTGACCTGCCCGCCTCAGCCTCCCAAAGTCCTGGAATTACAGGCGTGAGCCACTGCGCCTGGCCCAGCTCCAGTTGTTCAGGTGAAAAAGGTGAGGCACAGAATTGGAAAGCCATTTGTCCAAGAGGCTAGGAAGTGGTCACGTGAGCATTTAAATGTTTTTAAGCCTCAGCCTACTCCAGGCCCTTAGCGTGTTTTGTACTGCGTTTTCCTGGTCTTTCCCAGTGTTTATTAGATGTCTATAGTGTCCAGACAATGTTAGGCAGACGGGACACAAGGGTGCACAAACAAACAGTCTGTGCCCTTATTGGAACCTGTTAATCCCTAAAGGGCTAAGCCTCCCTGCAGCAAGAACCCTGTTAGTCACCTGTGTATCCCCAGCATCTAGACTCTCCACGGGCATGGCACTATGCTGTAAAAAAAATAATCCCTGACCCTCACGGCTATGGGAAAGCATGCCTTTTAAAGCATAATCCGGCTGGGTGCGGTGGCTCACGCCTGTAACCCCAGCACTTTGGGAGGCTGAGGCAGGTGGATCACCTGAGGTCAGGAGTTTGAGACTAGCCTGGCCAACATGGTGAAACCCCGTCTTTACTAAAAATACAAAAATTTGCTGGGCGTGGTGGCAGGTGCCTGTAATCCCAGCTACTCAGGAGGCTGAGGCAAGAGAACCGCTTGAAGCCTGGAGGCAGAGGTTGCAGTGAGCTGAGATTGCGCCATTGCACTCCAGCCTGGGTGACGAGTGAAACTCCGTCTAAAAAAAAAAAAAAAAGAAAAAAAATGGATAATCCAATCTAGGTGCCTCTGCCACAGTGTTGCATTCACAGAATTCCGTGGACCCAAAAATCAGTCTTGGAATAGGCTGAGATATGGACAGGACACCCAGGTTCTGCCCCTACACCTATCCCCCACCTGGCTTTTTTTTTTTTTTTACTTGAGACAGTCTCGCCCTGTGAGCCGAGGTTGCACCACTGCACTCCAGCCTGGGCAGCAGAGCAAGACTCCATCTCTCAGAAAACAAAAAAACAAAATGGGGTTAAGAGAATGGGCTTTGGAATCTAGTGGCTTCACTGGTTGCTTGCTGTGTGATCTCGGGCCACTTGCTGTGCCTCTGTGCGTCAGTTTCCTTGTCTTTAGTAGAGAGATGATAGTAACATTTCCTGTAGTGGTTGTGAAGATTATACATAATGTTTGTAACCTGCTGGAGTGGTCATTAGAGCTGTTCACCAAATATTCAGATTCTCCCCGGTTGGCACATGGTGGGAGTGCCTTGTCCATGTGACTAACTGGCCAGTCAGCTGGGAGCAGAAGTGCCTCCTTCAGGCGGGGGCCTTTAGTGGCTGGCAGGAGACCTCTATGGCTCCTCTTTCTTTTTTTTTTTTTTTTAATTAATTTTTTAAAATTATACTTTAAGTTTTAGGGTACATGTGCACAACGTGCAGGTTCGTTACATATGTATACATGTGCCATGTTGGTGTGCTGCACCCAGTAACTCGTCATTTACATTAGGTATATCTCCTAATGCTATCCCTCCCCCGTCCCCCCACCCACAACAGTCCCCAGAGTGTGATGTTCCCCTTCCTGTGTCCATGTGTTCTCATTGTTCAGTTCCCACCTACGAGTGAGAACATGCGGTGTTTGGTTTTTTGTCCTTGCTATAGTTTACTGAGAATGATGGTTTCCAGCTTCATCCATGTCCCTACAAAGGACATGAACTCATCCTTTTTTATGGCTGCATAGAATTCCATGATGTATATGTGCCACATTTTCTTAATCCAGTCTATCATTGTTGGACATTTGGGTTGGTTCCAAGTCTTTGCTATTGTGAGTGGTGCCGCAATAAACATACGTGTGCATGTGTCTTTATAGCAGCATGATTTATAGTCCTTTGGGTATATACCCAGTAATGGGATCACTGGGTCAAATGGTATTTCTAGTTCTAGATCCCTGAGGAATCACCACACTGACTTCCACAATGGTTGAACTAGTTTACAGTCCCACCAACAGTGTAAAAGTGTTCCTATTTCTCCACATCCTCTCCAGCACCTGTTGTTTCCTGACTTTTTAATGATGGCCATTCTAACTGGTGTGAGATGGTATCTCATTGTGGTTTTGATTTGCATTTCTCTGATGGCCAGTGATGATGAGCATTTTCCTCATGTATCTTTTGGCTGCATAGATGTCTTCTTTTGAGAAGTGTCTGTTCATATCCTTTGCCCACTTTTCGATGGGGTTGTTTGTTTTTTTCTTGTAAATTTGTTTGAGTTCATTGTAGATTCTGGATATTAGCCCTTTGTCAGATGAGTAGATTGCAAAAATTTTCTCCCATTCTGTAGGTTGCCTCAATGAAATAAAAGAGGATACAAACAAATGGAAGAACATTCCATGCTCATGGGTAGGAAGAATCAGTATCATGAAAATGGCCATACTGCCCAAGGTAATTTACAGATTCAATGCCATCCCCATCAAGCTACCAATGACTTTCTTCACAGAATTGGAAAAAACTACTTTAAAGTTCATATGGAACCAAAAAAGAGCCCGCATTGCCAAGTCAATCCTAAGCCAAAAGAACAAAGCTGGAGGCATCACACTGCCTGACTTCAAACTATACTACAAGGCTACAGTCACCAAAACAGCATGGTACTGGTACCAAAACAGAGATATAGACCAGTGGAACAGAACAGAGCCCTCAGAAATAATGCCGCATATCTACAACCATCAGATCTTTGACAAACCTGACAAAAACAAGAAATGGGGAAAGGATTCCCTATTTAATACATGGTGCTGGGAAAACTGGCTAGCCATGTGTAGAAAGCTGAAACTGGATCCCTTCCTTACACCTTATACAAAAATTAATTCAAGATGGATTAAAGACTTAAATGTTAGACCTGAAACCATAAAAACCCTAGAAGAAAACCTAGGCATTACCATTCAGGACATAGGGATGGGCAAGGACTTCATGTCTAAAACACCAAAAGCAATGGCAACAAAAGCCAAAATTGACAAATGGGATCTAATTAAACTAAAGAGCTTCTGCACAGCAAAAGAAACTATCATCAGAGTGGATATGGCTCCTCTTTCTTTCCGCCATGGTGATGGGCGATTATGCCCAAGAGCGGCTGCTTCATTTGCCTGGCACAGGAGTGAGGGTGACAATGCAGAGATCCAGCCACCCAGCAATGGGTGTGTAGCAAGAGCAAGAAATGACGCTTTTGTGAATTAAGCAACTGCAATTTGGCGTTTTTATAACCTAACGTATCTTGACTGATACAAATGCTTAGAGCAACCTCTGATATTTAGTAAGGGCTTATTCAGTGGCAGAATAGAAAAGAATGAGATCTAGAGTAATAAAAGGGATTAGCCTTCTCTTTGTCAGTTAGGGGATGTCAAGAGATTATCTGTAGCACCCTCTGCTGTCAACATGCCTGTCTTCCATGACCGGCCTGTATCCCCCTCCCTCCACATGTTTTTGTTTTTCCCAGACAGGGTCTCACTCTGTCACCCAGGCTGGAGTGCAAATCGACCTCCTGGGTTCAAGTGATCCTCCTGCCTCACTCTCCCCAGTAGCTGGGACTACAGGCATGTACCACCACACCTAGCTAATTTTTTATTTTTTGTGGAGATGGGACCTCACTATTTTGCCTAGGCTGGTCTCAAACTCCTGGGCTCAAGCAATTCTCCTGCCTCTACCTTCCAAAGTGCTGGGATTATAGGTGTGAGCCATTGTGCCCAGCCACATGGTTCTTAAATACTCACCCCCACCCCAAACCCTCTGACACATGCGTTTAGTCCCGGGGTGGGGCACCTGACTCAACCCAGGTTGAAGATACTTTAGGATATTTTGAACCTGGGAGATGTGAGGGTTGTCTCTTTAAAATGGTGGAAATTATGAGATAATTGGGAACGGCACTACTGATCCTCCTAATTTATTTTTAATTTTTTTTTTAGGCCGAGGCGGGTGGATCACCTGAGGTCAAGAGTTCCAGACCAGCCTGGCCAATATGGTGAAACCTTGTCTCTACTAAAACTACAAAAATTAGCAGGGTGGGGTGGCAGGCGCCTGTAATCCGAGCTACTCGGGAGACTAGGACTACAGGTGCTCACCACCGCGCTTGGCTAATTTTTATATTTTTACAAAGCTTTAAATAAAAATTGCTTAAAGCTGAAAACTGGGTGGGCGCAGTGGCTCACGCCTGTAATCCTACCACTTTGGGAGGCTGAGGTGGACAGATCACTTGAGCCCAGGAGTTCGAGATCAGCTTGGGCAACGTGATGAAATACGATCTCTACAAAAAATACAAAAATTAGCCAAGCATAGAGGTACACACCTGTAGTCCCAGATACTCCACTGAGGTGGGAGGATCACCTGAGCCTGGAGAGGTTGAGGGTTCAGTGAGGTGCGATCGCACCAATGCACTCCAGCCTGGGCGACAGAGTGAGATACTGTCTCAAAAAACATGAAAATGAAAAATAAAAAATAAAAGCTGAAAAATTTATATTTAATATTTTGAAAACTTAAATCTTATTGCATATTATTATTAAATAACTTTTCCCAGTTCTAGTGTTCAATGTCAGTCTAATTGCTCATCTAAAGGACTGATAGTACAACATACATTTTGTGTCTCGATCTTATATACAAATTAGAGAGTGATACAAATTGTTTAAATGGCTAAATGTTCCTCAGCTACAGTGAGTAGCCATATTGGTCTCTTTTAAAAATTTTTATTATTTTTATTTAAACAAAGTTTTAATTTTTTTTGTAGAGACAGGGTCTCATTATGTTGCCCAGGCTGGTCAGCCACAAGTGATCCTCCTGCCTCAGTCTCCCAAAGTTCTGGGATTGTAGGCATGAACTAACACGCCTGACCCATATTACTCTCTAACTCATGAGTATGTCTGGAGGCACAATTTGGAACATGAGGAGAAACAGATAAATGGACTCTCAGCACTTCTGAGAAATGATACTTGTTATACAAGAATCTGCTGCATTCAGCCTCCCTGAGAAGAGGAATTTAAGAATTAATTTCTGCTTCCTCTTACTTAAGTGTTTCAACACTCAAGTCCTTTGCATACTCTGAAGCAATGGGTGTCTCCAACATTGGTAGCGGCTGCAACCCACAAACCTTCCTGACATAAAATAGTTGCATTCATTCATTCATTCATTTGCTCTGCCGCACAGGCTGGAGTGGCAGTGGCACGATCTTAGCTTACTGCAACCTCCACCTCCCTGGTTCAAGCCATTCTCCTGCCTCAGCTTCCCGAGTAGCTGGGATTACAGGTGCGCACCACCACGCCCGGCTAATTTTTGTATTTTTTAGTAGAGACGAGGTTTCACCATGTTGGCCAGGCTGGTCTCAAACTCCTGACCTCTACTGATCTGCCTGCCTCGGCCTCCCAAAGTGCTGGGATTACAGGCGTGAGCCACCACACCTGGCCATAGTTGCCTTTTGTTTTGAGATTTTAGGACAAGAGATGCTTTTTTTTTTTTTTTTTTTTGAGACAGAGCTTTGCTCTTGTTGCCCAGGCTGGAGTGCAATGGCGTGATCTCGACTCACTGCAACCTCTGCTTCCCGGGTTCAAGCAATTCTGCCTCAGCCTCCCGAGTAGCTGGGATTACAGGCATGTGCCACCATGCCCAGTTAATTTTGTATTTTTAGTAAAGATAGGGTTTCTCCATGTTGGTCAGGCTGGTCTCGAACTCCCAATCTCAGGTGATCTCCCCGCCTCAGCCTCCCAAAGTGCTGGGATAACAGGCATGAGCCACCACGCTGGGCAGAAATGAGACATTCTTTGGGGCCTGAACAGTGTTTGTTATGAAATGGATGTTTAGGGCTGCAGATTGTGCTGAGCCAGTACTGAACATAAGATCCTGAGTGGACAGGAACACCTTTGTGGTCATTAGTGAATCTGTTTTTAAGAGCTGGGAGTGGTGGCTAACACCTGTAATCCCAGCATTGTGGGAGGCTGAGGTGGGATGATCACTTGAGCCCGGAGTTTGAGAGCAGCCTGGGTAACGAAACAAGACTCTGTCTCTACAAAAAAGAAAAAAATTAGCTGGGTGTGGTGGCATGAGTCTATAGTCCCAGCTACTCAGGAGGCTGAGGTGGGAGGATGGCTTGAGCCTAGGAGGTCAAGGCTGTAGTGAGTCATGTTTGTGCCACTGCACTCCAGCCTATTTGAGACAGATAATGTGTTTGAAAAAACAAAAAACAAAAAAAACGAAAAAAAACCTCTTGGCCTGGTGTGGTGGCTCACGCCTGTAATCCCAGCACTTTGGGAGGCCGAGGCAGGTGGATCACCTGAGGTCAGGAGTTTGAGACCAGCCTGGCCAACAATGGTGAAACCCCATCTCCGTTAAAAATACAAAAATTTGCTGGGCCTGGTGGCACGCATCTGTAATCCCAGCTACTCGGGAGGCTGAGGCAGGAGAATTGCTTGAAGCCTGGAGGCGGAGGTTGCAGTGAGCCGAGATGGCGCCACTGTACACACTCCAGCCTGAGCAATAAGAGCAAAACTCCATCTCAAAAAAAAAAAAAAAAAAGAAAAGAATAAAAGAAAAATCCATTTAAAAAAATCGAGAGCCAATCTTGCTAGGAACTGAGGGGGTTACTGGCTGCAAGGGAGATGGGGAAAACAAGTCCTGGCCTCCACCTAGGGGATCTATAGACTCACAGTGCAGGAATTTCCCCGGAGACAGAGGAGCACTTTAAAGGTACTGTGCGGCCCAAAATGGTGGAGTAGGGAATTCCAGGGCTCCATCCCTCCCCCAACACAACTAATAAGGTGGCAAAAACTGTCAGAATCAACTTCTGAAGTACTCTGGGATCTAGCTTTTTGTTAGCTTTCATTTTTTTGAGATGGGGTCTCACTCTGTCCCCCAGACTGGAGTGCCACTGTGCAATCTCAGCCCACTGCAGCCTTGACCTCCCGCCTCAGCCTCAGAGTAGGTGGGATCATGGGCGCAAGCCACCATGCCAGGCTAATTTTTGTATTTTTTGTAGAGACAGGGTTTTACAGTGTTGCCCAGGCTGGTCTTGAACTCCTGAGCTGAAGCAATTCACCAGCCTCAGCCTTCCAAAGTGCTGGGATTACAGGCTTGAGCCACCGCACCCAGCCTTCTAGTTTTTAAAAAGGGAAACAAACAAACTTACAACTACTACGGGAAAATTTGGAGAAAGAAAGCTCTGAGGCTGGGCATGGTGGCTCACGCCTATAATCCCAGCACTTTGGGAGGCAAAGGCGGGTGGATCCCCTGAGGTCAGGAGTTCGAGACCAGCCTGGCCAACATGGTGAAACCCCGGCTCTACTAAAAATACAAAAATTAGCTGGGCATGGTGGCACATGTGCCTGTAATCCCAGCTACTCGGGAGGCTGAAGCAGGAGAATCCCTTGAACCCAGGAGGAGGAGGTTGCAGTGAGCCGAGATAGTGCCACTGCCCTCCAGCCTGGGTGAAAGCAAAAGTCCGTCTCAAAAAAAAGGAAGGAAAGAAAGCTCTCCTGTGATAAGAGAGTGTGATTGATGGCGTTTTTGCTTGCTCACGTAACATCCCCCCAACTCCAGATCAGCAGGGACCATGAGGATGTCAGCCTGCCCTTCTGGGGCTGGTTGCTAGCGTAGGGGGAGTACACAGAATTTACTCTCAAAGAATTGTGGTTGTAGGCTGGGTGTGGTGGCTCACACCTGTAATCCCAGCATTTTGGGAGGCTAAGGCAGGTGAATCACGAGGTCAGGAGTTTGAGACCAACCTGGCCAACATGGTGAAACCCCATCTCTACTAAAAATACAAAAAATTAGCTGGGCATGGTGGTGGGCACCTGTAATCACAGCTACTCAGGAGGCTGAAGCAGGAGAATCACTTGAACCCGGGAGGCAGAGGTTGCAGTGAGCCAAGATCGTGCCACTGAACTCCAGCCTGGGTGACAGGGCAACTCCGTCTTAAAAAATAAATAAATAAATTTGGGGTTATAGGTCTGACAACTTCCCCAAGGACTAGCAGAAAGGCTTCTGAGCTTTTTACCCAGGGCATTTTCAGGGCTGGCATGGCTTCCCAGGTGGCTTTAGACAAAAGCATTGAAAGACATAGGTACTGGCCTCAATACCCTGGGGCAGGGGACAACACTTGGGACAAGCAATAGACAGACCGGGCAGCCTGGGAAGGAAAAGTTTGGAAAAAGAGATGTGTGTCTGTAGAGGCTTTTAAAAGTGTCCACATAAACCAGGAAATCAAGAAAGCTGTGTGCAGGCCCATAGTCAGTTGCATGCTCAGAAAAGGCCTAAGAAACTTTGTGAGGCCAAGGTGGTTGGATCACCTGAGGTCAGGAGTTTGAGACCAGCCTGGCCAACATGGTGAAATCTTGCCTTTACTAAAAATACAAAAATTAGCCAGGCATGGTGGCACACACCTGTAATGACAGCTACCCGGGAGGCTGAGGCAGAAAATCACTTTACCTGGGAGGTGGAGGTTACAGTGAGCTGAGATTGTGCCTCTGCACTCCAGCCTGGGTGACAGAGTGAGACTCTGTCTCAAAACAAAACAAAACAAAAACAAAAGAAAAGGCCTAAGAAGACCCTGGGCTTTCATCTCTTTCTGGCCTTCAGTCTCTGTGCAAGCAGGAAGTGAAGGCTAAGGCAGAGTATAAATGGCTTGGTTAAGGGTTGAGAGAGTGCCCCAAACAGATCCAATTTGCAAAGACTAGGATAGTGTTTTTCTTTTCTTCCTTCCTCCCTCCCTCCCTCCCTTCCTTCTTTCCTTCCTTCCTTCCCTCCTTCCTTCCTTTCTCTCCTTTCTGACTGCCTGCCTTCTTTCTCTCTCTCTTTCTTTCTCTTTATTTCTCCTGTTTTCTTGTTTCTTCCCTTTTATTCTTCTTTATTTGTTGGCTTCAGCCATTTTAGGTAGCTCTCAAAATACCAGCTGACTGACAAGCAAAAAGGACAGAAACAAGCAAAAAGAACAGAACAGAAAAAACAAAACAAAACAAAAAAAAAAACAGAAACAGAAACACAAAGAATACAGACTTTACAAAAATAGTTTGGAAAATTTACCAAACAAGCAAACCACAGCAACCCACGATAGAGAGCAACAATAGACCCTGGGGAGGGAGGAGAATCTGATTTTCAGTGTTGCCATAAATTGAAAATGTCAACAAAAACCCTCATGGCATGGAAAGAAATAATAAAGTTCCACTCATTTGTGGCAAGAAAGAAATGACTAGATACTGTCCTTGTGGCAACCCAGGTATTGGTCTTACTGGCAATGACTTTTTTTTTTTTTTTGAGACAGAGTCCCACTCTGTCGCCCAGGCTGGAGTGCAATGGCACGATCTTGGCTCACTACAACCTCCGCCTCTGGGGTTGAAGCGATTCTCCTGCCTCACCCTCCTGAGTAGCTGGGATTACAGGTGTGCGCCACCACGCCCAGCTAAGTTTTGCATTTTCAGTAGAGACGGGGTTTCATCATGTTGGTGAGGCTGGTCTCAAACTCCTGACCTCGTGATCCACCCGCCTCAGCCTCCCAAAGTGCTGGATTAGAGGCGTGAGCCACTGTGCCCAGCCCAGCAATGACTTTTAAAAAAATTTATTTATTTAATTTTTTTTTAGAGACAGGGTCTCCCTCTGTCACTCAGGCTGGAGTGCAGTGATGCAATCATAGCTCACTGCAGCCTCTATCTCCTGGGCTCGAGTGAGTCTCCTGCTTCAGCCTCCTGAGTAGGCTGGAACTACAAGTGTGCACCACAATGCCAGGCTAGACAATTACTTTTTTTTTTTTTTTTTTGAGATGGAGTCACACTCTGTCACCCAGGCTGGAGTGCAGTGGCATAATCTCGGCTCACTGCAACCTCTGTCTCCCAGGTTCAGGTGATTCTCGTGCCTCAGTCTCCCAAGTAACTGGGATTACAGATGCCCGCCACCATGCCCAGCTAATTTTTGTATTTTTAGTGGAGACAGGGTTTCACCATGTTGGCCAGGCTGGTCTTGAACTTCTGACCTCAAGTGATCTGCCTGCCTCAGCCTCCCAAAGTGCTGGGATTACAGGCATGAGCCACCATGCTCAGCCGACAATGAGTGTAAATTGACTGTCTTAAATATACTCAAAGAGATGAAGGAAACCATGGACAAAGTCCTAAAGAGAGAGCACTTTGCAGAAGTCGTAGCGCCTTGAGAGCCAGCAGGGCAGTGGGCCAGTGAGATGTTGAGTTATTACTATTATTAATTCAAATCACATGAATAGCAAAAACCCTCAGAGAACAAGAAGTCTTTGTTGTATCACAAGGGCTCCATCAGCAGAGGTGGAGTCCTGAACTCGGCACAGTGTCTGGCATATACTAGGTCTTCAAGAAAGTTTTAGAGTAAACAAATGCATCCATAATGCTTTTATGTTGGGTAAGGTCTTTCTAGCAGTCAAAATTTTCTTCCTTTCTTTTTTTTTTTTTTTTTTTCCTCCTTGTGATGGGGTTTGCGGGAATGGGAACAATGGCACAGAGGAAGAGCAAACCAAAATTATCTTGAGTTAGCAGATATCTTTCTCCTGTCTCCTTTCTTCACTAGGAAGAACAGTCTTTGCTGGGCATGGTGGCTCCCACCTGTAATCCCAGCACTTTGGGAGGCCAAGGCAAGTGGATCACCTGAGATCAGGAGTTCGAGACCAGCCTGGCCAACATGGTGAAACCCTGTCTCTACTAAAAATACAAAAATTAGGTGGGGTGCTGTGTGGCTCGCTCCTGTAATCCCAGCCTTTTTGGAGGCTGAGGCTGGTGGATCACCTGAGGTCAGGAGTTCAAGACTAGCCTGGTCAACATGGGAAACCCCGTCTCTACTAAAAATACCAAAAAATAAAACAAACAAAAAAAAACAAACAAAACAAAAACTGGGCGTGGTGGTGCATGCCTGTATTCCCAGCTACTTGGGAGGCTGAGGCAGGAGAATCGCTTGAACCTGGGAGGCAGAGGTTGCAGTGAGCTGAGATCATGCCATTGCACTCTGGCCTCGGGGACAGAGTGAGACTCTGTCTCAAGAAAAAAATAAATAAATAAATAAATAAAAATAAAAAACCTAAAGAAACAAAAAACAAAAATTAGCCAGGTGTGGTGGTGCACGCCTGTAATCCCAGCTACTCGAGAGGCTGAGGCAGGAGAATCGCTTCAGCCCAGGGATGCAGAGGCTGCAGCGAGCCGAGATGGCACCACTGCACTCCAGCCTGGGCGACAGAACGAGACTTTGTCTTTTTTTTTTTGTTTAAAACAAAAAAAAAAGAAAGAAGAACGGTATTGTCTTTGGGTAAGCATAGGCACAGAGTTAAAAAAAAAAAAAAAGAGTCGTGTCTTTGGGACTGAGTGGATGGGCATGTGTTCTGAGTTAGTGTGCCCAGGTGTGGTGAAAGACACGGAGAAACCACTGCTTGATGCGTTCTCTTTTGTTGTTTAAGTTGTGGGCTGCTGTGGGATGGGGTTGCATGTCTGCGTCCTCTTCGAAAAGCACACAATATGGCAAGAGGAAGCTGGAGAGAGCTCCTAGGAGTGCCTCGTGCCAGGTGAAGAGGTTGCATTGCGGGTGGTGGGTAGGTGCCTAGGGAGAGGAGGTCCACGCCTGCTGTCCTTCCAGCACGATGGCTCCAAAAGCAGAGCGAAGAGGTGATGTTCCAACTTCCCAAGGCATCCAAGGGACGGGGCTTGAAGAATGCAGCCTAGCAACCATGTGCGTAAGAATGTGGGGAAGGAGGGCTTGAGGATGAGCCTGAGAGTCAACTGGACTGTGGGGAAATAGTGTAGCCTTCTTTCTTTGAGCTTCAGTTATCTCGCCTGTGGTGATGATGACGATGATGATAAAGATGATGCCATACTTCTATGGCACATACTATGTTCCAGATATTGTTCATATAACTCGTATAATTTTCATAGCAGTTTTACAAGATGAGTACTATTTGTTTTTGTTTTTTTGTTTTTTTTTTTAGATGGAGTCTCGCTCTGTTGCCAGGCTAGAGTGCAGTGGCGCAATCTGGGTTCACTGCAACTTCTGCCTCCTGGGTTCAAGCAATTCTCCTGCCTCAGCCTCCTGAGTAGCTGGGACTACAGGCACATACCAGCTAATTTTTGTATTTTCAGTAGAGACAGGGTTTCACCATGTTAGCCAAGATGGTCTTGATCTCTTGACCTCGTGATCCACCCGCCTCAGCCTCCCAAAGTGCTGGGATTATAGGCGTCAGCCACAGCTCCCAGCCAAGATGGGTACTATTTTTATACCTATTTTATAGAAGAGGAAACTGAGGCATAGAGAAGTCAAGTCACTTGATCATACAGCTAGTGTGTGGAGGAGGCAGATTCAAACCCTGGCTTCGGTCTTAGTCACTGCATTGGCTTCATGGGCTTATCATGAGGATTAAACGCGTGAACATGCTCAGTGTTTAGTTCAGTGTCTGGCACAGGATCAATGTTCAGAAAATCCTAACAGCTGCTATCAGTTTCAGAACCCAAACAAACAGGTGGGACTTTCGCTAACTCTCTAACATCACATGTGCTTGTATAATCAGCCACTGTTTTTTTCATGAAAAAAATTTTTTTTGAGACAGGTTCTCGCTTTGTCACCCAGGCAGGAAGGCAGTGGTGAGAACACAGCTCACTGTAGCCTCCACCTCCTGGGCTCAAGCGATCCTCCCACCTCAGCTTCTTGTGTAGCTGGAACCACAGCATGTGCCACCACGCCCAGCTATTTTTTAATATTTTTTTTTTTATTTTTTGTAGAGATGAGGTCTCACCATCTTGCCCAAGCTGTTCTCAAACTCCTGGACTCAAGCAGTCATCCTGCCTCAGCCTCCCAAAAGGCTGAGAGTACAGGCATGAGCCACTGCGCCTGGCTAATCAGTCACTTGTTGTTGTTGTTTTTTGTTTTTTGTTTTTTTGATATGGAGTCTTGCTCTGTCACCCAAGTTGGAATGCAATGGCGCGATCTCGGCTCACTGCAAGCTCTGCCTCCTGGGTTCAAATGATTCTCCTGCCTCAGCCTCCCAAGTAGCTGGGACTACAGGTGCACGCCACCACACCCAGCTAATTTTTGTATTTTTAGTAGAGACGGGGTTTCACCATGTTGGCCAAGATGGTCTCGATCTCTTGACCTCATGATCCGCCTGCCTCAGCCTCCCAAAGTGCTGGGATTACAGGCGTGAGCCTTAATCCCAAAGTGCTGGGATTACGTGCCTGGCCTTAATCACTTTTAAAGGAGAGTGGGGAACATCATGTTTTGCAACTATTTTTTGAACTCTTGGATATTTACTTGGAACAAATAAAAACACTTTTGTACCATGTGAAAGGTAAAATTTGCTCAAGCCGTCCCTCATCCTGCCCTGGCCTGCTTCCACATGCGGCTGGGTGAGCTGACCCCATTCTCTGTTTATTTATTGTTTTTGTTATTGTATTTTATTTTACTTTTTTGAGACAGAGTTTCACTCTTGTCACCCAGGCTGGAGTCCAATGGCATGATTGTGGCTCCCTGCAACCTCCGCCTCCCAGATTCAAGCGATTCTCCTGTGTCAGTCTCCTGAGTAGCTGGGATTACAGGTGCCCGCCACCATGCCCAGCTAATTTTTGTATTTTTAGTAGAGACGGGGTTTCCCCATGTTGGCCAGGCTGGTTTTGAACTCCTGACCTCAGGTGATCTGCCCGCCTCGGCCTCCCGATGTGCTGGGATTACAGGTGTGAGCCACCGCGCCCGGCCCATTCTCAGCTTCTTGATGGCTTCCCCCTTCTGGGACATTGATCACTTATTCATGACATTGACTGGTCATGAGCCACTCCTCCGCCAGCCCTTGGAGGATCCAAGTGATTCACAAATGGACACAAGGAATATGATTAGTCCTCTGTGAGTGATTCTGAGGGGCCGTGGTATAGAGAGAGAGAGGGGAAGGAGGATGGGAAAATGCGGGCAGTTCCCTCCCCAACCCATTCTGACAGTTTGCTGGTTAGAGAAAAATCCCCATGTCAGAGAATTTTTTTCTTTGTTTATTTCCTGTGAAATAGAATGTGGGTCTGGCATTGGGGAGGACTCTAATAATTCATATTTTCTGCTTATTTGGCTCCTGGCTGAACAGGAATTTACATTACTTAATGTCTGGGTTTTTCCTGGGGAATCAAAATAAGTTTTCTATTCAATTATTAAGCAAATTTCACAGCCAAATAATCCTCTTATTTTTACAAGTGGTATTTTCCCTGGCAGAGGGTTTTCTGGCTTCTCTGGGTAGTTGATCCGTCTCCTCTCTTCTGTTTCCTCTGTCCTTGTCTGGCTATGAAGGAAGCTAAAGCCCCTCATTCATGGATTAGGGGCTTCTCAATGGCAGTTGGCAGACTTTGGCTTTGCAAGCTAGAGATGAATCTTTTTCTTCTTTCTTTTTTTTTTTTTTTCGAGATGGAGTCTCGCTCTGTTGCGCAGGCTGGTGTGCAGTGGTGCGATCTCCACTCACTACAACCTCTGCCTTCCAGGTTCAAGCTATTCTCCTGCCTCAGCCTTCCAAGAAGCTGGGACTACAGACATGCACCACCACACCTAATTTAAAAAATATTTTAGTAAATGGCTAATTTAAAAAATATTTTTAGTAAATGGGAGGTTTTACCATGTCGGCCAGGCTGGTCTCGAACTCGTGACCTCAGGTGATCTGCCTGCCTTGGCCTCCCAAAGTGCTGGGATTACAGGTGTGAGCCACTGTGCCTGGCCTAGAGATAAATCTTAATGTCCGCCAGCCATGGGGTAAGAGTCCACTCCCTCTTTCTGCTCTTCAGTCTATTGACTTTGGGCACAGGCACAGCTGCAGCTCTAGTAGGGGTTGGGCCTGGAGTCAGTGGAGACAAAATGTGAAGGTAACAGGACAGTGCACAGGGCCCAGTGTGCTCTGCCTGGGCTGCTCAGGGAAGAAAAATCACACACACACAAATAACAACCCTTTTTTTGTCAGAAGTACAGTGAAAGATCTCTACGTCTTGGCCAGCATTTGTTATCTTTTTGCTTCTTTGAAAATAGCCATCCTGGGCCAGATGCAGTGGCTCACGCCTGTAATCCCAGCACTTTGGGAGGCTGAGGCGGGTGGATCACCTGAGGTTAGGAGTTTGAGAGCAGCCTGGTGAACATGATGAAACCTCTTCTCTACTAAAAATACAAAAATTAGCTGGGCGTGGTGGCACGCGCCCATAATCCCAGCTACTCGGGAGGCTGAGGAACAAGAATAGCTTGAACCCTGGAGGTAGAGGTTGCAGTGAGCTGAGATTGTGCCATTGCACTCCAGTCTGGGTGACAGAGTGAGACTCTGTCTCAAAAAATAAATAAATAAATAAATTAAAAATAAATAAATAAATAAAGGAAACGGAGTCATTGTGTTGAAGAGATATCTGCACTCCCATGTTCACTGCAATATTATTCACAATAGACAAGGTATAGAATCAACCTAAGTGTCCATCAGTGGATGAGTAGATAAAGAAAATGTGATACACATACACCAATGTGGTATATATACTCTTCAGCCTTAACCCATCTCCATAAAAATTAAGGAAACAAAGAAGGAAGTCTTGTTATTGGTGACAACGTGGATGAACCTGGAAGACATTATGTTAAGTGAAATAAATCAGGCACAGAAAGACAAATACCACATGATCTCACTTATATGTGGAATCTAAAAAAGTTGAACTCACTGAAGTAGAGAGTAGAATGGTGGTTACCAGAAGCAAGGTGAGGGTGTCTGTGAGAGGGTTGGGGAGACATTGGTCAAAAGATAAAAAATTTCAATTAGCCAGGAGGAAAAAGTTCAAGAGGTCTATTGTGACTAGTTAATAAAAGTGTTCTAACCACAAAAATGATCCATATACAAGGTAACATATATGTTAATTAGCTTTATTTAGCCATTCCACACTGCGTATATCAAAAAATCATGTACACCATAAATATAATTATTATTATTTTTTGAGACAGAGTTTCACTCTTGTTGCCCAGGCTGGAGTGCAATGGCACGATCTCAGCCCACTGCAACCTCCGCCTCCTGGGTTCAAGCGATTCTCCTGCTTCAGCCTCCCTAGTAGCTGGGATTACAGGCATGCACCACCATGCCCAGCTAATTTTGTATTTTTAGTAGAGATGGGGTTTATCCATGCTGGTCAGGCTGGTCTCGAACTCCTGACCTCAGGTGATCCGCCCACCTCGGCCTCCCAAAGTGCTGGGATTATAGGCGTGAGCCACTGTGCCCGGCTCATAATTTTTATTTATAACAAAAAGTAAAGTGAACCTCCTGTAGACAGAGTATAGTTGGATCTTGTTTTTTCAACCGATTCACCTACTCTATGTCTTCTAATTGGGGAATTTAATTCATTTATACTTAAAGTAATTATTGATAGATAATTGATAGATAATTTATTTACTATCTATTATTGATAGATAAATTATTTACTTAGTAGAAGTATAACTTTGAGCCTGTTATTTACCTTTTCTAAATGAGTTTTCATTTCTGTGAAATGGGCACAATTAAAGAGGCCGCCTCCTGGGACTGGGGTCAGGATTAGTTGAGATAGTCTGTGTAAGGCTAGGATGGTGCTTGACAGCCAGTGTTAATTATTATTTTTTGATCCTGTGGGATAGGGCAACCCAGATACTCCGGTGGGAAACACTTGCAACCAGAGAACCTTGACTCAAAATCTTGGTCTTACTTGGTTTGAAGGATCCCATTGCATTTGCATTGCTGCCCCTTCTGAGAGGTTATTCACACTGATAAACCCCATTTTGCAACTTACACGTGCAGGATTCAGCTAATTGGACAGCAGTGGACACTGAACCTAAGGTGAAAAATCCAACAAATAGAGAGGACCAACTGAAAAATTCAGTTGCTTTCTTTTGAAGAATCTGAATACGAGACACAGAGAAAGGATTAGTAGTCAGTATTGAGGGCAGAAACAGAAACACAGAGAAGGAAAGTTATAAGAGGACGCTTTGAGTCAGCAGAAGCTATGGGTGAATAGGAGCCATGAATTGACAGGAATTATGAGTCAGCAGAAACTTGAGTCGTGGCAAGAGCCACAAGTCAGCAGAAACTATGAGATAGAGAGTAGCATGGAGATAGCAGAGGAATAGGCCAAGACCCGGAGATGCTGCGTCACCATCTTGGTGGAGCCTAGAGGGCAGAGCTAGGATGGTCCCCTGAATTACAGAGCTGCTGTCAGTGATGAGTGTAACCTGAAGATGTTCCAGCCTCTGGCAGCCCTGACTGGGTGGTGAGACTTTGGCCTTCCAGCTTTCATAATGTAAACTGAGAATATTTCTCTTTCTGGCCAACTTACAAGAATCTGACTGACACACTACCCATATCAAACTCCTCTGAGACTCAGTTTTCTTGCCTGTGAAATGGGGACAGCTAAATATACAAGTTGAATGGGTTGAGAAAACAAGAGCCAATTATATTCTGTCTACAAGAGACTCATTTTACTTTTTAATTACAAATAAAAATTATATGTATATATGATATTTTGATATATGTATACAGCATGGAATGGCTAAATCAAGCTAATTAACATATATGTTACCTTGTATACTTGCTTTGGGCTGCTTAGCATCCCTTTTTTGGGGATACCAGCCTTTATTTGACATCTGCCAGTAACAGGATTCTACCTCTAAGGTGGCCACATAATCCAGGCCGGGCCCGTCAGAGCCTCACTGTAGAAATTTGCCTTTAGGTCAGGAGGTGGAAACCCTGAGAGAGTTCCTGGGTTCTGGGATATTCTAAGCTGTCCAGGCTCCTGTGTTTTCTTTGTTTTTAGAGACGGAGTCTAGCTCTGTCACCCAGGCTGGAGTGCAAGGGCACAATCTCGGTTCACTGCAACCTCCGCCTCCTGGGTTCAAGTGATTCTCCTGCCTCAGCCTCCTGAGTAGCTGGGATTACAGGCATGCACCACTATGCCCAGCTCATTTTTGTATTTTTAATAGAGATGGGGTTTTGCCATTTTTGGCTAGGCTGGTCTCAAACTCCTGACCTCAGGTGATCTGACCGCCTTGGCCTCCGAAAGTGCTAGGATTACAAGCGTGAGCCACCATGCCTGGCCGGCTCCTGTGTTTTCTGAGGCCAGTTTATTCAACTCTGTTTTCTTTCTGAGAGTTTCCGAATGGAGTCATCCCTTGGTATCCATGGGGGATTGGTTCCAGGACTTTCCATGGATACCAAACCCCATAGAAGCTCAAGTCCCTGATATAAAATGATGTAGTCTTTGCATTTAACTATGCACATCCTGCTGTATACTTTATTTTTATTTATTATTATTATTTTTGAGATGGAGTCTCCCTCTGTCACCCAGACTGGAGTGCAGTAGTGCAATCTTGGCTCACTGCAACCTCCTCCTCAGCTAGGTTCAAGCGATTCTCATGCCTCAGCCTCTTGAGTAGCTGGAACTACAGGTGTGTGCCACCACGCCCGGCTACTTTTTGTATTTTTAGTAGAGATGGGGTTTCACCATGTTGGTCAGGCTGGTCTTGAACTCCTGACCTCAAGTGTTCTGCCCATCGCGACCTCCCAAAGTGCTGGGATTACAGGCATGAGCCACCATGCCTGGCCCTCCTGTATACATTAGATTATCTCTAGATTACTCATAAAAATGAATACAATGTAAATGCCGTGTAAGTAGTTGCTATACTGCATTGTTTAGGGAATCATGACAAGAAAAGGAGTCTGTATGTGTTTAGTACAGATGGTTTTTGTTGTCGATTAAAAATATATATATATTTTATAGAGACGGGGCCTTGCTATGTTGCTCAGGCTGGTCTTGATCTTCTGGCCTCAAGTGATCCTCCTGCCTCAGCCTGCCAAAGTGCTGGGATTACAGGCATGAGCCACTGTGCCCAGCCTTCCTGAATATTTTTTTAATTCTCGGTTGGTTGAATCCATAGATGCGGAACTCACAGAGGCAGAGGGCCAACTGTAGCCTTCCTACAGATATTTTTATCTTGTTAAAGTAATAACCCTAACCTGACCCACACCTCACAGGTCTGTTGTGAAGTGACATAAGCCAGCACATAAGTGGAAAAGCTTGGTGAATGATTTAAAGGAATCTTCTGGCCTGGTGCGGGGGCTCACGCCTGTAATCCCAGCACTTTGGGAGGCCGGAGTGGGTGGATCACCTGAGGTCAGGAGTTTCGGACCAGCCTGGTCAACGTGGTGAAACCCCGTCTCTACTAAAAAAAATACAAAAATCAGCCGGGCATGGTGACGGGCGCCTGTAATCCCAGCTACTCGGGAGGCTGAGGCAGAAGAATCGCTTGAACCCAGGAGGCGGAGGTTGCAGTGAGCCAAGATCGTGCCACTGCACTCTAGCCTGGGGCACAAGAGTGAAACTCCGTCTTAAAAAATAAAAAAAGGAATCTTCTGGCCTGTGTTTCAGTTGAACAAAGTGAGGTCTAGAGAGGGGAGAAGTGAGCAGTTCCAGGTCGCACGGGCGGTCAGGGGTGAAAGGGGAGTGGGGACGTGAACTCCAGGCGGGTGCTCTTTCGCGCCTCCTGGTCGCTCCCTCCCCTTCCCTCCCCTTCCCTCCCCTTCCCTCCCCTTCCCTCCTCTTCCCTCCTCTTCCCTCCCCCGCTCTCCCTGATGTGCCTGCCTTCCCTACCTAACAGCTCTGAGTTCTGCCTACCTGAATTAGCCCAATGTTTTCACCCTTTGAAAGAAGATTCTAAGCCGAAACCAGCCCCCAGTTCCCCGTGGGCTTTGCCCACTCCTTGCCAAGCACTCTGAGTGCTACCCTTTCTCTTTCTGAATAGGGTGAGATACTTGACGCTGCCCTGAATCGAAGTCAAATAGGGGCTCCTCTCTGCAGTACCACAGAGCTCCCTGTAGGTGGCAGGGTAGGACTGCAAATGTCCTGGAATATTGGTCCCTGAGCGCAAGCCCAGACTGGAGCTGGGGTACAGCATTTACTTGCCGTGGGGAAGAGGAGGACGCCGGACGGAGGAGGAAGGAAAGTAGAAGTATTGCCAGTCTTGAGGCAAAAGAGAGTTGATTTGAGGGCTGAAGGACAGGAATAGTTGGTGTACCTCATCCGTCTATCTCTCCATCCACCTACCCACCTATCTACCCAACTACCCTCCATCCATCCACCTACTCTCCACTCACCCACCCACTCACCCATCCACCCATCCACCCACCCACCCATCCATCTACCCATCCATCCATCCATCCATCCATCCATCCATCCACGCATTCATCCAACCACCCATCTATCCATCCACCCACCCATCCGTCCATGGGTTCATTCATCCATCCATCTACCAATCCACTCATCCATCCAATAAATATTTTTGAGCACCTGTGCTAAATGCATATACACACACACATATCTATGCACACACATACATACACACTGATATATATCACACACATGCATACACACACACGGAGAATAACAGGTACCGCCTTTTGCTGAGTGTCAAGGTTGCTTTTATCTCTCCAGCTGGTACTACAGATTTCTGCACCTGTCTGTAGCATCCATTACTAGCATCCCATTCCCAATATTATTATTCACTCCTTTACTTCCGAATATAAAGCAGATGTCATCTGGGGCCCTTTTTGCCCCTTCTGATTTCAATAAAATTTTCCCCAACGTCCTGTCTTCCTCCTCCTCCTCTATCCCATTCCTGAGGCATCTCAAGTCTTCCCTTGGATTTCTGTCAACTCCTGACTTTTCTGCCTCTAGAGCTTTGGCTCCTAGTAGGATATTTCTGACCTGCAGCATATCATATTCTTTGTTTTTAAAATTTATTATTGTTGGCCAGGTGCAGTGGCTCATGCCTGTAATCCCATCACTTTGGGAGACCGAGGCAGGTGGATCACCTGAGGTCAGGAGTTTGAGATTAACCTGGCCAACATGGTGAAATCCCGTTTCTACTGAAAATACAAAAATTAGCTGGATGTGGTGGCATGCTCCTGTAATCCCAGCTACTCGGGAGGCTGAGGCAGGAGAATTGCTTGAACCCAGGAGATGGAGGTTGCAGTGAGTGGAGATCTCGCCACTACTCCAGCGTGGATGACAGAGCAAGACTCCATCTCAAAACAAACAAACAAACAAACAAAAACCAAAAAAAAAACAAAACAAAACAAGAAAAGGCAGCTCAGAGAGGTTAAGTGTCTAGCTTGAGGCCATACAGCTAACTGGATCAGAACTGAGATTTGAACCCATATATGTCTGACCTGGTGCTGGGCTCTTTTCTGTAGAGGATTCATCCAGCCCCACATACCTGGTCTAGAAGAAGGGAAGTGGTGGGAGAGGAGCACCCCAGAGAGAGGAGCCCGAATCATGGGGCTGCAAGCTGGTCCTGGGTCCCATGGAGCCATGGGGTGAGGAAGTGGCAGGGGCTACCACCAAACTCAGATGCGGGCCCAAGGCTGGTTGGGGGAGAGGACCCTGGCTGTGGGTGCCCATCTGCCAGCTTGTATGAAGGAGTAGGCGGGGTAGGTGGGAGAAGGGAAGTGGTGCTTCGGTGGGACCACAGGAAACGCTAGATTTTGGTTAGTAGTTGGAAAGTACCAGCAATTTCTCTTTCAACAGAAAACCAGAAGGAGGTCAGGTTTTTCTTATTAAAACAGAGACAAATGCAGACTTTGCAAAGGAAGCAGGGATTTGCAGAGTGAGGCTGGAAGTCACCGAAGCTGAGTGATATTCCCCAGAGAAAGGTTTTACATTCATGTGGAGTGGGTCAGAGGACCTTGAGTTGAGCTGATGAGCAGCCACAGGATGGCACCAGGTTTTCACGATATGGAGAGAAGGGGACCTGGTGGTGGTTTGGCCACCGTGTCCTGTTTCCTGAAGAACAGAGAGTGTACGTGACAGCTGGGGCCTCATAGCCAGTTACTGCCAGCAGGACTCCATCTCAATTCAGATCTTACTTCATGGGACTACACAGAAAGAAGGAAAGCCAGGCCGGGCATGGTGGCTCATGCCTGTAATCCCAGCACTTTGGGAGGCTGGGGTGGGCAGATCAATAGAGGCCAGGAGTTTGAGACCAACCTGACCAGCCTTCACCAATGGTGAAGCCCGTCTCTACTAAAAGTACAAAAATTAGCTGGTCGTGGTGACGGGCGCTTGTAATCCCAGCTACTTGGGAGGCTGAGGCAGGAGAATGGCTTGAACCCGGGAGGCAGAGGTTGCAGTGAGGCGAGATTGCACCACTGCACTCCAGCCTGGGTGACAGAGCGAGACTCCGTCTCAAAAAAAGAAAAGAAAAGAAAAAAAAAGCTGGGCTGGGTGAGGGGCTCACACCTGTAATCCCAGCACTTTGGGAGGATCACTTTGGGTGGATTGCTTGAGCCCAGGAGTTTGAGACCAGCCTGAGCAACATAGCGAGACTCCATCCTTACAAAAGATAAGAAAACAAAAGACAGAAGGAGTGGTTTGGAGCTATGCAAGTGTCCCTCTTGGCTCTGGCAATTTCTGGGTGGATAACCTGGGGTAGCACCCTTCTCTTTGAATCGAAGTTTCCTTATCTAAACTAGCGATGATAAGACCTCCCTTGCTATGTTGTTATAAAATTACTTGTGTGCCTAGCCCAGAGAAGGTGTGCAATGAATGAGTAAATGGATGAATGGCTAAATTCCACACATATTTATGGAGTGCTAAGTCTGTGTCAGGCATTACCTTGGGGATACAGCTGGAAGTGAACAAGCCTCAGTCTTCGGTTTTTAGGAGCCCACATTCTGGCAGAAGAGACAGGAAGTAGCTGGGCAGGGTGGCTCATGCCTATAATCCCAGCACTTCGGGAGGCTGAGGTGGGCTGATCACCTGAGGTCAGGAGTTTGAGAACAGCCTGGCCAACATGGTGAAACCCCATCTCTACTAAAAATACAAAAATTAGCGAGGCATGGTGGCATGCACCTGTAATCCCAGCTACTCGGGGGGCTGAGGCAGGGAAATCGCTTGAACCCGAGAGGTGGAGGTTGCAGTGAGCCGAGATCGAGCCACCACAGTCCAGCTTGGGCGACAGAGTGAAACTCCATCTCAAAAACAAACAAAAAAAAGAGACAGGAAGTAAGTGAGACAGATAAGATCAACACAGAGCATGCTAAACAGAAAAGTAGGAAAGACATACTATTCAGTGTTGGGGTGGGTGGGGAGATTAATATTTCAGAAAGGGTGGCCTGGGAAGGGCTCATTGAGAAGCTGACTGTTGAATAAAGATTGGCAGGAATTACGCAACCAGCCGTGTAGATCTCTGGGAGAGGAGAATTCCGGGGAGAAGGAACAGTCAGTGCAAAGGCCCTTAGGCCAGAGCATGCTTGGGGTTCAAGAAACAGAGTGAGTGCCAGTGTGCCTGAAGCCCAGTACAGAAGGGAGAAGGTTGTCGGAGATGAAGGCAAAGAGGTAATGACGGGTGGGTTAGAGTTTGCAGGGCCTTTGGAGGCTGTGAGAAGGATTTTGGCTTTTTTTCTGGGTCAGAGGGGAGCCAGTGCAGGAGTTTGAGCAGAGGAGTGGCATATTACGGTTCTCCAGAGAAAGGGAACCAACAGGATATACACATGTCTACATTAATCAATTAATTATTTTGAGGGGGTTCTCCCGAGAAAGGGAACCAACAGGATATACACATGTCTACATTAATCAATTAATTAATTTTGAGATTGAGTTTCGCTCTTTCACCCAGGCTGGAGTGCAGTGGCGCGATCTCGGCCTACTGCAACCTCCGTCTCCTGGGTTCAAGTGATTCTCATGCTTCAGCATCCCAAGTAGCTGGGATTACAGGTGCCCGCCACCACACCTGGCTAGTTTTTGTACTTGAGACAGGGTTTCACCATGTTGGCCAGCCTGGTCTCGAACTCCTGACCTCAGGTGTTCCACCCGCCTCATCCTTCCCAAGTGCTGGGATTACAGGCATGAGCCACCACACCCGGCCTATATTAATTTCTTTACAGAGATTTATTATAATGAATTGGCTCGCATGATTATGGAGGCCGAGAAGTCCCAAGATCGGCAGCTGGCAAACAGGAGACCCAGGAGAACTGATGATTTAGCTCCAGTGTGAGGCCCAAAGACCCTGTGAGTTCCCAGGAGAGCCAATGACATAAGTTCTGGTCCTAACGCGAGCAGACTTGAGATGCAGGAAAAGCCAATGTTTCAGTTCAAGTCTCAGGCTGGAAAAACACAGTGTCCCAGCCCAAGCAGGCAGGCAGCAGGAGTTCTCTTGTACTGTGCTTTTTTGTTCTATATGGGCCTTCAACGGATTGGATGGGGCCCACCCACATTAGGGAGGGCGACTTGCTCTATTCAGTCTGCAGTTCAAATGTGAATCTCACCCAGGAACACCCTTACAGACACACACTCACAATAATGTTTGAACAAAAATATCTGGGGGCCAGGCATGGTGGCTCACACCTGTAGTCCCTGCACTCTGGAAAGCCAAAATGCGTGGATCACCTGAGGCCAGGAGTTTGAGACCAGCCTGGGCAACATGGCAAAACCCTGTATCTATAAAAAAAAAATACAAAAATTAGCTGGTATGATGGCACCACATGTGGTACCAGCTACTCAGGAGGCTAAGGTGGAAGGATCGTCTGAGCTCAGGGAGGTTGAGGCTGCAGTGAGCCATGACTGACTGTGCCACCGCACTCCAGCCTGAGCGACAGAGCAAGACCTTGTCTCAAAAAAAAAAAAAAAAAAAAAAAATCTGGGCAGCCCGTGGCCCAGTCAAACTGACACATCAAATTGACCATCCCAAGTGGCTTCACTGGATGTAGCTTTCTACAGGCTCTCTCTGGCTGTGGTGTTGAGAATAGTATGAAGGTAGGGGTAGGGTTGGGGAGTCAGAAGCAGGAAGGTGAATTTGGTGGCTACCATATAGTCATCCAGGTAAGTGTGGTGGTGGCTTGGACTAAAGTGGTAGTAAGAGGTGTGACGAGGTTATTAGATTCTGGATGTATTTTGAAAGGAGTGCAGATGGGGTGAGAGAGAGAAGAAGAGAAATAATGGGTGACCTGTGGTTTTTGGCTTCAGCACCTTAAAGAATGAGGTTGCCACCGATTGAGAAGGGAGTATCAGGAGTATGGCGGACACGTTGAGCGTGAGAAATGTAAGCTTTGGAGGAGATGTGGGGTCAGCAGGTAGATGTCCATGCCTGGAGTCCAGCAGAGCAGCCTGGGCCAGACAGCTGGTTTTGGGAGCTGTCGTTAGCACCTGCCTGGCTGTCTTCATTATTGCATCAAGAGTGGCTCTTGGTTGCAAGTAACAGAAAACCTGGCTGCAGGCCAGACATGGTGGCTCACGCCTGTAATCCCAGCACTTTGGGAGGCCGAGGTGGGTGGATCACCTGAGGTCAGGAGTTTGAGACCAGCCCGGCCAACACGGTGAAACCCTGTCTCTACTAAAACTACAAAAATTAACCGGGTGTGGTGGCATGTGCCTGTAATCTCAGCTACTCAGGAGGCTGAGGCAGGAGAATCGCTTGAACCTGGGAGGCAGAGTTTGGGTAAGCTGAGATTGCACCATTGTACTCCAGCCTGGGTGACACAGCAAAACTCCATCTCAGAAAAAGAAAACTTAGTTGCCTTGAGCAAAAACGGAAATTATTGGAAAACTCTAGGGGTCCACAAACCCACCAGGAAGCTGGGGGATCCAGGCTGGGGAAATGAGTGGGGGCCAAGGAGGCTGTGAAGATCTGAGCAGCGGCAGTCACAGAAAAGGCCCCGGCAGGAGCAATCCGGTCCTAAAATCCCCATGGCCACCATGTGGATAGGACCTCCTGCGGCCCCTTGCTGGGATCACCGCTCATGATGCAGAGTCTGAGGAGAGCAGCTCATTGGTTCAACCAAGCCACATGACCTTCAGGCTGGGGTGCAGGGAGGGAGGCCTGGCCACTTAGGGTTTCCATTTTCTTTTTTCTGAGACAGAGTCTCGCTCTGTCACGCAGGCTGGAGTGCAGTGGTGTGATCTCAGCTCACTGCAACCTCCGCCTCCCGGATTCAAGTGATTCTCCTGCCTCAGCCTCCCCAGTAGCTATGATTACAGGTGCGTGCTACCATGCTTGCCTAATTGTTGTATTTTTAGTAGAGACGGGGTTTCACCATGATGACCAGGCTGGTCTTGAACTCCTGACCTTAAGTGATCCACCCGTCTCGGCCTCTCAAAGTGTTGAGATTACAGGCGTGAGCCACTGCACCCAGCCCACTGAGGGTTTCCTAGTGGAAGAGGAGGCCACCATCCCCTCATTGTGGTGTTTATAATGGGGAACTCCCAGAGGAGCCACCAGGGTAAAAGAGGAAGAGATGAGATGTTGGACTGGCATAAAAAAAGAAAAGCAGACCAAAACTCCAGCGTGACAGCAGCAAAGCCCATCACAACTGTCATCATAATTATCATCAGCAGCAATAGCAGCTGGAGTGATTTCTTTTCTTTTTTTGAGACAGGGTCTTGCTCTATCACCCAGGCTGGAGTACAGTGGTGTGATCATAGCTCACTGCAGCCTCGACCTCCCAGGCTCAAGCAGTCCTCCTGCCTCAGCCTCTAGAGCAGCTGGGACTACAGGCACAAGCCACTATACCAGGCTAATTTAAAAAAAAATAAAGTGTAGAGATGGGGTCTCACTTAGGCTGGTCTTGAACTCCTGGCCTCAAGCAATCCTCCTGCCTCGGCCTCCCAAAATGCTGGGATTACAGGCAGGAGCCACCTTGCCAGGCTGATCTTTTAAATTCTTTCAGCGTCAAAGCCAGAGTTTTCTCAATGTCCTAAAAGGCCCCAGGCCCTCTGCCCTCCCTCCCCTGCTACCCCGCCCTGTGGCCTCTCTGACCTCATCTGTTGTTCCTACCTTGCTCATTCTTCCCCAGCCTCACTGGTACCCTGGCTGCGGCTCCAAAACGCTGGCCACTCCTGCCCCAGGACACTTGCCTTTGCTCTCTTCCGTGCCCTTCCCAGACATCCCCACAACTTGCTCCCTTACTGCCTTCAGGCTTCTCTCTCTCTCTCTCTCTTTTTTTTTTTTTTTTTGGAGATGGAGTCTCACTCTGTTGCCCAGGCTGGAGTTCAGTGGTGTGATCTTGCCTCACTGCAACCTCCACCTCTTGGGTTCAAGTGATCCTTCTGCCTCAGCCTCCTGAGTAGCGGGGGTTACAGGCGCATGCCACCATGCCCGGCTAATATTTGTATTTTTAGTAGAGATGGGGTTTCGCCATGTTGGCCAGGCTAGTTTCAAATTCCTGGCCTCAAGTGATCTGCCTGCCTCAGCCTCCCAAAATGCTGTGATTACAGGCATGCGCCACGGCGCCTGGCTGAGACTTTTCTCAAATGTGACCTTCTCAGCCAGACATCCTTGATGATGCCATTTACAGCATTTGCAATGCTCCCTCTATCCCATCCCCTCCCAGGAATGCCTCTTCATGTCTTTGCTTTTTTTTTTTCCCCACAGAACTTCTCATCATCTTCATGCTACATATCTCTGTTTCTTGTGTATCTCCCTCCTCCATGTGGACGGGGGTTTCCCGAACCGAGCCTGGTATGGAGCAGGCGGTCAGGATTTGCTCTTGAATGAAGGATGGGGGTTCACTCCCTGGAGCTATGTTGGGAGCCCTGTTCTGAGGAGCTCTGGCTTCGTGGGTCCCCAGGACCCAGGGTAAGACAGTCCACTCCTTGGGCAATGACTGGGACCAGTACCTGGGGAGGTTGGGGCCCTTCATCCCAACTCAGTCCCATCCTTGAGGGAATCAAATGTGACTCACAGCTAACAGGGTGAGCAGAGCTGCTTCTTCAGTCACGAATGAAAATAACCTTGTCTCTGTAAACAAACAGCTCTCAATTTATTCATTGGGAAGAAAGAAGTGTATGTGGAAAGAAGGAGGCACTTTCCTGGGGGGCGGAGTGTCAGAGTGTTAGACTTGAGTTACTCAGAGTAATTGATTCACGATGCTGCGTGTCAGGGGTGTTACATCTAATCGGGAGCTGTCCATACAATTTCTCACTAATTGTCACTGGGCGCCATAACAGGATAATGACTTTTGGGGCACAAGAGACTTGGATGTGGTGAGCCAAGGGTATCATTTTGATTTTTGTTTTGAGATGTGCTGGAACTCAGATGACCCTCCTTACCGAAAGGCTCCATCCCTTTAAATTTTTTTTTTTTTTTTTTTTTTTAAGAGATGATGTTTTTCTGTGCTATGTTGCCCAGGCTGGTCTCAAACTCCTGGGCTTAAGTGATCCTTCCACTTCAGTCTCCCAAGTAGTGGGGAATGCAGGTGTGAGCCACTGCACCTGACTGAAAAGCTCATTCTTTTTTTGTTGAGACAGGGTCTCACGCTGTCACCCAGACTTGGAGTGCAGTGGCGTGCTCACGGCTCACTCTAGCCTTGACCTCTCAGGCTCAAGCTATCCTTCCATCTCATTCTCCCAGGTAGGTGGGACTACAGGCATGTGCCACCATGCCTGGCTAATTTTTTTATTTTTTGTAGAGACGGGGGTCTCACTATGTTGCCCAGGCTAGTCTCACACTCCTGAGCTCAAGCGATCCTCCCACCTTGGCCTCCCAACATGCTGGGATTACAGGCATGTGGAAGGTTCATTGTTTAGCCAGAGTTTTGTTCTGGACCGGAGACAATCTAGAGGGATGCAGACCTGGGCTGGGACCACCAGAGGTCTGGCTGGACCCCTGGGGGCCAGAAGTGCCTAGTTGAGGGGTATCTTCTTGGACTCGTTACTTACTCCTCACTTTGAACCTGTCACCAAGTGTGTCAGTTTTGCCTCTAAAGCATCTGTCAGCTCTGTCCACTTCTCTCCACTCCCACTGCCACCCCCTGCTTTCACCTGGTGACCACAGACACTGCTTAGCTTCTGCTCTGTCTCTTATTCCCTTCCCTTTGCCTCTACCTGGGAGCATACATGTAATGGTGACAGTTCCCCGCATAACACACTTCAGTGGTCCCATTCCCTTGAGGATGAAGACCAAAATCCTTAACATGGCTCAAGAGATCCCACAACCATCCGGCCCCTGCCCACTTCTCAGCCTCACTGTTCACCATTTTCTCCAGGCAAAAGGAAGGACCAGTGACCTAAGAATGCCATGGGGCTGCTGCCCTCATTTTGCACTCTACGATTTTGACCTTATTATTTCCTGTGCATGGGATGCTTTCTTCCCCTCCCTCCCTCCCTTTCTTCCTTCCTTCCTTCCTTCTTTCTTTCCTTCCTTCCTTCCTTCCTTCCTTCCATCCTCTTTCTTTCTCTCTCCTCTCCCTCTCTGTCTTTCCCTCCCTCCCTCCCCTCCCCTGCCTCCCTTCCTCCTCCTCCTCCTCCTTCTTTCCCCTCTCTCTCTCTTTCTTTTTGAGACAGGGTCTCATTCTGTCACCCAGGCTGGAGTGCAGTAGTGTGATCATGGCTCACTGCAGCCTCAACCTCCTGGGCTAAAGTGATCCTCCCACCCTAGCCTCCTGAGGAGCTGGATGCCACTGTGTGCAGTGAGTGCATGCCACTGTGCCCAGCTAATTTTTTGTATTTTTTGCAGAGATGGAGGTTTTGCCACGTTGCACAGTCTGGTCTCAAACTCCTGGGCTCAAGTGATCTGCCCACCTCAGCCTCCCAAAGTGCTGGGATTACAGGCATGAGCCACCGCACCTGGCCTAGGAGCTGCTTCTTAGATCTTCTGCAGCTCTTTCTCATCACCAGCTAAAATGCTGTATTCTGGTAGCATTGTCTTTATCCTCCTCTGGACTGTATCTCTCTTGAAGTCTTCCATTCCAGTTCATTTCTCCTGAGCCTAGTACAATAATACATAGAAAGTGCTGGGATATTTTTAAAAATACTAATGTTTAGAATCAATTTTAATTCCTTCTGTAAAAGATATACATATTTTGCTTTTTTAAAAAAATGCAAAACTGGGCCAGGTTTAGTGGGGCATGCCTCTAGTCCCAGCTACTTGGGAGGCTGAGGTGGGAGGATGGCTGGAGCCCAGGAGTTCGAGGCTGCAGTGAGCCATGATTGCACCACTGCACTCCAACCTGGGCAACAGAGTGAGATCCTATCTCAAAAAAAAAAAAAAAAAAAAAAAAAAGGAAAACTCAAGTCCTTTTAGTGATCACACCAAATTCCTGCACCTTGTCGCTTTTTTATTTTATTTTATTTTATTTTTTTGAGACAGAGTCTTGCTCTGTCTCCCAGGCTGAAGTGCAGTGGCATGATACCAACTTACTGCAACCGCCACCTCCTGGGTTCAAGCGATTCTCCTGCCTCAGCCTCCTGAGTAGCTGGGATTACAGGCATGTGCCACCATGACTGGCTAAATTTTTTGTATTTTTAGTAGAGACAGGGTTTCCCATGATGGTCAGGCTGGTTTTGAACTCCTGGCCTCAAGTGATCCTTCTGCCTTGGCCTCCCAAAGTGCTGGGATTACAGGTGTGAGCCATCACGCTCGGCCAGCCCTTGTTTTTATGAACATCGTGTATCCTTAAGGACCTTCAAATACTTCTGCATCCATTTGTATGCATCTTTAGTTTTGTTCTGAAAACCTCAAGATATAGCACGCTATGTGTATAGTTTGCAACTTGAATTTTTTTCACTCAACACTGTGTTTCTGAGACCAATCCTCGCTGATACATAGAGAGCTAGTTAATTCCTCCTGCCTTCTGCATAGCATCTCACTATGTTATTAATTGCCTTTTGTTTTCTCAAGCTATTTCTGTGTTGATGGGCATTTGTGTTGTGTCTACTGCCTTGCTATTGAAAATAGCACTTCAGTGCGTGCACCGCGTAGGCCTCTGTGTACTACCGTGAAGTGTTTCCTGAGGCCAGTAGTTCTCAACTTGGCTGCAGACAGAATCACCTGAACGTTTTTTTTTTTTTTTTTTTACAATCACACCAACTCTCTGCCTTTCCCCAAATTCTTAATTGAATGGTTCAGGGTAGGCATCGGCAGCTTTAGAAGCTCCAGGGTGCTTCTAAATGTGCATTCAGGGTTGAGACCTGCTGTTCTGGGGTGTACATTGGGGATGTTGGTGTTGCAATGACTGGGCCAAAAGAAGAACCCAACCCCGTGTTTTACCAGGCTCTGCCCAATTGCCTTTCAAGGTGACTGAACTGATCTACATCCTGCTGGCAGTGTGTGAGCGAATAATGACTGTTTTGTGTGAACAAGTGACTACCAGTCACTGCAGGTCAGTGAACCAGAGCGTTCTCCACTGCACAAACTGCCTCCAAGTGGCTCATCACCATGGGCTACAGCCCACAAACGTCTGAGCTTGGAATGCTTTGTGTCCTTAGGTGGCAGCTTGGTGCAGCTGAAAAGGTGCCAGGCTGCTAATGGGACAATTCGGAGTCCAGTTCAGACCCAGGTTCTACCTTGCTATGTGTCCTCCCAGGTCACATCCCCACACTGAGCCTCAGCATCCCTGCCCTTGGAGGGAGGAGAGCTGGAAACTCACCTGCGGTCATTTTCATGTTTCTCTTCTGTCTGAGCCACACGTTATGTGCAGCCTGTGGTCTGAGCATGGGCGTTAGAGCCCAGTCCTGAATAGTTTCTGCACTGTGGGCCCTGTTGGTATCTGGGGAAGCCTATTACCCTTCTCAGAGCAATGTTTCTTTTTCTTCTCTTTTCTTTTCTTTCATTTTTTGTTTGAGACAGAGTCTCGCTCTGTCACTGAAGCTGGAGTGCAGTGGCATGATCTTGGCTCACTGCAACCTCTACATCCTGGGTTCGAGTGATTATCCTGCCTTAGTCTCCTGAGTAGCTGGGATTACAGGTGCCTGCCACCACGCCCGGCTAATTTTTGTATTTTTAGTAGTGATGGGGTTTCACCATGCTGGCCAGGCTGGTCTCAGACAGCTGACCTCAGGTGATCCACCCGCCTTGGCCTCCCAAAGTGCTGGGATTACAGGCGTGAGCCACCTCGCCCGGCCTTTTTTTTTTTTTTTTTTTTTTTTTTTAGAGACGGAGTGTCCCTGTGTCCCTCTGTCACCTAGGCTGGAGTGCAGTGGCTTCATCTCGGCTCACTGACCTCCGCCTCCCAGGTTCAAGTGCTTCTCCTGCCTCAGTCTCCCAAGTAGCTGGGACTATAGGTATGCACCACCACGCTCAGCTAATTTTTGTGTTTTTCAGTAGAGATAGGGTTTCACCATGTTGGCCAGGCTGGTCTTGAACTCCTGGCCTCAAGTGATCTGCCTGCCTTGGCCTCCCAGAGCACTGGGATTACAGGTGTGAGCCACTGCTCCCAGCCTCTGAGCAATGTTTCTAAATATGAAATCCAAAGGCTTGTGAAGACAACTGATTATATGGAAATACAGCTGATATGAATATTACAAAATTATTACAAAAATATTACAAAGCCAAACTGTGATATAGCAATACCCATGCCTCTTTATTAACACACCAAATAAGGCGATCTGGTGGTGGGTTGGCAACATTATTACGATTGCAGTTTAAAGCAGTGATGAGTGTAAATGATATTCCAACATCTTTGCAACAAATGTAACAGGACATGAAAATATCTGTGATTCCTGTTGGTGACAAAGTTACAGGTTCTGTTGACACGATGGCAGTTTGCTGCCTACACTCATAATGGAAAGAATTGCTACATTGCAGTTTGATGTTAGTAAAATTAAGAGGTCTATTTTTTCTTCCGAGTTCATTGAGTTCATTGATTGCAGGTTACTGGCCCTTGCTAGAGTTATATAGACTTGAGTTTCTTTCTTTTTTGTGAGTTTTTTTTTTTTTTTTTTTGACGGAGTCTTGCTCGTCGTTCAGGCTGGAGTGCAGTGGCACGATCTCGGTTCACCGTAACCTCCACCTCCCGAGTTCAGGCAATTCTCCTGCTTCAGCCTCCTGAGTAGCTGGGATTACAGCATGTGCTACCACGCTCAGCTAATTTGTGCATTTTTAGTAGAGACAGGGTTTCACCATGTTGGTCAGGCTGGTCTCGAACTCCTGACCTCAGGTGATATGCCCCCTCCCCTCCTTGGCCTCCCAAAGTGCTAGGATTACAGGCGTGAGCCATTGTGCCCTGCTTTTTTGTGGCTTTTTAAAAATTTTTATTTTGTAGAGACGAAGTCTCACTGTGTTGTCCAGGCTGGTCTTGAGCTCCTGAGCTCAGGTGATCTTTCTGCGTCAGACTCCCAAAATGCTGGGATTACAGGCATAAACCACCATCCCAGGCTACACATGGGTTTCAATCTCTGCTCTATAGCTTCCTGTGTGGGTGCATTTGGGTAAATTCCTTTTCTTTCCTGAGTCTCAGTTTCCTCAACTGTAAAATGCGTGTAAGACAGTGAGCTCCTAGGGTGCTGGGAAGAGTAAATGTGACAAATCAAATTCAACACACATTTGTAGAGAACTTTTGATGTGCTCAGGGCCATTTTCGGTGCCAGGATGCTGGACCGAATGAGAAGGGCAAAATCCTTGCCCCTCTGGAGTTTACAGTTCGGGGGCAGAGACAATGAATAATGAGACAGATAAGTAAATAACGGTTTCAGATAATACTAAGGGCAATGAAGAAAATAGTACAGGTGATATGAAAGGGAACAAATGCCTGGTGCAGGTGACATTAAATAGGGCAATTAGGTAATAATACAGACAGAAATGAACAATATTGATGCATAAGACGAGAGAATGTATTTGAAGTATCAGCTCGGCACCTGGTACGTGGTGTATGTTCCATTTGTGCTGGCCACGGTGATGATGATGATGATGCCATCTCTCCGGCTACACTGCGAGCACAGATCACAGCTCTCTGTAGCTGATGCTGGCTCTACCCACTGTATTCGGGGCTGGATGAAGGTGGGGCCATGGAAGCGTTCTACACAAGAACTCAGCAGTCCTGTTGGAGCCAGATTGGAAGGAAGCAGGTCTGATTAAAGGAAGATAAAGTCTTCTCTCTGCTATGTCTCGCAGGGAGAGCTAGGCAATCAATAGGTCTCGCATATCAGTGGAGGGTGCTTGGAATCTGGCAGCATGGGGCTTTTTAATTAAACCTATAACTGCGAGAAAAGGTAACTGCCTTATTTCTGCAGCTTGTGTTTCTGTCTGCCTGCCAGAAACTGAACAAATCAATGCACTTCCAGAGGTTCTGAGGATCTTGACAAGGGGGCCTCTGGTTTTGGGATGGCCAGACCCTGCAGGGATAAACTCTCGAGTGGCCAGGGTGTCAGGTACCAATTCTGGAGGGTCAGGTGTTGCCTTTTACATTTAAATACCCATAGCAGGTGTGATTAGCAACTGCAATTCAGGGGAAGGCGAGGCCCCTTCCCAGCCAGCAGCAGCTTGCCTTCCAGGATTTTATACCAAGCTGGCCCCCTACCACCACAAGATGTCAACATTCCTTTTTTTAATAGAAGATTTTCTTTTATTGTGGGCCAGGCATGGCGGCTTGCTCCTATAATCCCAGCACTTTGGGAGGCCGAGGCTGGCAGATCACTTGAGGTCAGGAGTTCCAGACTAGCCTGGTCAACATGGAGAAACCCCTGTCTCTACTAAAAATACAAAATTAGCTTGGCATGGTGGTGTATGCCTGTAATCCCAGCTACTCAGAAGGCTGAGGCACGATCATCATTTGAATCCGGGAGGCAGAGGTTGCAGTGAGCTGAGATCACACCATTGCACTCCAGCCTGGGCAACAGAGTAAGTCTCCATCTCAAAAAAAAAAAAAAAAAAAAAAAGATTTTCGTTTATCATGAAGTAGAATTATGCTGTTTAGGGTATGGTCCATGCACCAGCATCACAGCATCATCTGCTGGGAATGTGTCAGAGATACAGAACTCCAGCCCCACCCCAGACCTACTCAGTTAGAATCTGCATTTTAACCAGATCATCAGGAATTCATATGCATATTGATGTGTGAGAGGCACTGAAATTGAACATACATATGAGACTTAGAAGACAAAGAAGCCAAATGCCAATATGCAGACCTTATTTAAATCCTGAGAGAGTTAAGAAGTTATCTATGAGATAATTTGAGATTTGAACATTTGCAGATATTAAGGAATTATTCATTTCCTAGGTGATAGGGAGGTTTTATTTCAAAAAAAAAAAAAAAAAAAAGAGCCCTTTTGGCTATGCGCGATGGCTCATGCCTGTAATCCCAGCACTTTGGGAGGCTGAGGTGGGTGGATCACCTGAGGTCAGGAGTTCAAGCCCAGCCTGGCCAACATGGTGAAATCCCGTCTCTACTAAAAATACAAAATTAGCTAGGCGTGGTAGTAGGTGCCTGTAATCCCAGCTACTCAGGAGGCTGAGGCAGGAGAATTGCTTGAACCTGGGGGGCAGAGGTTGCAGTGAGCCGAGGTCTTGCCACTGCACTCCAGTCTGGGCAACAAGAGTGAAACTCTGTTTCAGAGAAAAAAAAAAAACCCTTTTCTTTTAGAGTTACACATGAAAATACTTAGAGATAAAATGATTTCATGCTGGCATTTGTTTTAAAATACTGGTGGAGCTAGACAAAGTCTTGACGTTTGGACACAGCACGAATGACTGTGAGTTGATGGTATGGGGAACTGTGTCACGACCCAGGCAGACACAGTACACAGTATACTGTTTACTTAGTATATGTTTCAAATTCCCCACAGTAAAAACCTAAGATGATGATATAGAATATTCACATAGAAAATGCATGAAACAGGCTGGGCACAGTGGCTCATGCCTGTAATCCCAGCACTTTGGGAGGACAAGGTGGGCAGATCACCTAAGGTCAGGAGTTTGAGACCAGCCTGGCCAACATGGCGAAACCCCGTCTCTACTAAAAAATACAAAAGTTAGCTGGGCATGGTGGTGGGCGCCTGTAATCTCCGCTACTCAGGAGGCTGAGGCAGGGAGAATTGCTTGAACCTGGAAGGCAGAGGTTATAGTGAACTGAGATCACGCCACTGCACTCCAGCCTGGGCGACAGAGCAAGATTCTGTCTCAAACTAAAAAAAAAAAAAAGAAAAAGAAATGCATGAAACAGGAAGGTGTTGTGATGAGCATTAGTTCAAGTGGACATCCATAAATCTGTTACCAGGTCATTACCGGCTCCTGCCCTCTGTCAGAACCTCTGCCCCAGAGTAATTGCTTCCCTCCCATTCTCTGGGGCGCTCTAACCCCTGGCTGCCTATGGAATCGCCTGGGAAAACCTTACAAAACAATGCAGTTGAGCCTCCTCCAGTCCAATGAAAACATATTCCCTGGGAGTGCGCACAGGTGATTCTAATGTGCGACCTTAGCTGCCCTAGCTTTTCAGGTGAATGCCATATTTGTGCTTGAATTTCTCAACGAGCGTACTGCTCCTTACATCCAACAGGCAATTTCACTTTCTCATCAAGGGACTGAGTTGCTGGACTGTTGTATAAGCACAGGTTACACTGCAACCCATTTTTTTCCTTTTTGTTTGAGACTATGTTTCGCCGTGTTGCCTAGGCTGGACTCAAACTTCTGGGCTCAAGTGATCCTCTCTCTTCAGCCTCTTGAGGAGATGGGGCTTTAGCTACCGTGCCTGGCTTGCAACCCATTTTTGAAACTAATGGGTTTTTGTGTATTTGTGATAAATGTGTATCTACCACATATTGAGTGCTTTCCATTTCTCTGGAACTGTGCTAAGTACTTTATTTTATTTAATCCCCACAACGATTGTGGGGTCAGCATCCCTGTCCCTATTATACTGATGAAGAAACAGGCTCAGAGAGACTATGTGGCTTGCTTCAGGTCACCCAGTTTAAAAAGTGCTGAGTGTGGATTGGGTTCATAGCTCTCTGACTTAATGCTCTTAAGCATCATTTTGTGCCGTTCATTCAGGGTCTTGATCGAAGAGTTGAGGGCCAGTTAGCCACCCACAATGAACTGGAAGTAAACATGGAGAGGTCGTCACAGTGTCACTCGAGGCACACTTAAGTGGTGTGCCTTGGAGCTGAGTTTCCGTCTTTGTCAAATGGGGACAGCACTGTTTTGTCTTCTCTGGCTGACAACCTCTTACTCATCTCTCAAAAGTGCGTCAGTTGTCACAGAATGGGGAAGCCGGAAAGCTCCTCTGAATTTCAAGGGACCTCCTGGCTAAAGCAGAATTAGTCATGTCCTCCTCTAGCCTCACAGACCACTTGTCCAGATCTCTGAGAGCAGTCGACAGGAGCCCTACACTTGTCATGTGAGACACTGGTGCGTCTAAGAACAGGTGCTGTTTTGTAGCTATTTCTCTGTCTGCAGAGTCCAGCCCAGGGGCTGGAGCATGGCAGGGGCCCCTGCATGTCTGCAATTTGAATGAAAGACGAGGGTACTGCTCAAACACCAAAGCTTTGTCTAGGATGTACTGACACAGGACCCTTTGGGCAGAGATATATCACACACAGCCACAGGAGAGTGGTTAGGAACCTGGACTCTGAATGAAGACTGCCTGGGTTCAAGTCCAAGCTCTGCCACTTACAAGCTGAATGACCTTGGGCAAGTTATCTCACTTCCCTGGGCCTCCCTTTCCTCATCTGAAAAAATGGCTACATTGCAGCCTTGTTATAAGGATTGAATGGGTGGGTGCAGTGGCTCATGCCTGTAATCCCAGCACTTTGGGAGGCCGAGGAAGGTGGATCACAAGGTCAGGAGTTTGAGACCAGCCAGGCCAACATAGTGAAACCCGTCTCTACTAAAAATACAAAAATTAGCCGAAAAATTAACCGGGTGTGGTGGCACGTGCCTGTAGTCCCAGCTACTCAGGAGGCTGAGGCAGGAGAATCGCTTGAACCTGGGAGGCAGAGGTTGCAGTGAGCCGAGACCATGCCATTGCACTGTAGCCTGGGTGACAGAGTGAGAGACTCCATCTCAAAAAAAAAAAAGAAACTTAACTGGGCATGGTGGAATCCACCTGTAGTCCCAGCTCCTCAGGAGGCCGAGGTGGGAGGATCACTTAGCCCAGGAGTTTGAGGCTGCAGTGAGCCACTGCACTCCAACCTGGGTGATGTAGTGAGACCCTGTCTTAAAAGAAGAAGAAGAAAAAAGAATGAGTTTGTATTTTAAAAGCACTTCAATGATGCCTGGCACTCTGGTGCCAGGAGCCAAAGGAAAAGTTAGTAATACCAATCATTTCCTGAAGACTGTGATATTTGTTTATCATGGGTATTTTTGCATTAATTTTGCATTAATTTTTTCATTCTTTTTCGTTTTTAAACATATTGCATCCAAGTGTTATTTATCTTGATGACTGGGTTTTTGGTGCCTCCTTAAATTTTGCTCCCGGGGAGAATGTCTCACTTGCCTCTCCCTCATCCCGGTCCTGGCACCTAAGAAGCAACACATCAGTTCTCATTTGTCTGGAGGGAGCTCAGCATCATTATATGTATTTAAAGAAAAAGATGAATGTGTATATATTACCAATACTTATTCAGAATCTACAAAACTCTGAGCACTGGGGATGGGACTGTGTGATGGTTAATACTGAGTGTCAACTTGATTGGATTGAAGGATGCAAAGTATTGTTCCTGGGTGTCTGTGAGGGTGTTGCCAAAGGAGATGAAGATTTGAGTCAATGGACTGGGAAAGGCAGACCCACCCTCAATCTGGGTGGATACCATCTAATCAGCTGCCAGCATGGCCAGAATAAAAGCAGGAAGATGAACATGGAAGGACTTGACTTGCTGAGTCTTCTGGCCTTCATCTTTCTCCCATGCTGGATGCTTCCTGCCCAACATAAGACTCAAAGTCTTCAGTTTTTGGACTCTTAGACCTACACCAGTGTTTGCCAGGGGCTCTCGGACCTTAGGCCACAGACTGAAGGCTGCACCGTCTGCTTCCCCACTTTTGAGGTGTTGGGACTTGGACTGATCCACTACTGGCTTCCTTGCTCCTCAACTTGCAGACGGCCTATCGTGGGACTTTACCTTGTGATTGTGTGAGTCAATTCTCCTTAATACACTCCCTTTCATATACACATATATCCTATTAGTTCTGTCCCTCTAGAGAACCCTGACTAATACAGGCTGGGAATGAGACATTCTCAGCCATGGTCCTTGACCTCAAGGAGTTGACAGATCACTGATTATTGTTACCACTTATTGAGCATTTACTGTATGCAAGACATGGTGCTAGTGATGTTTTTATTAATCCTTGTGGTGACCTTTCCAGAAAGAATCATTACATTCATTTTACAGATGAAGAAATTGGACTCAGAGCAATTAAGCCACTTGCCTGAAGTCATGAAGTTATGAGCTGGGGTCAGGATGTGAACCCAGTCTCTCTCTCTCTCTCTCTCTCTCTCTCTCTCTCTCTCTCTCTCTCTCTCTATATATATATATATATATATATATATATATATATATATATATATATATATATATATCAGGGTCTTGCTCTGTCACCCAGGCTGGGATGCAGTGGTGTGATCATAGCTCACTGCAGCCTCAACACCCTAGGCTCAAGCGATTCTCCTGCCTCAGCCTCCTGAGGAGCTGGGACTACAGGTGCACACAACCATGCCTGGCTAATTTTTAGATTTTTATTGTAGAGATGGGGGTCTCACTATATTGCCTAGCTGGCCTCAAACTCCTGTGGCAAAGTGATCCTCCCACCTCTGTCTCCCAAAATGTTGGGATTACAGTTGTGAGCCACCATGCCTAGCCCTGTGAACCCAGTCTTTTAGACTTTCTACCACGGTATTTGGGTAAGTCCAGAGCTCTGTCCCCATCTTCTGCAAGAACATCTTGAAAGCTGAAGTTATCAGATGGATTTTTCTGGGAGTTCCATTGCTGAGTTCCTCTGATTCATGTCTCAGGAAGCTGGAGTCTAGATGTGGCGGGGCCTGTGGGAGGTGGCCCTCCCCTTTTCAGAGTGGATCTGTGCAGCCATCTGCCATCACCCATTCCTGTGGGGGAAAACACAGATTTTCCTGTGTTAAAAAATCTCTGAGACAAGACTTTGGCAGGATCTGAACAGACTGGCGAAGTGGCTCCAGGATTTCCTGGAAAAGGATGAGAAGGGGGAAAGAGAGGGCAAAGGAGAGGAGGAGAGAGTGGGAGGGAAAGAAGGAGGTCAGGGAGAAGAAAAATGAGCAGGAAGAGCCAGCAGACAGCCTCCCAGGTGGATGTCTTTGAAGGTAACTGAAATGCATGGTGGGGTTTTCCCAAAGGGTTTCTGTTAGCCATTTCCCACTCCCAGTAGGGAAACTGGCTTCCCTAATCAGGGAAGGGCAGTTCAGGGCAGTGGAGCAGTGGGTGGCGATAATGCCCATCTTGCAGACTAGTTGCGAAGTTCCAGTGAGATTGAATATCTGAAGTGTAGTGTTGGCACACAATAGGTATTCAACAATGTCAGTTCAGTTCTCTCCTTTTTATTTTTTATTTTTATTTATTTATTTATTTTTTGAGATGGGGAGTCTAGCTCTTGTCGCCCAGGCTGGAGTGCAATTGCCCGATCTCGGCTCACTGCAATCTTTGCTTCCCAGGTTCAAGGGATTCTTCTGCCTCAGCCTCCCGAGTAGCTGGGATTACAGGCACCCGCCACCATGCTCAGCTAATTTTTGTATTTTTAGTAGAGACGGGGTTTCACCATGTTGGCCAGGCTAGTCTTGAACTCCTGACCTCAGGTGATCTTCCCACTTCAGCCTCCCAAAGTGCTGGGGTAACAGGCATGAGCCACTGCGCCCAGCTAGTTCTCTCCTTTTTTAAAGACAGGCTCTTACTCTCTTGCCCAGGCTGGAGTACAGTGGCACAATCATAGTTCACCACAGCCTCAACCTCGTGGGCTCAGGTGGCCCTCCTGCCTCGGCCTCCTGAGTAGCTGGGACTACAGGCATGCACCACCACACCCCACTAATTAACAAATTAGTGGAACGTAGTGGCAGGCACCTGTAATCCCAGCTACTCTGGAGGCTGAGGCAGGAGAATCGCTTGAACCCAAGAGGTGGAGGTTGTAGTGAGCTGAGATTACGCCACTGCACTCCAGCCTGGGTGACAGAGCAAGACTCCATCTCGAAATAAAAAGAAAGCAAAAGGTTCCTTCATTCTCCTTCCTTTATCCATTCACTCAGCACAGTGAGCACCTAAGTGTGCCAAGCACTGTCCAAGGTACTGGAGATATAACAGTGAACAAAACAGACAAAAGCCCCTGCCCTCATGGAGCTGAGATTCTACTGCGGTAGGAAAAAGTAAAAAAGAAATAGATAATATTATAGGAACTTAGAGAGCTGTGAAAGCTAAGGATAAACAAAGCAGAGAAGGAGGATGAGGGGATGTTAGGGATATTGGTTTCCTAGTTTTTTCTGCTATAACAAATTACAGCATGAATCTAGGGGCTTTAAACAACCCATATGTGTTATCTTATAGTTCTGGAGGTCAGAACTCTAAAATGGATCAGCAGGGCTGTATTTCTTCGGGAAGCTCTAGGGGAGAAACCATTTCCTTGCCTTTTCTGGTTTCTAGAGGCTTCCTGCATTCCTTGGATCATGGCCCTACGTCATTCTGATCTACATCACTCCTCAGTCTCTGACCCTCTTGCTTCCCTTTTATAAGAGCCTTTGCAATTAGATTGAGCCATACAGATAATCTAGGATAATCTCCTCATCTCAAAATCCTTACTTTAATCACATCTGCAACCTCCTTTTTACCATGTAAAGTAACATTCACAGGTTCTGGGTATCAGCATGTGGACATATTTGGGGAGGGGGTAGTTGTGAATTATTCTGTCTACCACAGGGACAGAGATTTTAGATAAGGTGGCCAGGAAATAGCTTATTTATTTATTTGTTTTTAGAGACAGGGTCTCACTCTGTCACCCAGGCTGGAGGGCAGTGGTGCAATCATAGCTCACTGCATCCTTGAACTGTGGGCTCAAGTGAACTTCCCACTTCAGTCTCCTGAGTAGCTGGGACTATAGGTGTGTGCCATCACACCCGGCTATTTTCTGTTTTTGTAGAGACAGGGTCTTGCTATGTTGCTCAGGCTGGTCTCAACCTCCTAGGCCCAAGTGATACTCCCGCCTCAGCATCCCAAAGTGTTGGGATTACAGGCACAAGCCACCACGCCTTCCCAGAAGAACTTATTGATGTGACTTTTGAGTAGGGACCTGAAGGAAGTGACGGATAGACACCTGGGGAGAGAACCTTCCAGGGAGAGGAAATGTTAGTGCAAAGGCTCTGAGGAGAGAGTGCAATGAGTGTCTGTGTTTGAGGACCAGCGGGGAGGCCAGAAAGGTCACAGCAGGGAGATCCAGGGGCAGAAAGACAGGAACTGAGGTCAAAGAGGTCCTATGGGTGGGGGTAAGGGAGAGGTCATGAAAGGCCTTATAGATGATTGTGAGAAAAATATCTTCCTCTGAATGAGACGGAAAACCATAAGACAGTTTCTCTAAGCACCTGTTCAATAACTGACTATGAAAGAAAATCTGGGCCAGGCACAGTGGCTCATGCTTGTAATCCCAGCACTTTTTGAGGCTGAGGCAGGTGGATCACTTGAGGCCAGGAGTTTGAGACCACCATGGGCAACATAGGGAGGCCCTGTTTCTGCAAAAATAAAAACAAAAAATTAGCCTGATGTGGTGGCGCACACCTGCAGTTCCAGCTATTTGGGAGGCTGAGGTGGGAGGATTGCTTATGCCCAGCAGTTTGAAGTTTGAGGCTGCAGTGAGCTTTGATGGTGCCACTCCAGCTTGGGTGACAGAACAAGACCTTGTGTTTCTAAAAAAAAACCAAAAAAAAAAAACAAAACCAAAAAAAACTAAAAGAGATAAGTGAAAAGAGAAGTGCAAAATGAGGTGTAAACATGTAAAAAGGTGTAAGGAAATATGGAAGGGACACAATTGACAAGAGACCAGAAAATTCATAGAATGAAGTCTTCAATGTGTGAAGGGAAAGGGCTAACATAATTATGTTTCAAAGAATTCAAACAGATCACTAAGACAAGTCCCTGAATCTGGGTAGAAAAACAAGCAAAGGGGTGCGAACAGTCAACTCACTAAAGAGAAAATGCAATTAGCTAAGCACATGGGAAAAGTCAGCCTAACTAGTAATCAAAGAAATGCAAATTAAAACAACAAACCGTTATATTTTCACCTCATAAAGATTCTGAAAATGAGAATCCTGGCTTTGGCCTTGGTGGAATGAAATAGGTGCAAGAACCCTGGCAGTGGGAATTGGAAATCTGATTATTTTGGGAAACAGTTTGACACTGGGTAGCAAAACCTTAAACATGGGCATCCTCATTGGCCCAATAAGTCAATTTTTGGCAATCTAGCCCAAGGAAATAATTTTAAATCTGGAGAGAGCCTTATGCATTGCTGCCAAACAGGAGAAACAACTAAACTGTGAGCAATAGGTTAAATAGGCCACGGTGCTCATTCTTTTGATATTTTTGTCAATCATATGAATTAGGTGCCAGTTATGTGCCAGGCACTGTTCTAGGTGCCAGGAATACAGCAGTGAACAGAACATCTTGAACTCCTTGCCCTTCATGGGGTTCTGATTCTAGTGAGGGAGCAGGAGAGCAAATAAGAACAGATATGAAGATGCTACATGATGGGGGACAAAGTAGGGCAATGTCACAGAGAGTGGAGGGGACTGCAGGGTGGACAACCACCAGTTTGCTGGGGACATTCAGTTTTAAGGCTGGGGCAGCCCTGGACAAACTGGGATGAGCTAGTCACACTAAGAGGTGCATCCTTGTGATGGGAGTGGTCAGGGTCTTGTCCTCTGAGGAGGTAGGATTTGGTTAGGGACTCAATGCAATGAGGGAGTGAACGACGGGAATGCTGGCTGAGTAGGTTTCCAGGCCGACAGAACAATACCTGCAAAGGCCCGGAGGAAGGAGTGTTCCTCGGGCAATGTGAGGGACTTGCACAAGGCTGGAGTGTCTGGAGCACAGCATGAAGGAGGATGGTGGTAAGATATAGATTTCAGAGAGGGAAACTCTTGACTCTTGCAGGGAAAGGAAGAAGTTTGGATTTTATTTTAAATCCAGTGAAAGCCTATGGAGGTTAAGCAGGGAAGCAACATGGTAAAATTTATGCTTTTAGAAAGACGACTCTGGCTGCTGTGTGGAGAAGGTGATGCAGGACAAGTAAGCCCCAAAGTTGGGGCTTAGCTTGGGAGGGTTCTTGGCTTCACCCAGGAAAGAATTCCAGGGTGAGCGGTGGTGGTAGACACTTTTATTTTTTTGAGACAGTTTTCACTCTTGTCACCTGTGCTGGAGTGCAATGGCAAGATCTCTGCTCATTCCAACCTCTGCCTCCTGGGTTCAAGTGATTGTCCTGCCTCAGCCTCCAGAGTAGCTGGGATTACAGGCACCCACCACCATGTCTGGCTAATATTTTTTTGTATTTTTAGTAAAGACAGGGTTTCACCATGTTGGCCAGGTTGGTTTTGAACTCCTGACCTTAGGTGATCCACCCCCTCCCAAAGTGCTGGGATTACAGGTGTGAGCCACCATGCCTGGCCTAGACACTTTTATTGAAGCAGCAGTGCACAGCAGCAGCAGAGGGACTGCTCCTCACAGAGCAGGGCTACCCCATAGGCAGTGTGCCCAGAGTAGCAGCTCAGAGGCAGTTCTGCAGTCATATTTATACCCACTTTTAATGATATGCAAATTAAGGGGGGATTTATGCAGACATTTCTAGAAAAAAGGTGGTAACTTCCGGGTTGTTGGGTCATTGCCATGGTAAGGGGCAGTAACTCCTGGGTGTTGCCATGGCAATGGTAAACTGACATGCCACGCTGGTGAGAGTGTCTGTTGGAAAGCTGCTTCCACTTTGGCCCTGTTTTTTTTTTTTTTTTTTTTTTTTTAGTATTTATTGATCATTCTTGGGTGTTTCTCGGAGAGGGGGATTTGGCAGGGTCATAGGACAATAGTGGAGGGAAGGTCAGCAGATAAACATGTGAACAAGGGTCTCTGGTTTTCCTAGGCAGAGGGCCCTGTGGCTTTCTGCAGTGTTTGTGTCCCTGGGTACTTGAGATTAGGGAGTGGTGATGACTCTTAAGGAGCATGCTGCCTTCAAGCATCTTGTTTAACAAAGCACATCTTGCACCGCCCTTAATCCATTTAACCCTGAGTGGACACAGCACATGTTTCAGAGAGCACAGGGTTGGGGGTAAGGTTACAGATTAACAGCATCCCAAGGCAGAAGAATTTTTCTTAGTACAGAACAAAATGGAGTCTCCTATGTCTACTTCTTTCTACACAGACACAGCAACAATCTGATCTCTCTTTCTTTTCCCCACATTTCTCCCTTTTCTACTTGACAAAACCGCCGTCGTCACCATGGCCCGTTCCCAATGAGCTGCTGGGTACACCTCCCAGATGGGGTGGCGGCCGGGCAGAGGGGCTCCTCACTTCCCAGACGGGGCGGCGGGGCAGAGGCGCCCCCCACCTCCCGGATGGGGCGGCTGGCCGGGTGGGGGCTGCCCCCACCTCCCTCCCGGACAGGGCGGCTGGCCGAGCGGGGGCTGCCCCCCACCTCCTGGACGGGGCGGCTGCCAGGCGGAGGGGCTCCTCACTTCCCAGACAGGGCAGCTGCCGGGCGGAGGGGCTCCTCACTTCTCAGACGGGGTGGCCGGGCAGAGACACTCCTCACCTCCCAGACGGGGTGGCGGTCGGGCAGAGACACTCCTCAGATCCCAGACGGGGTCGCGGCCGGGCAGAGGCGCTCCTCACATCCCAGATGGGGCAGCGGGGCAGAGGCACTCCCCACATCTCAGATGATGGGTGGCCGGGCATAGACGCTCCTCACTTCCTAGACAGGATGGTGGCCGGGAAGAGGCGCTCCTCACTTCCCAGACTGGGCGGCTGGGCAGAGGGGCTCCTCACATCCCAGACGATGGGTGGCCAGGCAGAGACACTCCTCACTTTCCAGACGGGGTGGCGGCTGGGCAGAGGCTGCAATCTCGGCACTTTGGGAGGCCAAGGCAGGCGGCTGGGAGGTGGAGGTTGTAGTGAGCCGAGATCACGCCACTGCACTCCAGCCTGGGCAACACTGAGCACTGAGTGAGCAAGACTCCATCTGCAATCCCGGCACCTCGGGAGGCCCAGGCGGGCAGATCACTCGCGGTCAGGAGCTGGAGACCAGCCTGGCCAACATGGCGAAACCCCGTCTCCACCAAAAAATACAAAAACCAGTCAGGCGTGGCGGTGTGCGCCTGCAATCCCAGGCACTCAGCAGCCTGAGGCAGGAGAATCAGGCAGGGAGGTTGCAGTGAGCCGAGATGGCGGCAGTACAGTCCAGCCTCAGCTTGGCATCAGAGGGAGACCATGGAAAGTGGGAGACGGAGACGGGAGAGGGAGACGGGAGGGGGAGGGGGAGGGGGAGGGAGAGGGGAGGGGGAGGGGGAGGGAGAGGGGCCCTGTTTTATAGCTAGTCTTCAATTTGGTCTGGTGTCTGAGCCCCACCTCTGGAGTTGAGTCCTGCCTCCTACCTCTAAGACATGTTGGTGGATGCAGGGTAGTGGGCAGAATAGAATCATGTAGACCCCTTAGAAGGTTGTTGTAATCTAGGGCAGTGGTTCTCAATTTTAACCATGCATGAGAATTTCATGCAGGGGTTGTTAAAACTCAGCCTCCTGCCCCTGGAGTCTGCGTCTGGAGTCTGCATCTCTGACTAGCTCCCAGGTGATGCCAGTGCTGCTGGTCCTGGACCACATTTTGAGTAGCTAAAAGCTAGGAGAGAGATAATGGGGACTTGCAGTAAGGTGGTACCCCTGCTGAGGTTAGGAAGAGCTCTGGTCTGGGATGCATTTTGAAGTGAAACTATCAATCTCATTTCAGTTCCCTTTTAATCTGCTTACACCAAGGACAATAGCTCAATTTGATACTAGTATGTTTCTAAGACTTTTCTGTATTTTAGCTAACAGAAAGCAGGCCTCAAAGTGTAGAGCAGGCTGGGCGCAGTGGCTCATGCCTGTAATCCCAGCACTTTGGGAGGCCGAGACAGGTGGATCACCTGAAGTCACGAGTTCAAGACCAGCCTGGCCAATATGGAGAAACCCCGTCTCTGCTAAAAATACAAAAATTAGTTGAGTGTGGTGGCACATGCCTGTAATCCCAGCTACTTGGGAGGCTGAGGCAGGAGAATTGCTTGAATCCGGGAGGCAGAGGTTTCAGTGAGCCGAGATCAGGCCACTGCATTCCAGCCTGGGCGACAGAGCAAGACTCCATCTCAGAAAAAAAAAAAAAAAAAAGAATCCAATAGTGTGATAGTGGACAAAAGAATCCAATAGTGTGATAGTGGACATGAAAATACTTCATGGACTACAAAGCTCTTCACCCTGCTATCTGCTTCATCTTTGTGGGGCAGGCTGGGTGCATCACCAGACTCCTAGTCAAGTGCTCTCTCTTATTGTTCATGGCCTTGTGTTGCCCCAGTCCTGGGGGAGGGGCTGACTTTTCTGCAGGACTATAGGAAAGGAGAATCATAGACATATGTCCACTTGTCAGTTACCTGTGTTTCCTTCTTGTGCTCTGGGCAGCCGATGCACTTTCCTGATTGCTGTGGAGCCTACTAGGATCTAGGAATGAATATTGTGCCTGGCTTTGGGGGTTCAAAACTCTCCCTCTTGGCTCTTGAGCTGCTTGCTTGAGCCCATTCCCACTCTGTGGAGTGTACTTTTGCTTCAATAACTCTGTGCTTTCTTTTTGTTTGTTTGTTTGTTTTTTGAGATGGCGTCTCGCTCTGTTGCCCAGGCTGGAGTGCAGTGGCGCGATCTCGGCTCACTGCAAGCTCCACCTCCAGGGTTCATGCCATTCTCCTGCCTCAGCCTCCCGAGTAGTTGGGACTACAGGCGCTCACCACCATGCCCGGCTAATTTTTTGTATTTTAGTAGAGACGGGGTTTCACCGTGTTAGCCAGGATGGTCTTGATCTCCTGACCTCGTGATCCACCTGCCTCAGCCTCCCAAAGTGCTAGAATTACAGACGTGAGCCACTGCATCCGGCAAATCTGTGCTTTCATTGATTTACTCTTTCATTGCTTTGTATGTTTTGTCTGAGTCTTTGTTCAAACTGCCAAGAACCTGGACACCCTCCACTGGTAACATATTTTGGCGTTCCAGCCAGGGGACAATAACGGGAAAGACTCCATCTATGCTACCTGATCCCCCGCTTGGCTGCATCCTCAACCACTGGTATCAATTTGACCCCAATAATCTAAGGAGGAAATGCTTGATATTCTTTTGCAATAGTTTGTCCCCAATATTGCTTGGAATCTGGAGTTTGTTGTTGAATGGGAAAGTGGGATGGTGTTGTATGTATCCAAGCTTTTGTGCTGCTGTTCTAAGCAGGGTCAGGCCTGGTTAGCATGTGGTACTCTCTTTTGGTGCTGTTTGGCCCCGGTGTTCTTTGGAATTTAAAAATCAAACTGGCATGGAAACTGCTTTACCCCAAAATTTTGGTTCACAGCCTTCACTGGATTACCTACTGGGGCAAACAGAGTGTAACCATGTAAAACCGGCGAGCTTGTATTGCTATCTCATGGCTAGAGTTCCAAGGTAAAAGCCATTTGGATCTTCATTTGTGTGCGTGTATACATGTCTAAATGTGTTTATTTGTATGTAGACTTACTGTTATATGTTGTGCCTACCACATTGGCTTATAAGTAAGAGAGTGCTCATAACTTAATAAGTCCAAGCAATTTTCAGGTTCACGTGACTTAAGTAAATCTTTACGAAACTAGCTAGCTTTAAAATTATTGGTAAATACAAATAGAAATGTCTTCAGAATTGGCAACATACATTTTTATCTTGGTTTTATGTTTGTCTTTGCTAGATATTTTGAGGTGTCAAGGCTATCAGGCTGGGCGTGGTGGCTCACATTTGTAATGCCAGCACTTTGGGAGGCCGAGGTGGGCGGATCACCTGAGGTCAGGAGTTGGAGACCAGCCTGGTCAACATGGTGAAGCCCCGTTTCTACTAAAAATACAAAAATTAGCCGGGTATGGTGGCATGTGCCTGTAATCCCAGCTACTTGGGAGGCTGAGGGAGGAGGATCACTTGAACCAGGGAGGTGGAAGTTGCAGCAAGCCAAGATAGTACCACTGCACTCCAGCCTGGGTGACAGAGGGAGACTCACTGTCTAAAAAAAAAAGTTATAAAGCTATTAACCCAGCCAAAACAACAAAAACAAAAAACTGTCCCTTTTGCCTTTGGTTCACTCTTGGATCCAGATGGAAATCTCCAGCTGTTCTGGTGTTCTGGACCAAGAAATTTGAGAAAATAAGAATCCATGGACAAGAAAATTTTGAGGTAGTGGTTCAGAGTTCTGGCTTGTGGCCTCAGTTCCAATCCTGGTTCTATCCTTGCTTGGTGTGAGGCCTTAGGAAATCTCCTTGTGTCAGTCTGGGTCCTCCGAGAAGCAGAGCTTGCTTTGAGACTCAACATGCAAGGATTTTTTTTTTTTTTGAGACGGAGTCTCACTCTGTCGCCCAGGCTGGAGTGCAGTGGCACGATCTCAGCTCACTGCAAGCTCCACCTCCCGGGTTCACGCCATTCTCCTGCCTCAGCCTCCTGAGTAGCTGGGACTACAGGCGCCTGCCACCATGCCCGGCTAATTTTTTTGTATTTTTAGTAGAGACGTGGTTTCACCGTGTTAGCCAGGATGGTCTCGATCTCCTGACCTCATGATTCACCCGCCTTGGCCTCCCAAAGTGCTGGGATTACAGGTGTGAGCCACCGCACCTGGCCTAACATGCAAGGGTTTTGTTAGGGGAAACCCTTGTGTGAAAGGAGTTAGACAGTGATGAAGCCTGACTCCAAGGGAGGAGAAGAGAGAATGTTGGTGGAACTGTCCGTGCTGTGCGGTCTAATGAAAATTGGGGTTTCCAAAGTCAGTTGTCAAGGGCCCCTGTGTTTTCTAGGAATGAGCTGCCTTAGTTTCTCTGCTGCCATACACTATTGATGGGTGAGATGGATTTTAAATCTACCTGGGCCCTTGCTCTCTTATGCTCCCCATAGCTGGAGGTCGGTGGCAGGTGCATTCTTGTGGCCACGCATCACTTAACCTCTCATGGGATTGTTACTACAATCAAATGAGACAAGGTGTGTAAAACATTTGGTACAAGATCTGGCATAAATACTCAACATATTTTAACTATTATGATTACCCAGTTATTCTTTCGAAGCCAACAAGAAAGTTTTCTTCTCCTTTTGTTATCAACCATTCCCTGCATCAGAGGCTGCTAATTCAGTCAGATTCCCTGTAAATGAGTGATGTGGGCCAAGTGTAAGACATTAGAGAGTGGTGGGGACTATGGTAAACTAGAAAGCACATGAACCATCTAAAATGGTTTGAAAAATAGCTGGGCGTGGTGGCTCATGCCTGTAATCCTAGCACTCCGTCTCAAAAAAAAAAAAAAAAAAAACCCAACCCAAAACCACCCCAAAAACCCCAGTGAGGTTGATTTTCCCACCCCCCCAAACCCATTAATAAATTTGTTGTGTATTTGACGACATGGAGAGACCTGGCTGGTTGATTTCTGGTTTTGTGCACAGCTTCAGTGTTGTCTTTTCTGAGAGGTTTTGAATGTGGACATCGGGATTGGATGGCATGGGTTGGGATCTTGGCTCTCCCACTTGCCAGCCATGAGATATTGGGCAAATTATGAAATCTCGGGCAAATTATGAAATTTCCTGGTAACTCAGTTTTTCCATCTGTAAAATGGGGATAATAATGATTCTCCCCTCATGAAATTTCAATGAGGATTTAATATACAGAAGGAGTTTAGGACAGTGTCTGGAACATAGTAAGGCTGAGTAAGTGTTGATGTTATTCTGGGGTTGAGAGAAGGAGCAAGAACAACCTTGGGTTGCTGGAGGCTCTCATGGTTTTTCCTCATCATTTCATTCCACTTAAGCCTAAAACAATATGATCGGTATAACACCCAGACAGGAATGAGTTTCTCTTATACCGGTGATATAATCATATATAATAATGCCACTTACATAAGCTTCCTTAGCTCCTTGTTAAGGCCACCCACACTCCGTTCCACTTCACACTGTTAAGGACTGTTTCTCCCACAGGGAAAAAGACACCCAGCTCTATGCTAATTACCACTTTAAAGCAGGGACCAAGGGGTGTGAGGGGGGGAAACCAGCAAAGGTGTCTTTGGCAGTGCTCTTGATTTGGGAGAGTAAAGTCTTTAGTTTGGAAGCAGTGAGTCAGGCCTGGGGACCTCAGAGGAGCCAGAGGCAACCCATGGTGTCCCCCAGATTAGGCAGGCCCAACCTACGCCTTAGGTGAAAAGTGTCTGTGAGCCAGCCCTCTGCAGTCAAATGCTAATCTGCCATTTCTTTTATTGCTTTAAAAAAGAGAGTCTGAGACATATTCTACGTGTGATACAAGCTCATTGTGGAAAATATAGAAAATAGATGGGAACAAAATGAAAGTGTAAAAGTCAGAAGTCATGAGCGATGAATATAGTCAAGCTAACAGAAAAAATATAAAAAGTCAGAACTCATTCAGCTGAAAGTGTCAGAAATCAATTGCAAACTGGTTTAGATGATTCAAGAGAATATATTGGCCCACAGAACAAGGCTGTCACAGAGGTGGATCAGGCATGGCTGTATCCAGGGCTCAAACGTTATTAGCGGAATGCCATCTTGCTTGCTCTGTCTCTATTTCATGAATAGGCCTTCTCCAGATGGTGGAAAAGGTAGACATTATCAATTCCAGATTAATCTCCACCAACTGAACAATGCTACTAGAAAGGAAGAGGCTCTTCTCAGTGCTCAGATAGGAAAGTCTCAGGGAGGGACTTGATTGGGTGAAGATGTACCACGTGTGCATCCTTGAACCAGTCCCTGTGGTTGGGGCTGTACCACCTGTGCATCCTTGAACCAATCCCTGTGGTTGGGGATGAGGTGCTCTGATTGGCCAGATCAGTGAGTCAATGGCCAGGGGAGATGAAATCAAGGAATGGTCCACTTAAATAGGTCCTCCACAGGGAGTGGTGATTCTGTTCCAAAAGAAAGAGAAGGAAATGAATTGATGAAAACAATGGATATTGCTATATAAGAAGCATATAACATCTGTAATCCCAGCACTTTGGGAGGCTGAGGTGGGCGGATCACCTGAGGTCGGGAGTTCGAGACCAGCCTGACCAACATGGAGAAACCCTGTCTCTACTAAATATAAATATATATATATATATTTAGCTGGGTGTGGTGGCACGTCCCAGCTACTCGGGAGACTGAGGCAGGAGAATTGCTTGAACCTGGGAGGCAGAGGTTGCTGTGAGCCAAGATGACACCATTGCACTCCAGCCTGGGTAACAAGAACAAAACTTCATCTCAAAAAAAAAAAAAAAAAAAAGAGGTCAGGTGCAGTGGTCACGCCTGTAATCCCAGCACTTTGGGAGGCTGAGGTGGTCGGATCACGAGGTCAGGAGATCGAGACCATCCTGGCTAACATGGTGAAACCCTGTCTCTACTAAAAATACAAAAAAATTAGCTGGGTGTGGTAGCGGGCGCCTGTAGTCCCAGCTACTCGGGAGGCTGAGGCAGGAGAATGGCGTGAACCCGGGAGGCGGAGCTTGCAGTGAGCCGAGATCGCGCCACTGCACTCCAGCCTGGGCGACAGAGCAAGACTCTGCCTCAAAAAACAAAACAAAACAAAAAAAAGAGAAGCAAATGACAAGTTTCCAATACTTGCACCATCTAGAAATAATGACTGTTGACTTCTTAATGTAAATCCTCCCAGAATTCCCCTCCCCTTATTTAGCTATACTTATAAGCATATACTAGATACATAGAACATTGAGATATCCTATGCAAACTTTTGTAAGCTGATTTTGATTGCCTTGTTTAAAAATATCATTTAGATATTTTGAAATATAAGTGGCATATCTTCTGGGTAGAAAAATTAGAGAATATGGACAAACAAAAATAAAATAACTTTTTTTAAATAATTTTTTTTTTTGAAACAGAGTCACTCTATCACCCAGGCTGGAGTACAGTAGCATGATCTTGGCTCACTGCACCTCCACCTCCTGGGTTCAAGCGATTTTCATGCCTCAGTCTCCTGAGTAGCTGTGATTACAAGTGCATGCAACCACGCCCAGCTAATTTCTGTATTTTTAGTAGAGACGGGGTTTCTCCATGTTGTCCAGGCTGGGATTGAACTCCTGGTCTCAAGCAATCTGCCTGCCTCGGCCTCCCAAAGTGCTGGGATTACAGGTGTGAGCCACCACACCTGACCTAAAATAACTTATAATTGGCTGGGGTTAATAGTAAGACTTTTAAGAAGCCAGATTAAGGGCAGGGTTGAGATAGAGGAAGAATAATTTGTCAGATCTCCTCTTATGATACCCTGTAGTCCCTCTTTGCAGTGCTTTGCACATTTGTAATTTTACATTAATTACTCAAAGTGGCTTATTTAAAATAATTTTATTCTCTAGTGTTGCTTTCCTTAAAAGAAATAAGAAAAAAAACCCAGAAAAAAAGTGACCTAAAATAATTTTATTCTGAACTATTTCAGGCACACAAAAAACTATAAAGACCAGTACAGTGAACAACCATTTACCCGTCACTCAGTTTAAAAAATATAACAAAGACAATCAAGTCCTTCTGTGGACCCCTCTTAATCTCGTGCTCCTTTCTCTCTTCCTTCCTTCCCAATGGGATCTCTATCCTGCAGTTGTGTCTTATATTTCATGCCTATTTTGTATTCTTATTGAATATATGTTATCCATTATCAACATATAACATTATGTTGCATATTTAAACACTTTAAATAGACTACCACTGTATGTATTGTTCTCATGGCTTGCTTTTTGGTTCATTGTTATGATTTTGCAATTTATTTTTATTTTTATTTATTTATTTATTTTTGAGACAGAGTTTCATTCACTCTTGTTGCCCAGGCTGGAGTGCAATGGTGTGATTTCAGCTCACTGCAACCTCCGCCTCCCAGGTTCAAGTGATTCTCCTGCCTCAACCTCCTGAGTAGCTGGGATTACAGGCAGGCGCCACCATGCCCAGCTAATTTTGTATTTTTGGTAGAGATGGGGTTTCTCCACGTTGGTTAGGCTGGTCTCGAACTCCCGACCTCAGGTGATCCGCCCGCCTTGGCTTCCCAAAGTGCTGGGATTACAGGCGTGAGCCACTGGGCCTGGCCGATTTTGCAAAGTGTTAATGTTGATACAGGTTATGTTTCATTTATTTTCTACTATTGTTAGTGTTAATCTGTTAGTACTAGCATCCATGGTAGAACTCAATCATAATTAAGCTATCTATTCTGCAGATGGACATTTAGGTTCCTTTTTTTTTTTTTTTTTCTTGAGACAGAGTCTCGCTCTTTTGCCCGGCTGGAGTGCAATGGCGCCATCTCGGCTCACTGCAAACTCCACCTCCTGGGTTCAAGTGATTCTCGTGCCTCAGCCTCCCGAGTAGCCGTGACTACAGCACCCACCACCACACTTGGCTAATTTTTGTATATTTAGTAGAGATGGGGTTTTGCCATGCTGGCCAGGGTGGTCTTGAACTCCTGACCTCTGGTGATCCGCCCACCTTGGCCTCCCAAAGTGCTGGGATTACAGTCGTGAGCCACTGAGCCTGGCCGTCTTCCTTCCCTTCCCTTCCCTTCCCTTCCCTTCCCTTCCCTTCCCTTCCCTTCCCTTCCCTTCCCTTCCCTTCCCTCCCCTCCCCTCCCCTCCATCTCCCTCTCCTCCCCTTCCTTCTTTCCTTCCTTCCTTCCTTCCTCTTTCTCTTTTTCTCTCTTTCTTTCTCTCCCTCTTTTTCTTTTTTTCTTCTTTCTTTTTTTTGGAGACAGGGTCTTACTTTGTCACCCAGGCTGGAGTGCAGTGGTATGATCATGGCTCACTGCAGCCTCGACCCCCCAGGCTCAAGCGATCTTCCCACGCCAGCCTTCCTGAGTAGCTGGGATTATAACAGGCTTGCACCGCTATGCCTGGCTAATATTTGTATTTTTTGTAGAGATGGGGTTTCACCATATTGTCGAGGCTGGGCTTCAACTCCTGAGCTCAAGCAATCCACCCACCTTGGCCTCCCAAACTGCTGGGATTATAGGCCTGAGCCACCGCACCTGACCTGTTTCTATTTTTCTATTACAAACAGTGCTGTAGTAAATATTCCTGTACAGGCCAGGCACGGCGGCTCATGCCTGTAATCCCAGCACTTTGGGAGGCCGAGGTGGGCACCTCACCTGAGGTTGGGAGTTTGAGACAACCTAATCAACATGGAGAAACCCCATCTCTACTAAAAATACAAAATTAGCCGGGTGTGGTGGCGCATGCCTGTAATCCCAGCTACTTGGGAGACTGAGGCAGGAGAATCGCTTGAACCTGGGAGGTGGAGGTTGCGATAAGCTAAGATCACACCACTGCACTCCAGCCTGGGCAACAAGAGCAAAACTCCATCTCAGATATATACATTCCTGTACATTTCTCCTTGTGCAAACTGATAGAGCTTCTCCTGGTCTAGGGTATGTACCTAGGAGTGGAATTGCTGGGCTGTGGGGGTTATACTTCTTCAACTTTACTCAATTTCACCAAGTTGCTCTGCAGAACAGTTGTACCAATTTACACTCTTACCTGCAGTACATGAGAATTCCAGTTTCTCCGACATTTGGTTTTGTCAGACTTTTTATCTTTGCCAGTTTGATGTGTGTGAAATGCAGTCTGCTGGCACCCAGTGTTCAATCCTGAAGAGCTGGATGCATAGGTCTTGTTCACCATGGTTCCCCCAGCACTTTGCGCAGCACCTGAAATATAGTAGGTACTCCATATTTTTTGGCTGACTAATTGAGCAGCAGTTTTCTGGCTCCTCTCATGTAAAATTCCATTACAATTTGTTGGAGAAGCCATTTGTTCTGCAGGGAGTCCTGTTTTCATCTCACTCTTCCCAATTCAAAACCAGGAAACCGGGCCAGGCGCAGTGGCTCACTCCTGTAATCTCAGCACTTTGGGAGGCCAAGGCAGGTGGATCACGAGGTCAGGAGTTCGAGACCAGCCTGGCCAATATGGTGAAAACCCATCTCTACTAAAAATACAAAAATTAGCCGGGTGTGGTGGCACGCGCCTGTAGTCCCAGCTACTTGGGAGGCAGAGACAGGAGAATCACTTGAACCTGGGAGGCAGAGGTTGCTGTGAGCTGAGATCGCCCCACTACATTCCAGCCTGGGTGACAGAGCAAGACTCCAGCTCAAATCAACCAACCAACCAGGAAACCACTCAGGGACTAAGCAGAGAAAACAGCTTTTGATTGCCCTGTTTGCCTTTTTGTTAGAACTGCAGTTCTCAAAACTTTCCCATACCTCAGAGCCACGTGGAGGGCGTGTTAAAATGCAAATCGCTGGGATCCATCCCCCCAGAATTTCTTGTTCAGGAGGTCGAGGGTAAGGTCTAGGGATCTGCTTTTTTTTTTTTTTTTTTTTTTGACAGGGTCTTGCTCTGTCACCCAGGCTGGAGTGCAGTGGTGCAATCTCGGCTCACTGCATCCTCGACCTCTTGGGCTCAAGCCATCCTCCCCACTCAGCCTCCCTAGTAGCTGGGACTACAGGCATGTGCCACCACGCCTAGCTAATTTTTGTATTTTTTGTAGAGATGAGTCTCTCTATGTTGCCCAGGCTGGTCTCAAACTCCTGGGCTCAAGCAATCCACCTGCCTTGGCCTCTCAAAGTGTTGGGATTACAGGCATGAGCCACCATATCCAAAATAAGATTTGCGTGTGTAATAAGTACCTGGATGATTCTGATGCTGGTGCTGCTGGTCTGGGAACTACACTTTGAGAACCACTGGATCTGAGGAACATTCAATCCAGACATTTTGGATATGATCAATGTGGAGTGTCCTTAAAGAGATTGAATGCAAAACTTGAAAAGCCACTCCCAAAGTGTAGAGTGGAGGGAAGAATATAACATCTAACTCCCCTTAGCCGGAGTAGGAAAAGGAGAAGTCTGGAATGTTTAAGACAGTTGGCGGCATTTATAGAGACTGATATAATTCAGTAAGAATATATTGGGCACCAACTGGGTTGTTTCCTTCCTTCTTCTCTTCTCTTCTCTTCTCTTCCCTTCTCTTCTCTCTCTTTCTTTCTTTCTCTTTCTCCCTTCCCTTCCCTGCCCTTCCCTCCCCTCCCCTTCCCTTCCTTTCTTTTTTGACAGAGTCTCTCTCTTGTCACCCAGGCTGGAGTGCAGTAGTGCAATCTTGGCTCATTGCAACCTCTGCCTCCCGGGTTCAAGCGATTCTCGTGCCTCAGCCTCCTAAGTAGCTGAGACTACAGGTGTGTGCCACCACACCCAGTTAATTTTAACTTTAATTTTTTGTATTTTTAGTATAGATGGGGTTTTGTTATGTTGGCCAGGGTGGTCTCAAACTCCTGGCCTCAAGCAATCCACCTGCCTCGGCCTCCCAAAGTGCTGGGACTACAGGTGTAAGCCATCACTTCCGGCCCTGACTGGGTTGTTTCCATCTGCTCGCAAGTCTTCTACATGCTTTCAAGCCAGGATCTTTTTTTCCATTGATACTTACTCCTGAGATCACCGCAATCTTCTCTTCTTCCTCTACCTCCTCCCCCTCTCCCTCCCCCCTCCCCCTCCCCATCTCCTCTCCTCCTCCTCTTCCTCCTCCTTCTTCTTCTTTTTCCTCTTCTTCCTCTTCTTCCATGAATTAAATTCAAATGTGGACTTGGCTATGTGTTGAAACTATAATAAAGATAGCTAGCATTTATTGAGGTCTTGGTTGCCAAATGCTTTTGTTAGTGTTATCTCACTTCATCCTCCCTCAGACTTCAGGAGATAGGTACCATAGTTACATCCACTTTGTGGATGAAGTTTAGAGGTTACACAGCAGGTAAATAACAAAGCTGGGGCTGCAACCCAGGTCACCCCAATTCCAATGTCTTGTTCTTTACTGAAACTATGTACCATACATCTGTGATTCTTAGCTTCCTTATTAATTAATTCACCAAATGTTTTCTGAGCACCTCCTAGGTGCTAGGCCCTTTGCTGCTGATATGGGCAAATGAGACAGACAAAATTCCTGGTAGCATGACAGTATGTTTTGGCCCTGTGTCCCCACCCAAGTCTTATCTCAAATTGGAATCCCCATAATCCCTAAGTATGGAGGGAGGGACCAAGTGGAGGTCATTGAATCATGGGGGCAGTTTCCCCCATGCTGTTCTCGTGATACTGATTGAGTGCTCATGAAATGTGATGATATTATAGGGCAGTTTCCCTGCTCCTGCTCATTCTCTCTGGCCTGCCACCATGTAAGACGTGCCTACTTCCCCTTCCCCCATGATTGTAAGTTTCCTGAGGCCTCCCCAGCCATGCAGAACTGTGAGTCAATTAAACTTCTTTCCTTTATAAATTACACAGTCTTGGGGCTTTCTTTCCTTTTTTCTTTTTTGTGAGACAGAGTCTTGCTCTGTTGCCCAGACTGGAGTGCAGCGGCATGGTCTCAGCTCACTGCAGCCTCTGCCTCCCAGGTTCAAGCAATTCCTCTGTCTCAGCCTCCTGAGTAGCTGGGATTACAGGCATGCGCCACCACACCTGGCTAATTTTTGTATTTTTAGTAGAGACGGGGTTTCACCATGTTGGTCAGGCTGGTCTCAAACTCCTGACCTCATGATCTGTTCCCCTTGGCCTCCCAAAGTGCTGGGATTACAGGCGTGAGCCACCGAGCCTGGCCCTGTTTTTTTTTTTTTTTTTTTTGTAGAGCTGTAGTTTTGCTATATTGCCTAGGCTGGTCTCAAACTCCTGGCTTCAAGCAATCCTCCTCCCTCGGCCTCTCAAAGTCCTGGGATTACAGGATTGAGCTGCCATGCAAGACCAAGAAACGGTTTTGATAGTCAGAAATTATATAGCTACCATTTATGGAGCTTAACTATGTGCCCCGCAGGTGCTAAGTTGTTTTTTTTTTTTTCAACTCTGTCTCATTTAACTCTCACTATCACAGAATGCCTTGAAGTTTGTATTACTGCAGGAGAGGAGGTGAACTCAGAATCAGCTTTATTAATATTGATAATAATAGTAGTGTTATTAAATGAATGAATGAAAGCACAACATGAGACCTATTCTAAGGTGATTAGAAGACTAAGCGCTCAGCTCTGGGATTGAATGGTGGAGGGGCAGGCAGTTTGGAAGGGGAGGCATCCCTTGTGTACTCCCAGGAGTGTCCTTATCCAGGGTCAACCTTGGAGGCACCAAGATTTATTTTATTAGAGAAGGCAGCCATTCCTCACCCCGCACTACCCACAGATCCAAGGCCTGAGGAATCTGAGAAATGGCCCCCCTAGTCCATAGGCTCAATCTATTTCCACTGGGAGAGAAGCAGCCCAGGCATATGGGGTCTGCACCTTTCACTGCGTAGGTGATAAACCTTGAGCCAAGTCAGAATTATCGGTCTTGTGTTCTGTCGTATGGGGCCTCCCAACACTGTGAAGTGCACTCACACCCACGTGCCCTTTTATTTATGACTTTTATTGAGTCTTCTATGAAGTCGTAAACTGACCAACCCTCCAGCTGGTTCCAGCCCTCATCAGGAAGCTATCATCAAAGTGAATCACCTTCTCACTGGCCACTTGTTCCCTGAAGGTTCATTGCAAAGGCTGAGATGTTTTCTGGGACTTCTTATAGAATCTGTCAGCCCTAGCTTAGAACTGCCAAGCCAAGGTTTTTTTGTTTCTGTTTCTGTTTTTGTTTTTTTTTTTGTTGTTGTTGTTGTTAAGAAAGAGAAGTAAAATACAAAGTGGAAAGGTAATGTGTTTGTTTGGCCAGGGCCTCTCATCTCTGTACAGTATTCTGGAAATGCCTCAATTTCTGGAGCTGTGGATTGGACGAGGTTGACCTACTCTTATTCTGGCCTAGAAAAAGTCTGAGTAATTCTTGCATCAGGGAGGCCAGGCATGTCGGCTCATATCTGTAATCCAGCACTCTGGGACGCCGAGGCGGGTGGATCACCTGAGGTCAGGAGCTCAAGACCAGCCTGGCCAACATGGTGAAACCCCATCTCTACTAAAAATAGAAAATATTAGCTGCGTGTGGTGGCAGAAGCCTGTAATCCCAGCTACTTGGGAATCTGAGGCAGGAGAATCCCTTGAACCTGGGAGGTAGAGGTTGCAGTGAGCCAAGATTGTGCCACTGCACTCCAGCCTGGGTGACAGAGCGAGACCCCATCTCAAAAAAAAAAATATGTGTATATATATATATATATTCTTGCACTAGGGATTTGGGGACAAGGCAGAGAACAACATATTCCTAAGGGAATATGGGAACCAGCAACTTAAATAAAAACAAGGGTTGGACCTTGGACGTAGGAGGGACTTGGGTGGAAATGATTTCCCTAAAAGCACAGGGTGCTAGAGAGTCCCTAAGAACTCCTCAGACACCTCTCAAGCCCTGTGCTGGGGAAACAACCTGCATTATCTCATCTACTCTTCAGCAGGCCTCTGTTTCATCTCCATTTCGCAGATGGAGAAATTGAGGCTCACAGAGGTTATGTCACTGTATAAGTTGCTCTAGATCACATGGATACTAAATGGTAGAGCCAAGTTCTGAACACAGATTCTTCTTTAATTTATTAAAATTCACCCATTTGGATGTGCATGTCAATAATTTTTAGTAAATTTATTTCGTTTCATTTTATTTCATTTATTTATTTATTTGAGATGGAGTCTCATTCTGTGGCCCAGGCTTGACTGCAGTGGTGCAGTCTCGGCTCCCTGCAACCTCTGCCTCCCAGGTTCAAGCGATTCTCCTGCTTCAGCCTCCTGAGTAGCTGGGACTATAGGCACATGCCACCTTGCCTGGCTAATGTTTGTATTTTTAGTAGAGATGGGGTTTCACCATGTTGGCCAGGCTGGTCTTGAGCTCCTGACCTCAGGTGACCCACCCACCTTGGCCTCCCAAAGTGCTGGGATAACAGGCATGAGCCACTTATTTTATTTTATTTTATTCTTTTGAGATGGAGTTTCACTTTTGTTGCCCAGGCTGGAGTGCAATGGCATGAACTTGGCTCACTGCAACCTCCGCCTCCCGGGTTCAAGTGATTCTCCTGCCTCAGCCTCCTGAGTAGCTGGATTACAGGCATGCACCACCACGCCTGGCTAATTTTTGTATTTTTAGTAGAGACGGGGTTTCTCCATGTTGGTCAGGCTGGACTCGAACTCCCTACCTCAGGTGATCCGCCAGCCTCAGCTTCTCAAAGTGCCAAGATTACAGGCTTGAGCCACCATGCCTGGCCCACTTATTATTTTGTAAAGAGACAGGGTCTTGCTCTGTTGGCCAGGCTGGAGGACAGTGGCATAACCGTAGCTCACTGTAGTCTTGAACTCCTGGGCTTAAGCCATCCTCCTACCTCAGCGTCCTGAGTAGTTAAGACTACAGGCATGGGCTACCATGCCCAGCTAATATTTTTAGTAAATTTTAAAAGTTGTGTAATTATCATGACAATACAGTCTTAGAACCTTTCCATGGTGTCCAGAATGACCCCTGGTGCTGATTTGCCGTCAATCCTCATTCCCATCTGTAGCTTCAGTTGACAACTGTGCCTGGGCCTGTGTGTCTCTATAAATTTACCTATTCCGGACATTTCATATAAATAGAATCACACAATATGTAGTCTTTTCATTTGACTTCTTTTGCTTATGGTGAGATAACTATGTTGTTTTGTATATTAACAGTTCATTCCTGGCTGGGCGTGGCGGTTCACGCCTGTAATCTCAGCCCTTTGGGAGGCTGAGGTGAGTGGATCACTTGAGGTCAGGAGTTCAAGACCAGCCTGGACAACATGGGAAAACCCTGTCTCTACTAAAAATTCAAAAAGTAGCCGGGTGTGGGGAACGCACCTGTAATCCCAGCTACTCAGGGGGCTGAGGCAGGAGAATCACTTGAACCCAGGAGGCAGAGGTTACAGTAAGCCAAGATTATGCCACTGCACTCCAGCCTGGGTGACAGAGTAAGACTCTGCCTCAATAAAAACAGCAACGACAACAACATAGTTCATTCCTTTTTATTCCTGAATATTATTCCAATGTTTGGGTATACCCCATTTTATTTATTCATTTTACCAGTTGATGAGCATTTGGATTATTTCTATTTCTTGGCTGCTATAAAGAGTTCTGCTATGCACATTCATGTGTAGGTTTCTGTATGGTCGGATGTTTTCATTTCATCTGGGTAGTTTCCTAGAAGTGGAATTGCTGGGTTTTATGGTAAGCTCATGTTAAACTTTGTAAGAAACTGCGAAACTTTTCAAAGAGCCTTTGTCATTTTACATTGAACTCAGGTCTTTGTGACTCTGACGTCCAAGTTCTTAACCACTGCATTATGTGTATGTCTCATGTTACTCCATGCCATGAATAATCAATTCATTTTGACAATTATTGCTTGATGTTTATTCTATGCTGGTCGTGGTACTAAATGGTAGGAATAGAGAAATGAAAGGATATGGCTTGTTTTCTGCCTTTTATGGTAGATTGGGTTATTATTATTATTATTATTGTTATTATTTTTGAGACAGAGTCTCACTCTGTTGCCCAGGCTGGAGTGCAGTGGTGCGATCATGGCTCACTGCAGCCTCAACATTCTGGGCTCAAGTGATCCTCCTATCTCAGCCTCCTGAGTAGCTGGGATCATGGCATGTGCCACCATGCCTGGCTAACTTACACTTTTTTTTTTCTTTGTAGAGACAAGGTCTCACTGTGTTGCAAAGACTGGTCTCAAACTGCTGGGCTCAAGCAATCTTCCTGCCTCAGGCTACCAAAGTGCTGGGGTTACAGGCTTGAGCCACCTAGCCTGGTTAGATTGGTTAGTGATCACAATTTTTCTACCATATGACCTTTCAGTGTACCAGATGGACAGAGCATATTTCCCCACCCATATTAGGCTGTTCTTGCATTGCTATAAAGAAATACCAGAGGCCACGCATGGTGGCTCACACCTGTAATCTCGGCACTTTGGGAGGCTGAGGCAGGCGGATCACGAGGTCAGGAGATCGAGACCATCCTGGCTAACAGGGTGAAACCCTGTCTCTACTAAAAATACAAAAAATTAGCCAGGCATGGTTGCAGGCGCCTGTAGTCCCAGCTACTTGGGAGGCTGAGGCAGGAGAATGGCGTGAACCCGGGAGGCAGAGCTTGCAGTGAACCGAGACTGCGCCACTGCACTCTAGCCTGGGTGACAGAGCAAGACTCCATCTCAAAAAAAAAGAAATACTAGAGACTGGATAATTTATAAAGAAAAGAGGTTTAATTGGCTCACAGTTGTGCAGGCTGTACAAGCATGGAGCTGGCATCTGCTTGGCTTCTGGGGAAGCCGCAGGGAGCTTTTACTCATGGCAGAAGTGAAGAGGGAGCAGGCACGTCACATGGCAAAAGCAGGAGTGAGAGAGAGAGTGTGGGTAAGATTCTACACCTTTTTTTTTTTTTTTTTTTTTTGAGACAGAGTCTCGCTCCAGCACCAGGCTGGAGTGCAGTGGTGCGATCTTGGCTCACTGCAACCTCCGCTTTCTGGGTTCAAGCCATTCTCCTGCCTCAGCCTCCCGAGTAGCTGGGATTACAGGTGCGCACTGCCACGCCCAGCTAATTTTGTATTTTTAGTAGAGACAGGGTTTCACCATGTTGGTCAGGCTGGTCTCGATCTCCTGACCTTGTGATCTGCCCGCCTCGGCCTCCCAAAGTGCTGGGATTACAGGCGTGAGCCACCGTGCGTAGCCCACACACTTTTAAATGACCAGATCTCATGAAAACTCACTCACTATCGTGAAGACAGCACCAAATCATGAGGGATCTGTCCCCGTGACCCAAACTAACTCCACCAGGCTCCACCTTCAGCACTGGGGATTGCAATTCAACATGAGATTTGGCTGGGGACAAATATCCAAACTATAGCACCACCCCATGGTGTTGGGTTTGCCCATGTGACTTGTGGCCAAGGAACATGAATCAGATATGATGCAAACAGATGCCTCACATGTGCTTTTTGTGCTGTAGTTCATGTTCTTGTGTTCTCCTGATCCACTATGAGAAGAACACACTCTGCATAGCGGTTTCTCCTTTAGTCTGAGAGTCACAGCAAAAATATGTGAGGCAGACCTGAATTTAACACACAGCCTAAAGCTAAGCGCAGGTTTCCCACAGCATGAGGTAGACCTGCCCATCTGATCCCTGCCTAGATCAGTTAAATTGCAGTCATCCTACTGATCACTGAGAGTTTTCAGAAGTGTTTGTCATTGTAAACAACTGAAATATTAGTTGTTTGTTATGCGGCAATAGCTGACTAATGCATCTTTAAAGAGCCTATATAAAGAGATACACAGAAATATAAAGCAATCTATAATAGAGAGTACAGTGAATGTCTGGAGAGAGACACAAAATGAGTACTGTGGGAAACCACTCTGGTGGTAAGGGTAAAATTCAGCTTCATGAAAAAGGTGGTCTTAAAGGATAAGGAGGATTTTGACAGGTGGAAATGAGTGCAGTGGGAGGTCATCTAAGCAAAGAAAACAGCATAAGCGAAGGCCTGAAAGTTTTATACCTCCAGGTTTTATGCCTATCTATGGCTCATGTCCTGTGATCTAAGTTTCTCAGAAGACAGAGATGCATCCACTTTCAGGGTGAGGACCTTTAGCTTGTCACTTCTGGTCATCCCTCCAGAATGAGCCGTATGCAATCTTTATGTTAGATCTAAAATCCACAGGAGATTAGTGACAGACATTGATGGCTGTTGCTACTGTCTAGATCTGGTCATGGACGTGTTCCACCACCCACAGACTCACCACCACCACCACCATATCGAATTTAAAAATGAGTCTCTTAAATACTTAACTGACTTATCTTGCCAACTCCCATTAACCAGTTTTATGCCTACTTCTCTGGAGTGACAACTAGATAATGATTATAGGGAAATTTGTTTTTACTTTTGTTTTGCGTCTGCTGCTTTCTTTTTGTTAGAATTTTTGTGATATACATTTTTGTTTTCAATGTTTCTATGTTGTCTTGTTTTTATTTGTTGTTTATTGTATTGCATAGTCTTGTCTACAGTATTTAACTGGATTTTTTTTAAAAGAAGCACTCCAAACTGAAAGGCATTGTCTTTTATTAGAGAAATTTAACCCATTTATGTTTATTATGCCTATTGATAAGTTTGAATTTACTCCTGATATTTCAAATTCCAATTTACCATGTTTTAAAAATTGATGCATAATAATTATATATTATTATGCATCAATTATGCAAAATATCACATGTATGAGGTACATATGATATTTTGATACGTACATACAATGTGTACTTTTCAAATCAGGGCAATTAGGATATTCATCACCTCAGACATTTATCATTTCTTTGTGTTGGGAGCATTTCAAATATTCTCTTCTGGCTATTTGTGTATGTACAATAAATTATTGTTAACTATAGTCACCCTACTGTGCTGTTGAACTCTAGAACTTTTCCTTCTAACTGTATTTTTGTACCCGTTAACCAACCTCTCTTCACCCCTCACTCACCCCCCCACCCTCTGGTAACCATACTTCTACTCTACTTTTATGAGATGAACTTTTTAAGGTCCTACATATTAGTGAGAACATGCAATATTTATCTTTCTATGCCTGGCTTATTTCCCTTAACGTCCTCCAGTTTCATTGGTGTTACTGCAAATGACAGAATTTCATTCCTTTTTATGGCTAACTGGATATTCCATTGTGTATATATATTATATTTTGTTTTGTTTTCTTTTTTTTTTTTTTTTGAGACAGATTTTCGCTCTTGCTGCCCAGGCTGGAGTGCAATGGCGCAATCTCGGCTTACTGCAACCTCCGCCTCCCGGGTTGAAGTGATTCTCTTGTCCCAGCCTCCTGAGTAGCTGGGATTACAGGCATGCGCCATCATGCCCAGCTAATTTTGTATTTTTAGTACAGACGGGGTTTCTCCATGTTGTTCAGGCTGATCTCGAACTCCTGACCTCAGGTGATCTGCACACTTCAGCCTCCCAAAGTGCTGGGATTACAGGCATGAGCCACCACGCCCGGCATATACTACATTTTCTTTCTTCATCCATTGACGAACACTTAGTTTGATTCCATATGCTGGCTATTATGATTAGTGCTACAATAAACATGGGTGTGCAGGTATCTTTTCTACATATTGATTTCCTTTTTTTGGATATATACCCAGCATGGAATTGCTGGATTATATGGTAGATCTATTTTTAGTTTTCTGAGAAATCTCTGTACTGTTTTCCATAATGGCTGTACTAATTGTCATTCCCACCAGCAATGCACTAGTGTTCCCCTTTCTCCACATTCTCACCAGCATGTTATTTTTTGTCTCATTGATACTAGCCATTTTAACTGGGGTGAAATATCTCGTAATGGTTTTGCTTTGCATTTCCCTTATGATTAGTGACATTGAATATTTTTTTCATATCCCTGTTGTCCATTTGTATGTTTTCTTTTGAGAAATGTTCATTTACCCTGTTTTAAAGTTTGTTCTTTTTCTTTCCTGCTTTTTTTTTTCCCCCTGTTACATTGGTTATGTTTTCCTTGATGCATTTTTTTTTCTTCAGTGGTTTGGAAGTAATGCACGCTAGTTCTGTCTCTTTGGCAATTATCTTTGACATTTTAAACACATTATGAAACATACTATTCTTTCAAAGTATAGAGTTAATTAGGATTTCATCCGGAGCAAAAGAACAAGCAGCATGTTTTCACTTCTCTACCTTAGCCATCTGCTGCTATTTCCTACGTTGAAATGATCTGGAACTTTAGTTTCAGAATGTTATTTATGTACTTATTTATTTTTATTGTGGATTCAGGGGGTACATGTGCAGGTTTATTACGTGGGCATATTACATAATGCTGGAGTTTTAGCTTCTATTGAATCCATCACCCAAACAATGAATATAGTACACAACAGGTAATTTCAACCCTTTCCCACCTTCCCTACTCCCCTCGCAGAATATTACTGAAAACAATTTTAGATTTTGTCTGTTTTTCCAAAGTATACTCTTTCTGGCCAGGTGCGGTGACTCACGTCTGTAATCCCAGCACTTTGGGAGGCTGAGGCTGGCAGATCACCCGAGGTCAGGAGTTTGAGATCAGCCTGGCCAACATGGCAAAACCCCGTCTCTACTAAAAATACAAAAAATAGCCGGGCATGGTGGTGCACGCCTGTACTCCCAGCTCTTCGGGAGGCTGAGGCAGGAAAATCGCTTGAACCTGGGAGGCGGATGCTGCAGTGAGCTGAGATCACACCACTGCACTCCAGCCTGGATGACAGAGCGATACTCCATCTCAAAACCAAAACCAAAACCACAACCACAACCACAACAACAACAACAACAACAACGACAACAACCACAACAACAACAACGTACGCTCTTTCAGAAAGTCTCCGAGTTGAAAACGCCTGTGTGGCCTTCTAGCATCCAGTGTTACCAACGAGGAATATGCTACCGATCTGCTACTTCATCCCTTAGTGAGGTTTTTTTTTTTTTTTTTCTCTTAGGAACTTTTTAGAATACTCTGTTCTCACTGAAATTGCACCCTGTTGCAACTAGGTGTGGTTCTTTTCCATGTCAGATTGGTCTTGTTTATAGAATACATGATCTGCTCTTAGCTCTTTGAAGCTATCAGTTATACTTACATTAAAATCTTTTGTTTGTTTGTCCTATTGTAGTGATTAAGCATGTGAGTTCTAGAATCACAATACTGGGCTTGAATCCCAGCCGTGATCCTTTCTGGATATTTGAGGGAAATTTCTGTAGTTACAGCAGGAACAGAGGTGGGGTGATTCCAGATTCCAGTATTCTAGGCAGAGGCGGCACTTAGCAGAACTAGCCCTGGTGGAGGTGGCCCTCTGATAAATTCAGAGCTGATTTATCAGCAGTGTCTTCAATGGCACAATGTTAGATGGAGGCTGATGGGTTCCAGCCTAGGAGCATTAGCAGCTTCTAAAAATTTATTATTTTTATTTTTTTAAACAAATTATTATTATTATTTTTATAGAAATGGGGTTGCCCCATGTTGCCCAGGCTGGTCTTGAACTCCTGGGCTTAAGCGATCCTGCCTTGGCCCCCCAAAGTGCTGGGATTATAGGCATGAGCCACAGCACCCAGCCCATTAGCAGTTTTTGATCTACGGTTATCACGTCTTCTTTTTGCTCCTCAGACCCACCCACTTTTCCAATTGCTCTTCCATCCATCTCCAAACCTTATACCTAACTCCTTGGTTTGAAATATCTAGAGTGGTTTCTGCTTTGCTGATACCACTGGTTTCTGAAACATGAGCATAGGACATAATTGATATTGGGGTGAATGGGAGGAACAGAATGATGCAAAATTGTCTGCTTCTGTGTATGAGAAAGACACTGGCCAATCTTAATTCTGCAAGCCCAGGAGGGCTCTTAAATTATATTTATTATTATTATTATTTTTGAGACAGAGTTTCACTCTTGTTGACCAGGCTGGAGTGCAATGGCACAATTTTGGTTCACTGCAAACTCCACCTCCCAGGTTCAAGTGATTCTCCTGCCTCAACCTCCTGAGTAGCTGGGATTACAGGCATGTGCCACCACGTCCGGCTAATTTTGTATTTTTAGTAGAAACAGGGTTTCGCCATGTTGGCCAGGCTGGTTTCGAACCCCTGACCTCAGGTGATCCACCCACCTCGGCCTCCCAAAGTTCTGGGATTACAGGCATGAGCCACTGTGCCTGGCCTGTTATTATTAGTAGTAGTAGCATAATGCATTGAACATAGCTTGTCAATGCTTGGGTGTCAGGTAATCAACACCAAGACGTCCCTTGAGACTTTTGCTTTCTAATTTGCCCTGAGGATAGGCCAAAATAAGCTAGTGACATATTGAGTTAATTGGGCATCAACCCAGGAATTCTGCTTCTTGCTGTCCTACCCTGGACTTCCCCATGAAGTTAGTGGCCCCAGGAGGAAGGTGAGAAAAGGGTGAAGCTGCATTACACTTGCAGTCAGTGTTCAAGTCACCACAAAACGGTGACCTACCTACACAGTGCCCTGAATCCTCCAGTCTTGCCCCAGATGACAGAATCCACATGGACCCTTTTACTGAAGCCCGTCAGGCTCCGCGGTTTTATAGATGATGTCAGGAGGAGTGATTAGGACCAAAGGAAAAAGGTTCCTAGGCACAGTTGCTAAAACTGTGCTCCTGAGGTCTGTAGGAGCCCCCAAGGTCTCTGTTGATTACTTTAAGCAAAGCTCTTCAGTTTCTCTGTGGGGAACTTCTCCCTAAGTGACCACAATCAGGTTAGCAGGTGGCTGAGTAAACAAGGCTGAACAATGGGTTTTCCGTCAAGTTGGTTTATATCAGCAAGAAGCCCTAAATCTGTTTTTTTTTTTTTTTCCAGTCCCTCCTGGAGATGAAGAAAGAGTTCAGTCACCCTGCTGAGGAGAGAAAAGGCCATTATTGTCAAAAGAAGGCACCTGTCCTAGATTTAAGGGAGGTGCGTTATCCTGGATGGTTTCTAGGCCTCAGTGGGATGGTCTGATGACTTCGTCTCACCCCCCAGGTACCTAGGAAGGTGATGAATGTGAAGGTGGATTCTTCATGGAGCTCCACACTCAGGATCTGGTATCTGAAGCTTCCTGCATTATGTCAGCTTATCTACTTTGTCCAGCTCCCCATTAGAGAAATCCTGCTTTCTTACCAGCATAGGTCACTGCGCTACTAAGAACATTTCTTTTCCTTTTTTTTCCCCTCCAGAGATGTGGTCTTGCCCTGTTGTCCAGGCCGGAGCACAGTGGTGCAATCCTACCTCACTGCACCCTCTAACTCCTGGACTCAAGTAATCCTCCTACCTCAACCTGCACGTAGCTGAGACTCCAGGCGTGAGCCATCGTGCCTGGCTATTTTTTGTATTTTAATTTTCTGTAGAGATGGGGTCTCGTCATATTGCCCAGATTGGTCTTGAACTCCTGGCCTCAAGTGATCCTCCCACCTCATCCTCCCAACCCCGTTTCTTTTCAGTCAGACAACCAGCCTGGTCTTTATTACACTGGTTCAGAGTCAGCTGGAAAAGAATTCTCTTTTCCTGGGCCAGGCAATCAGTGTTCAAGTCCCAGTGGGATCTCATTCGAGTCATGTGACTTTGGGCCGGTTCTTCACCTCTGAGAACCTCAGTTTCTCCACCTGTAAAATGGATGTGGCACTAGAGCCTGTACCACTTGCCTTGTAGGGATGTGGCAAGTCTCAAAGGTGGTGATATAAGGGGAGCGTTGGGTAAACTGTAACTCTCAGCTATCTGAATGTGCGCCTGTTCTCTCTCACGTTAGGAACCGTAGCAAGGCACTAGAAGAGGTTATATTTTATATATATATTATTTTTTATATTATTATATATTAATGTTATACAAAATACATTATAAATGTAAATTATATTATTATATATTAATGTAATACAAATATTACATTTTATCTACAAATCATTTGGCTGAGCCTTGGATGTCAATTGGGCTGTTTAATGCCCTGACGAAGATCTCTTATACATCCATATGAGAAAGGGTTTCTATACTGGAAGATACTGCCTCTCTTTTTACATGCAAGGACCTTGCTAAAGTGCAGTTTCTGATTCACTGGGTCTGACGCAGGACTGGAGATTGATTCTGCATTTTCCTCAAACTCCCAGGTCATACCCATGCTGCAGGTATCACATTTAGTAGCAAGAATGTAGGAAACATGGTCTTTTCTGGTGGCTCTCTTGATGTTTTGCTACACTTGTATTTACTTGTCTCAACTAGACTCCACCTCCTGCAGTCTCACATGACCCATGCAACTCAACGGAAGTCATACAACAATCACTAGCAGTAAGTACCCGCAGCTGTAGAAACAAACAAACAAATGAAAAAACCCAAACAATAACGTTTGCACAAGGACCCAAACTTGGCAGTGCACCTAGAAGAGTTTGTAGCATACCATTGGTTATAAACATTGTACAACACAAACCTAAACTATTACATTTGTGAGGGGATAGGTTGCCATTTCCCTTGCTTGTTTATGAGCAAAAACTTGAGAGCTGCATTATTTTTGCCTTCCCAGATAGCACTGACCCTCAGTAAATGTTTGATGAGCTAAAAGTGCCTTTAGTGAGTGGGAAATTAAGCAAGGCCCTTGATTGTACATCTATTGCTCCAAACTTCAGAAAAACCAATTATAACTTTTACAGAACATCTCCTCCCTATGCTGCTTTATTTCTTTCCATACATAGCTGAACTCATCACCTGAGACTCAACTTCCACCCATCTTGTCCTATAAGTTCAGATTTATAAGGGCAGGGCAGGCAAAGAAGCCCTTAGACTTTGCTTGTTGGTCTCTCCTGTAACCCTGAAATAACCACGTTTACCACGTTTATTCCCAAAGCTCATATTGAGTTCAAATCCCCTGTTACTCATTTAGAGAGACAAGTGGCATTCATCATTTTTGCCTCTCTGTGTCTTCCTCTCCCCCAGAACAATGGCATTACATGACGATTAACTCCTTTTGATATAAACAAGTCCAATGGCAGAGTGTTGGATGACTCAGAAAACCCAGGCATTGAAAGATGCAAAATATTTTATTGTGTTCTTGCATTATGAAGCATTGGGGAGTGTTAAGCATTTTTCTTTGATTTTTCTCTCCCTCCCTCCCTCCCTCCCTTTCTCCTGCCCTCCTCCCCTTTCTCCTTTCCTTCATCCTTTCCTTCCTTCCTTTCCCTCCCTTTCTCCTGCCCTCCTCCCCTTTCTCCTTTCCTTCATCCTTCCCTTCCCTTGCCTCCCCTCCTCTTCCCTCCCTTCCCTTCCCCTCCTTTCCTTTCCCCTTCCCTTCCCTTCCCTTCCCTTCCCTTCCCTTCCCTTCCCTTCTCTTCCCTCTCTTCCATCTTTTCATCTATATCTGCCATTTTGCCTAACACCATGTGCTGGAGAAGAAAGAAAACAAGGACTTAAAGAGGGAAAAAATTCAAAGAAAGAAAAATGAAAGGTAGACAGAGCTTATGCATTTTGAAGGTGTGAAAATTAGGATTTCAGCCTTTTTTTTTTTCTCCCCACTAAACCAGCAAGCAGGCAAATAAAGAAACCCTGCAGGGATTGACACAAGATGAGCAAAGTTTTAGAAGATTTTCCTCAGAAAAAAAACCCTCGCAGATTTACAAGCAGCATATCTGTTGTGAGGATTTCGAAGGAGATGAAAATATATTGCTAGCTATCTAGACATTTGTCAAAACAACTGAATTCTATGAATTGGAAAGGATGAATGAAACAACCAATCCTGGGGAAAGAAATTCAAGATGGGCTCTGTTGTGTTAGAATTTTTCTACAAAGACAGGGAAGTTTTAGCTGTGTGAGATAAAGCCTTGCACCAAATGAGAGGCCAACAGACCTTGGAAAGGGGCGTTCAGTTTCACCTTGAAGGGCACTTGGCTTTGTCAATTCTGGATATGTGGTCAAACCCCCTTATCCTCATACCTGTCTCACTCCATCCCTAAATCAGGGACCTGTCTGATTTAGAAAAATAGTGCCTCCCTTTTGGATATGGGGAGAGGGTTAGGATACCTTAATTTACAGTTCGCCATGTCTCTTCACAGAAGGGAGAGGTAATTCTCCAAAAGGAAAAAAGGGGTGCTGTTACCAGAAGAATGATTCGATGCTGGGCAACTAAAACCAACAAATGTCTTCTCCACTTGGAGAATAAGACTTAATTTCAATATTGAATCCTGTTGATGTCACAGTTGCCTGGACCTGACTTCCCAGGCCCTGTTTGTTATGAGTGCATTTGTTTCCTTGGTGCATGGCATACCAGTAGGAATGGGCACGCCTAATGCTCAGATATTGGTTCTTTTTTTTTTTTTTTTTTTTTTTTTTTTTTTTTTTTTTTTGAGGTGGAGTTTCACTCTGTTGCCAGGCTGGAGTGCAGTGGTGTGATCTCGGCTCACTGCAACCTCTGCCTTCTGGGTTCAAGTGATTCTCTTGCCTCAGCCTCCCGAGTAGCTGGGACTACAGGTGCCCACCACCATGCCCAGCTAATTTTTGTATTTTTAGTAGAGACGGGGTTTCACCATGTTGGCCAGGATGATCTTGATCTCTTGACCTCGTGATCTGCCTGCCTTGGCCTCCCAAAGTGCTGGGATTACAGGTGTGACAAATCTTGGTTCTTAAATACCATTGTGCATTAATAGTTAGCCATTGGAGAAATGGCTGATTCCAGGGCTGGGGCAGGAAAACTACAAGGTACACCTAAATTTTTTTTTCTCATCAGAATGTATGGAGTGGTAAGAAAAAATGACAGGGGCATGTCGCAATGATATAGGAGCCAGCTTGAAGGGAGTCCAACTTGAAAATCAGGGTCAAAATATTCAGATTGGGCTTTCCAAATCTGGGGTAATCTAAGCATGGAAATTAATAATGACAGAAATGGAAAACAACACATGGAATCCCTGAATTTATACTGATATTAAAAAAAAAGACAAGGGAGAGAGAAGGGAATGAGCTTATTTACTGAAGAATGTCAACTAATAAATGTAGAAGGAATTAGACTTAGAAACTCAAACTCTTGTTGGGTGCAGTGGCTTATGCCTGTAATCCCAGCGCTTTGGGAGGCTGAGGCAGGAGGATCATTGGAGGCCAGGAGTTTGAGACCAGCCTGAGCTTGTCTCTACAAAAAATTTAAAAAAAAGAATTAGCTGGGCACGATGGTGTGTACCTATAGTCCCATGTCCTTGGGGGCTGAGGCAAAAGAATCTCTTAAGCCCAGGAGTTTGAGGCTGCAGTGAGCTATGATTATGCCACTGCACCCCTGCCTGGGTGACAGAGTAAGATGGAATATGGAATATTGCTGGGAAGGGTATGGTACCAGTCTTGAAATATTTCCCCACAGATAACTTATTATTTCATAGTAAGGCACCTTCAGAGTGGAGAAATATGTGGGCACCATCTTAGCTGAGTAATCAAGCTGATCATCATATGCTTCCTCATACAATGCCTGTACAATATTCTTGCCAAAAATGTAACCACAAGGAGACAATCCATTGGTGATACATGCAACAAAAAAAGAGAATAATGGGTTAAAGAGTGATGGATGGAGACCACACTGAACAAGACAGGGAACTCTCTGAGGATGATGACTCCTGAGCAGAGACCAGAATGATGGGAAGGAGCCAAGTATGAGAAGATCTTGGTGGAAGGTGTTCTGGGAAGAGGGAATAGCAAGTGCAAAGGCCCTGGGGAAGGAGTGAATGAGGAGTAGAAAGACCAGTATGGCTAGAGCATTGTGGAAGAAAAGGAGAGTGATATGATGTGAGATTAGAGAGCGAGGTGAGGGCAGATGTTGTAGGGTTTTGAGGCCATATGAGGAATTTAGTTTTGTTTTTGGTGTATATAGTAGAGATTAATTTTTAAATGGATACATAATATTTTTACATATTTATGGGACACATGAGATATTTTGTTACATGTCTCACATGTGTAATGACCAAATCAGGGTATTTAGGATATCCATTATCTTGAGCATTTATCATTCCTTTGTTTTGGGAACATCTCAAATCCTCTCTTCCAGCCATTTTGAAGTATAGAACACATCGTTGTTAACTGCAGTCACCCTGCCATGCTGTTGAACTGCAGTACTGATTTTTTCCATCTAACTGTATGTCTGTCCCCATTAACCAGACTCTCTTCATTACCCCCACCCACACACTCTTCCCAGCCTTCGGTATCTATCATTCTACCCTCTACCTCCATGAGATCAACTTTTCAGCTCCCAGATATGAGTAAGAACATGTGATATTTGTCTTTCTGTGCCTGGCTTATTTCACTTAACGTAATGACCTCCATTTTCACAGTAGGAGTTAAATTTTAACATACCATACTCTGAGTATGTATCTGTGCTGAATAACTATATTTACCCATTTATATCTACAGCTATATCTAGAAACTACCTCACTAACACTACTCAATTCAGCTGTTGGAAGACTTTAAAATATTTTTGGAACAACTTGTGCGTATGAATTTACTCTTTCAATGGTAAATTTTATGAAATCTAACTATATAGTATTTCCAATGAAAATTTAGCATCTGTATGGAGATGTGTTGCAAATGTAAAATGCACACTAGATTTTAAGAAAAGAATGTAACTATCTCAAAAATAATTTTAAATTCTTGATACTATGTCGAAACAACGTTTTGAATACATTGACTTAAAATATTATAAATTAATGCTGTATGTATCTTTTTGCTTTTTAAAATTACAGCTCCATTGAGATATTCACGTAACATTGAAAATGTACAATTTGATCATTTTTAGTATATTCAAAGAGTTGTGTGATTATCTCTGCAATCAATTTTAGAATATTTTTATCATCTCCCAAAAAAGCCCCATACTCTTCTCAGTTCTAATTATTCTCCAACCCTTCCAGCCTTAAGCAAACACTAATCTTTGTCTTCTTGGATTTGCCTATTCTGAACACTTCACAGAAATGGAATCATATACTGTAATATTTGGTTTTTTACATTTGTCTTCTCTCACTTAGCATAATGTGTTCAAGGTTCATCTCTGTTGTAGCATATATAGGTACTTTGTTCTTTTTGACTGCTGAATAATGTTCTATTATATGCTACATTTTGTTGATGAACATTTGGTTTGTTTTCTCTTTTTGGCTCTGGGGAATAATCCTGATGTAAACATGCATGTACAAGTTTTAGTGTGGACATGTGTTTTGATTTCTCTTGGGTATATATCTAGGAGTGGGATTTCTGGGTCCTATAGTTTTTGCTATTTAATTAATTAATTAATTTATTTATTTATTTTGAGACGGGTCTCACTCTGTCGCCCAGGCTGGAGTGCAATGGCACAATCTCAGCTCAGTGCAACCTCCGCCTCCCGGGTTTAAGTGATTCTCCTGCCTCAGCCTCCCGAGTAGCTGGGATTACAGGTGTGCACCACCATGCCTAGCTAATTTTTGTATTTTTAGTAGAGACAGGGTTTCACCATGTTGGCCAGGCTGTTCTGAAACTTCTGACCTCAAGTGATCCACCTACCTTGGCCTCCCAAAGTGCTGGAATTACAGACGAGCCACTGGCCAGCTTTTGGTTTTTTAAATGTGGCAACTAGAAAATTTGAAAGTATATGTGTGGCTTGCATTATAATTCTATTGCAAAGTCCCAATCTAACCAAATCAAATTTCCTGAGAGGTCCCTGTCCTGCCAAGGAACAAGGAAAACAGCTAAACTTGCCAATTAGAGATGTCTCGGTCTCTTAAAGTTTTGAGTGGTCCCATTTTACCCTCCCATAAAACAATCTTTTTTTCAGGTAAATATTCAGCTGGTTTAAACATTCAACTCTCTTTTGGGGCTATTCCTTCCTTTTCTGTCTTGCTTCTACAGATGGTGCCTAGGTTCAAGGGACAGCTTGGGAGGAAGTCTGTGGTTCACACTTTCTCCTTGGCATCTTTATTTTTATTTCATTTTATTGATTGATTGATTGAGACAAGGTCTCGCTGTGTTGCCCAGGCTGGAGTGCAGTGGCAAAACCTCGGCTCATGGCAACATCCACCTCCCAGGTTCAAGCAATTCTCGTGCCTCAGGCTCCTGAGTAGCTGGGACTACAGGTGTGCACCATCATGCCTGGCTAATTTTAGTATTTTTAGTAGAGATAGGGTTTCGCTATGTTGGCCAGGCTAGTCTCGAACTCCTGACCTCAAGTGATCTACCTGCCTTGACCTCCCAGAGTGCTGGGATTACAGGCATGAACCACCATGCCCAGCCCCCTCCTTGGCATCTTTAAAAGTAAATCCTGGGCAGTGTAGCACTTTTGTCTTGTTTCTGGGTATCTAGCAGGCTTGCCCATGGAGCAGTGGTAGAGGGAGCCTCCAGAAGGTGATGTCTGTGGCCTCTGCTTAACTCAGCAGGCCCCGCTGCCATTCCTCCTCAGCTCTGGGCGCCTGTCTGTTGGTGCAGGGCCCCCCAGTGATTTCCCCAGCTGAGTCTCTGCCTAAATGCCTCCCTCAGACCTTTCCAAAGTCACATGGCTCCAGCACTATGCCAAGCATGGAGAATTTTCCCGGGGAATCAGAATTTTCTTGGAATATGCACCTGGGATGTGAGGAGCAAAGTCTTGCAATGGTCATTCTCCAACATTATCCAGTTATTTCTACCTTCCCTGGCTTCCTACCCCAAAGAAAGAAGAGCCAGGAAATTTCACTAGATTTGGCAAGATGATTGATGACTTTGATTTTAAAAATAATAAGTTATGTGCTGGTGGTTATCCAGGTCTACACATCTGTGCATACATAATAAGTGTATGCTTCAAATGGGTGCATTTTATTCTGTATAAATTTTATCCCAGCAAAGTTGATTTAAAGAAAGAGCAGGTTCAATTTATATACATTGTGCTGGGAAGATATTTATGATACAGTGTTAAAATATATTTTTGCATGAAAGAAGCCAGTTGCAGAGCAATGAGTAGTAAGATAATACTTTTGTAGTTAAAACGTGAAAAAAGAGGAAAAGCTCCTATATATATTCTGTGTTTCTCACGTAAACACAAAGAGATTGTAGAAAACAACACAAACTGCTTATCTAGAAGAGGACTGGCTGGAGAATAATGGTGGGCAGGGGAAGGGTTAAGTTTGTCTCTGTATCTTCCTGTATTGTTTAACTGGTCCTTTTTTGTCGTGAGACAGTCTTGCTCTGTTACCCAGGCTGCAGTGCACCACCACCACCATGCCACCATGCCACCATGCCACCACGCCACCACGCCCAGCTAATTTTTGTATTTTTAGTAGAGACAGGGTTTTGTCATGTTGTCCAGGCTGATCTTGAGCTCCTGATCTCAAGTGATCTGCGTGCCTTGGCCTCCCAAAGTGCTGGGATTACAGGTGTGAGCCACTGCGCCCAGCCTTAATGTGCATATAGTACAAAGCTCATTTTTTGATTAAAAACACAATAAATATAAAATAATAATAAAAGTCAATTAACTTTTATTATTTGAATTTTTAGCAGACACATTGCACCTTGTACTTTTTAAAAATAGCATCTACTCAACTTTATTTTTTATGTGTTTTTTTTTATACAAAACTCCGGACCTTATTTTTCTAGTTTTTCCACGAATGCTCCTTTTCTGTTCTGGGACCCTGTGCAAGAGATTCCGTTGCATTTAGTCTCAGGCCTCCTTAGCCTCCTCTGGTCTGTGACAGCTTTTCAGTCTTTCCTTGTTTTTCATGAACTTGACCATTCTGAGGAGGACTGGTCAGGTATTTTGTTGAATGTTGCTCAGTTTGGGTTGTATAAAGTTTTTCCTAGTGATTTAGACTGGAATAATGGATTTTTAGGAGGAATTGCACAGAGGTACATGCTATCAACATGGCCTATCACTGATGCTGACCTTGATTGTGGAATTAAAGCAGTGTCTGCCAGGCCTCTCCACTGTCCCCTTCCTTCCTTCCTTCCTTCCTTCCTTCCTTCCTTCCTTCCTTCCTTCCTTCCTTCCTTCTTTCCTTCTTTCCTTCTTTCTTTCCTTCCCTTCTTCCCTCCCTCCCTCCTTCCCACTTTCTTTCCTTTCTTTTTCTTTCTTTCTTTCTCTTTCTTTCTCTTTTCTTTCTTTCTTTCTCTTTCTTTCTTTCCTTCTTCCTTCCTTACTTTCTTTCTTTCTTTTCTTCCTTTCTTTCTTTCTTTCTTTCCTCTTTCTTTCTTTCCTTCTTTCTTTCTTTCTTTTCTGTCTTCTTTCCTTCTCTCTCTCCCTCTGTCTCTCCCTCTCTCTTTCTTTCTTTCTTCATTTCTGTCTCTCTTTCTCTCTCTCTCTCCCCTTCTCTCTTTCTTTTCCTTTTCTTTTCTTTGACATGGTCTCACTCTGTCACCCAGGCTGGAGTGCAGTGGTGTGATTCTAGCAACATTATCCAGTTATTTTTACCTTCCCTGGCCTCCCATCCCAAGGAAAAAAGAGCCAGGAAGGCCTTGGCTGGAAGCCCTTCTGGGCTGCAGCCTTGACCTTTGGGCTCAAGCAATCCTCTCTCCTCAGCCTCCTCAGTAGTTAGGACTATAGGTGTGCACTAGGATGCCCAGCTAATTTTTTTATTTTTACTTTTTGTAGAGACAAGGTCTTGCTATGTTGCCCAAGCTGGTCTGAAACTCCTGGCCTCAAGCTGTCCTCTGCCTCAGCCTCCCAAAATGCTGGGATTACAGGCATGAGCCACTGCACCTGGTCCTATTTCCCTTTTCTAGACTCAAGCTATACTCCATATTTATTGGAAGCCAGTTACTAAGACCCGCTTACACTCAAAAGGAGTGGAATCGGTAAGTGTGGGGTGTCTACAGATATTATTTAAAGTTCTTTGTTAGGAAGACTTGCCTCTTTTACCCCAGTACATTAATTTATTCAATCAATCATTTATTTTATACTTTGGGTTTTAACCTTACACTGTGTTATTTATTTTGTTGCTCAAATTGTTCCAGCTTTAATCATAGTGAGTTTTGGGCCTTGCATTCCTGTGATAAGCTGTCCCTTCCTTTTTTTGTTTGTTTGTTTGTTTGTTTGAGACAGAGTCTTGCTCTGTCACCCAGGCTGGAGTGCAGTGGTGCGATCTCGGCTCACTGCAAACTCTGCCTCCCAGGTTCAAGCAATTCTCCTGCCTCAGTTTCCCGGGTAGCTGGGTTACAGGTGTCTGCCACCACACCCAGCTAATTTTTGTATTTTTAGTAGAGACAGGGTTTCACCATCTCTACTAAAGAGACTAGGCTGGTCTTGAACTCCTGACCTCAAGTGATCCACCTGCCTTGGCCTCCTAAAGTGCTGGGATGATGGGCGTGAGCCACTGTGCCTGGCCCGTCCCCTTGTTTTTTTAAAGCACGTCTTTACTTTTCATCACTACAAGATGCTGCAGGCTCATCTTGTATTTTCTCTGTCCCAGACCACAAACAGCCATTTCTCCAAGGAGCCATGGTTCCTGGAGAATAATAGTGAGAAATGAAGACTGGGATGTGGTGACAAACTTTAATTTTATTGCTCTGTAAGCTTTCCCAAGCTCCCCATTGGGCTATAAACCTCATTCTGCGTGGTGGTTTTGCTGTCTCTCTCACCATGTTGCCTCTTGTACATACAATATCTAGTATTTATTGAATGAATGAAGTTCATTGAAACAAGTTTTAGCTTTTTTCTTGATTCTTTTAATATTACACTAATTTTACTTTTGTGTAACGCCGTAATCTAGCTAGACCAAGAAAATGAGTCATGCCTTATTATTATTATTATTGTTTGATGTGGGGTCTCACTCTGTCACCCAGGCTGGAGTGCAGTGGCGCAATCTTGGCTCACTACAACCTCCACCTCCCGAGCTCAAGCGATTCTCCCACCACAGCCTCCAGAGTAGTTGAGACTACAGGCGTGTGCCACCACGCCTGACTAATTTTTGTGTTTTTGTAGAGACAGGGTTTCGCCATGTTGCTAAGGCTGGTCTTGAACTCTCGGACTCAAGTGATCCTCCTGCCTCAGCCTCCCAAAGTGCTGGGATTACAGGTATGAGCCACCACACCCAGCAGAGTCATGCCTTATTTTATCTCCCTGTCATTATGAAATGACTGATATCTCAGAAAATGAAGACATGAATGCATTTGTAATGTATTCATGGAGTATGTCCTACCCTGCATGCATTTCAACAGTAGTCACCCATAATCAATGAATATTTGTAATTCTTGGTTATTTGATTTTATTCCTGGCCAGAAATTTAAAAAGGAAAGTGTGTAGTAGGAAAAAAAAAAAAAAGCAAATTGACTGTTTTTTCCTACTACACTTACTCAACTCCATGCACTTCTGTGACCATATGGGTGGGGTTTTCCTTACATGTCAGTACTCCCATGGGTACCAACTGGGTATCCTCTAATTCAGTTCAATTCTGACATTATATACTTGGAGTCAGATCCCACAAGATAAGGACTCAGTCCCACAAGTCTGCTTCCACCTCAGATGCCAATAGCAAGTCTGGGCCTCTGGAACTGACCAACTGGCTATAAATTAGGGGTTCCCACCACCCTCTCCCTAATGATTTGCTAGAGTGGCTCACAGAACTCAGGAAATCACCATACTTAATGTTTACCCATTTATTATAAGGGATATTACAAAGGATACAGATGAACAGCCAGATGAAAAAGATGAGGCACAGGGCAAGGTATGGGGAGAGGGGCTGTGGAGATTCCATGTCTTCTGATATAGTGTGGTTGTGTCCCCACCCAAATCTCATCATGAATTGTAGCTCCCGTAATCCCCACGTGTTGTGGGAAGGACCTGGTGGGAGGTAATTGAACCATGGGGGCAGGTTTTTCCCATGCTGTTTTTGTGATAGGGAATAAGTCTCATGAGATCTGATGGTTTTGTAAAAGACAGTTCCCCCGCACCTGCTTTCTTGCCTGCCGCCATGTAAGAATGTGCCTTTGCTCTTCCTTTGCCTTCCGTCATGAGTGTGATGCCTCCCCAGCCATGTGGAATTGTGAATCAACTAAACCTCTTTCCTTTATAAATTACCCAGTTTTGGGTATGTCTTTATTAGCAGTGTAAAAATGAACTAATACATCCTGTATGGGTAAGACACCCTCCATGTGTTCAGAAACCTAGAAGCTCCTCAAACCCCTTGATTTTTATGGAGGCTTTATCACATAGGTATGATTGATTATTAAGTCAATTTCCAGCCTCTCTCCATCCTTCTCAGAGGATGGGAGTGGGGATGAAAGTTCCAAGCTTCTATTCTTGGCTTGGTCTTTCTGGTGACCAGCCCCCACCCAGAAGCCCCATTGAGAGTTCCCATATTAGAACAAGAGATGCTCCCATCACTCAGAAAATTGCAAGGGATTAGGAACTCTGTGGCAGGAACCAGGGTTAAAGACCAAATATTGGAACAAAAGATGCTCCTAACATCTCTATTGCCCAGGAAATTGCAAGGGATTTAGGCACTATCTGCCAGGAACTGGAGATAAAGATATATATATTTCTTATTATAAATCATAATGTCACATAAAGATACATTGTTGCTCTGTTCTTTTCTAATTCTTTTCCTTCCATCTATTTCCATATGTCAAAATTGGACCAGTGTCCCAAGGCCTAACTAACTCCAAAGCCAAGTCTTTCCAGTTGCCTTTATATCTCTCTGTCTAAAATGAGATCTCCCTTATCTCTGAATCCCATGAGTTTGTATTTACACTGTGATATTTACCTTTTTAAAATTGTACTCATTTATATATGTCATAATCCTTCTCTAACACTGTAAATTAATTTCTGGCAGGGCTCATATCAGATTCAACTTCTTGCCTACAAATAGCAACAAGAAATCAATTGTTTAAAGAGGATTTGAAATTTAAAAAATTATATTATGGCTCTGTAATAGCTAATTTCAGAATGGAGGAAAAAGAACAACTAAATCAGTTGATCAGAAGGAGGGGAAACTATACAAATTATGTTCTGGCTATAAAATTACAAGTGACTGTTATGTAGAGGATAGATAGGGAAGCTAGTACTACAGTGAAGTTCCCCCTTTCATTCTCAACCCCTTAAATTTGGTCCAAAGAAACTCAACCAACCAACCAACCAACTAAAAAAAAAGTCGATACATTTGGTATCGAAGAAGGTATGGTGAAAAGGTTAAATATATATAGTTGAAGGGGGAAGAATCTGGTCTAGAATGATAAAAGATGCACATACAAGAAAATATATTACCACGCTGTTTGCAAAAATGAAAACCAGAGCATTTTGGAAGCGACCTGACTGTCTGTCAACAGCAAATGACTGGATAAAATTTGATATAGCTATACTATGTGATGTTATGTGGCTATTAAAAACAAATTAGATCTCTGGCTATTTTTCCAAAGACATGTCTGTGGTGGGCTGTAAAGTGAGAAAAGGAAGGAGCAGAGACAGGAGTTGAGCTTGATTCTAGTTTTGTCAAAATGTCAACTTACAGGTCAGGGTAAGGACCTGTAAGGGAGGGAAGAGAAAACGGGAGGGTAGGAGACCAGCCAGGCTAGATAGGGACAAGGTTGCATGTTCTCCCACAATGCGTCCAGGTAGCCTCTTATTCTGAAAAAGACACAGTCACCTTGCCAACGGCCATGACCTGCTAGTCTCATTGATTCTCATAGGAAAGAAACATTTGTGCCCAGAGTTTTAGGGGATTTGAGGTTCCAGTTGGGGATTTCCCTGAGGAGAGCGCATGTCATCATGCATTTTGACGTCATGGCATCTTGAACTTTAGATAAAAGAGAACCAATTCATGTTGATTTTTTGTTGTTGTGGCATTTAAAAACTCTGAGCTTTATCTTTTAGAGGGGTAAGATGAAAAGGAGTGAAGATCAGCCTTCCCCTTTTTACTTAATGGGAAAGGGTTTGTAGATGATTTAAAATGTCACTTATTTCATTGAAATGAATGATACATTTATTAAAGATGTTCAAACTCACCAGTGTCAGAGATATGTAAATTAAAGTAACAGTGAGATATCCCTCTCAGGCTGGGAAAAAAAATGGAAAAGACCAATCTCACCTATATTGTTGATGGGAATGAGAATTATTTCAGCTGTGTTTTGGCCACATTTATTAACATAAAATATATAGATTTTTGGAAATTATATAGGACTGGATATATAGCAAATAATATAGGTAATAAGACACATAAATTATATAGAATAATGATAAAATGAACCCATTTCCAACCTAAGAATGCAGTCGTCACCAATACTGTTGAAGCCACCTGCAAGCTTCTCTCTAGTCCACTTTCTCTGCCTTCTCCGCCTTTCTCTAGAGGTATCTACTACCCTGTTCTCTTGCTTTGCTCTTTTAAAAATAGTTAAAGAGAAATACATATACTCTTTGACCCCGTAATCCCCATCCTGGGCCTCTATCTCGTAGACATAAAGGCCATGGTACATAAGGATGTTTGTAGAAAGGATGTTTATTGCAGCACTGTTTGTAGTAGCCAAAGAGGGAGAAACGAGTGAATGCCCATTAATGATTGAACAAATTACAGGACATCCACACCATGGAATTTTCTGCAGCTATTAAAAAACGATGAATTAGAGCAATACCAGATGCCTTGGAGGGATTTCCATGGCATATTGCAGAATGAGGAAATGGGAGCTGCGGAAGCGTGCATAAAATGACAAATGCCTATGTATTATATACTGTGTGTGAATACATATATTTGTGTGTGATTTATGAGTATAGAGACAAATTTGGAAGGATGTATTCTAAATTGTCAATGAGGATTAACAGAAAGAGGAAGGGTGGTCTGATGTGGAGGGAGAATGGATTAAGCCAAAAGAGAAGAAGAAAAAAACCCAAATTACCTGGGCTTCATCAGATAAATGGAGATCAAAATTCCATCTTATTGTTGTTCCAGGGCTTGTAATATGGTTAGGCTTTGTGTCCCCACCTAAATCAAATCTCATCTTGAATTGTAATCCCCATAATCCCCACATATCAAGGGAGAGACCAGGTGGAGGTTATTGAATCATGGGGGTGGTTTCCTCCTTGCTGTTCTCATGATAGTGAGTGAGTTCTCACGAGATCTGATGGCTTTATAAGGGGCTCTTTTCCCCTCTTCGCTCAGGACTTCTCCTTCCTGCCACCTTGTGAAGAAGGTGCTTTGCTTCCTTTTTGCTTTCCGTCATGATTGTAAGTTTCCTGAGGCCTCCCCAGCCATGCTGAACTGTGAGTCAATTAAACCTCTTTCCTTTATAAATTACCCAGTCTCGGGCCATTCTTTATAGCAGTATGAAAATGGACTAATACAGCTTGTGTGATAATTTCACTGGATGATGTGAAAGCTTTTTTGAAAATGTTCAAGGCTCTGCCCAAATATGTGATGGTGGAATTTATTATGATATGCAAATGATACTTATAATAGTGATGTGATTTTATTTATTTATTTTTTTTTTATTTTTTTTGAGACAGGGTCTCACTCTGTCTCTCAGGATGGAGTGCAGTGGTGCGATCACAGCTCACTGCAGTCTCAACCTCCTGGGCTCAATTGATCCTCCCACCTCAGCCTCTTGAGCAACTGGGACTACAGGCATGCACCAACACACCCGGCTATTTTTTTTTTTTTTTTGTATTTTTTGTAGTGACTGGGTCCATGTTGACCAGGCTGGTCTTGAATTCATGGGCTCAGGTGATCCTCCTGTCTTAGCCTCCCAAAGTGCTGGGATTACAGATGTGAGCCACTGCACGTGGCCAGTGATGTGACTTTGAGCAAATAATTTTTTATTCTTCTAGGTCTAATAAGGTTTTATCCATTAGACAGATAATAATAACCAACCTCATTAATAGCTGATATCCTTTCAGATGAACTATTGAAATCACTCTGCCTGGATTAAATGTAGTCCTCAACCATGGCAAAATTCAAAGTATGACCTGCTTAACCTGACTGCTAAATCCTCCCCTGACCCCCACCACAGTTTCCCCTCTGCTAACACCTTACATCGCCATGGTACTTTTGTCTAAACTCAGAGATGGGAACTGGCGCATTGCTTGTAACTAACCTCCAGAGTTTATATGGCTTTCACTTTTCCATTCATGTTCTGTTTCTGTTTTACGATCCAATCCAGGGTGCCACACTGCATTTTGTTGGCATGAATCCTCAGTCATTTCTTGTCTGTGACAGTTTTTCATTATTTTTTATAGCTTTTTTTTTTTTTGAGATGGTGTCTTGTTCTGTCACCCAGGCTGGAGTGCAGTGGTGTGATCTCGGCTCGCTGCAACCTCCGCCTCCCGGGTTCAAGCAATTCTCCTGCCTTGGCCTCCTGAGTAGCTGGGATTACAGGCATGCATCACCATGCATGGCTAATTTTTATATATTTTTTTAGTAGAGACAGGGTTTTGCCATGTTGGCCAGGCTAGTCTTGAACTCCTGACCTCAGGTGATCTGCCTGCTTTGGCCTCCCAAAGTGCTGGGATTACAGGCATGAGCCACCGCGCCCGGCCTACGTTTTATGGCTTTGATGGTCGAGATGTGCTGGCCAGGTATCCTGTAGAAAGTTCCCCGATCTGGGTTTGCTGGATGCCTTCTCCAGATTATGCTGGAGCAGTTTGTTTTTGTGTGTGTTATCCAGACTAATCTCCTCTTGGAATAATTTTGCCTATATAAATGTGACCCGCCGGGCGTGGTGGATCACACCTGTATCCCAGCACTTTGGGAGGCTGAGGCAGGTTAATTGCCTGGACTCAGGAGTTCGAGACCAGCCTGGGCAACATGGCAAAACCCCGTCTCTAAGAAAATACAAAAAATTAGCTGGGCGCGGTGGCGCACACCTGTAGTCCCAGCTACTTGGGGGGCTGAGGTGGAGGATGGCTTGACTCTGGGAGTTTGAGGCTGCAGTGAGCTGAGATCATGCCACTGCACTTCAGCCTGAGTGACAGAGTAAGACCCTGTCTCTAAAAAAATAAGATAAAATAAAAGAAATGTGACCCTAGAGTTGTGTGTGAGTGAGAGAGAGAGAGAGAGAGAGAGTGTGTGTGTGTGTGTGTGTGTGTGTGTGTATAAGAGGCAGGGTCTGTCTCTGTCCCCAGGCTGGAGTACAGTGGTGCAATCATAGCTCACTGCAACCTTGATCTCGTGGTATCAAGCAATCCTCCTGCCTCAGCCTCCCGAGTAGCTAGGACTACAGGTGTGCACCACCACTGCTAGATAATTCTTTTTTTTTCTAGACGTGTGGTTTCACTATGTTGTGCAGGCTGAAACTCCTGGCTTCGAGTGATCCTCCTGCCTCAGCCTTCCAAAGTGCTGGGATTACAGGCATGATATACCAGGCCTAGCCCCTAGAGGTATTAAATGGGGGTATTAACTTGTCTTTTTATTCTTCATTTAAATGATTGCAAATGCTATCCAATCTACTCCCGAGAGGCCCCTCAGGGAGTTAGTTTCCATTTTACAGATGAGGCAGCCGGACCCTTCTGCATGGCAGAGAGGACATTCCAACCCAGATGCCAGTGCCAGAGGCTGCCCATAGCTCCGCTACTGTTGAGCTGCTAACAAATTGGTTTGTCCAAGGGCATGTTCAACTGTAACCCTCCGTTCCCCTTTGGAGAAACTTCACTATCACCTAATTAGGTAACATGGTAACTGGGCAACCATTACTTATAATAGACGTGGAGTTGTAAATTATTCTATTTAATTAAGAACTGCACATTTCCTATTAAAGGAAAGCTTATCATAGGTTAGTAAATTTATTGGAAACACTTAACTTTAGCTAATTAAGCTGTTTGAACTCAAGGCGAGGGCATTCATTAATAACCAAGCCCAAGCAGTTAAGGGCAATTAGTGAAACAGCTGGTCTTTATCTCACTGTTAAAGGATGGTTAATAGAGATCTTTGCAGCTCTTATAAACCTCCCCAAAGCAATATCTTCTTCAAAAGTTTGCATTGGTAAAGAAAATAGAAGAGGAAACTAAACATAAAAGAATGGAGTGTCGGAAGCAGTCTGGATCTCTAGGCTCATGATGATGCCGGAAAAAAATGAAATCCAGAGGCATTTCCTAGTGGTCCTCATCTTTCCTAGTGGTCTGCATTTACCTGGGAGAGTTTGACCTCGAAGTCAGCAGTAGATGTGTTTTAGCTCCCCCCTGGAATCTTGGCTGCCCCAGGAGCATGGGGCCAGGGATGGGTCCTTTATATATGCAGAGATTATATGTCCTGAAAGAAAAATGCAGGAATGGTAACCTCTCATTCAGAAATGCAGCCAGGTAGCCTTAGACAAAATGCTTTTTTTGGATCTGCAAATGTCTCTATGTAGAAAGTCTCACAGAGTCCTCATATGTCTTATTCAGTAATTTGTCAGATTTTTTTTTTTTTTTTTTTTTTTTGGAGATAGGGTCTAACTCCGTCACCCAGGCTGGAGTGCAGTGGCGCAATCTCAACTCATCGCAACCTCAGCCTCCCAGGCTGAAGCGATCCTCCTACCTCAGCCTCCTGAGTAGCTGGTACTACGGGCATGTGCCACCATATCCTGCTAAGTTTTTTGTATTTTTAATAAAGACGAAGCTTCACCATGTTGTCCAGGCTGGTCTTGAACTCCTGAGCTCAAGCGATCAGCCTCCCAAAATGCTAGGATTACAGGCATGAGCCGCCCTACCCAGCCAGCTTGAACTTTTATTTAGAAATGTTAAAATGTGCATAGTTATTAGGATTATCTTGTGTTTCAGGAATCAACTGTCATTATGTATCCTGTGATTGGAGGGAAATGAGTAATTCTTACCCTACCTGCAAATAGTTGTTTCTTGGTCAGATGGTAGGGATTCTGGTTGGGGATGGTACTTTCATCACTCTGCCTTCAGACATGTATTGATTGCCTGTTGTATGCTGGGCACTATGCTGGTATGTGACATCACATGAGAGCATCAAGGAGCCTGTTTAGCTTGCAATCCAATGAGAGAAGAATGGACAGTAAACAGGTGTTGTTTTTGTTTATTAAAACAAGGTAATCTTTGGCTGGGTGCGATGGCTCGTGCTTGTAATCCCAGCACTTTGGGAGGTGGAGGTGGGAGGATGGCTCAAGGCCAGGAGTTTGAGACCAGCCTGGGAAACATAGAGAGACCCCGTCTCTACCTAACAGAAAAAATTAGCCAGGCATGGTGGTGGCATATCCCTGAAGTCCCAGCTATTTGGGAGGCTGGGGTGGGAAAATAGCTTGAGCCCAGGAGGTTGAGGCTGCAGTGAACTATGATTACGCCACTGCACTCCAGCCTGGGTGACAGAGTGAGATCCTGTATCTAAGAAACAAAAAAACAAAAAACAAAGTAATCATGGACTATGATCAATGCTTTGAAGGCAAAGTGGTTATCCAAATTCAGCCTTTCTTGGTTGTTGCCTTGCCTTATAATAGTGTCTGCTTCATATTTCCTTTTTAGTTGGCTCATATTGCTTTAAACTTAAATATATTTATTTGAAATGAAGACCTTATATTCCTACAATAAGTGGGAAGCCAGTATCACTTATCAGAAATGGAAACTAATCAGAAGAATAAATACATAACTATTAAAATGAAAGCTGTCACATGTTCTCATTTATACGTGGGAGCTAAATGATGAGAACACATGGACACATAGAAGGGAACAACACACCCTTTCAGAGGGTGGAGGGTGGGAGGAGGGAGAGGATCAGGAGAAATAACTAATGAGTACTAGGTACTGGGTGATGAAATAGTCAAACACCCGTGACACAAGTTTACCTATGTAACAAACCTGCACTTATACCCCTGAATTTAAAGTAAAAGTTAAAAAAATTCATTACCTCACATACTTAGTTTTGGAGGGTTGAAGACATTTAAAATCTACTCTTTTAGCAATTAATAATAAAGGTTTTTTTTTTGTTTTTGTTTTTGTTTTTTTTTTTTTTTTTGAGAGGGAGTCTCACACTGTTGCCTGGGCTGAAGTGCAATAGTGTGATCTTGGCTCGCTACAACCTCTGCCTTCTGGGTTCACGCGATTCTCCTGCCTCAGCCTCCCGAGTAGCTGGGATTACAGTCCCACACCACCACACCTGGCTAATTTTTTGTATTTTTAGTAGAGATGGGGTTTCACTATGTTGGCCAGACTGGTCTTGAACTCCTGACCTCATGATCCGCCTGCCTCGGCCTCCTAAAGTGCTGGGATTACAGGTGTGTGCCACCATGCCTGGCTATTTTTTTCGTGTTTTTAGTAGAGACGGGGTTTCACCATGTTGGCCAGGCTAGTCTCGAACACCTGACCTCAAATGATCTGCCTGCTTTGGCCTCTCAAAGTACTGGGATTACAGGTGTGAGCCATCGTGCCCAGCCTAATATTAAAGTTTTCTTTGGTTTTAGTAAATGAAAAAAATAAAAATAAAATAAAACCTGTCTTCTGCCACCTAAAAACAGCCCAGGAAGTACCAGCAGTGTGCATGTCATATTTTGGAAATATTGGCATGAGTTGAGGGGTAACTGAGGATGCCACCTGCCATGTGTGCATGCATGTGTATGTATATAACCACCTGAAAGTAGATTACATGGTACTTCACTCTTAAATAATAGTGTGCGTTGTCTAAGAACAGGAACTTCTACTACATAATCATAATACCATTTCACACCTGAGAAAATGAACAATAGAGCCTGATATTATTTAATATATAGTCCATATTCATGCTTTCCTCATTGGCCCAAAAATATTTTTATAGCTTTCTTCTTGAACCCAGATATAATCAAGGCTTACACACTGCATTTGGTCACTAGGTGTTTTTAGTCTAAATCTATAACAAAGTTTGGTAATCATTTTCTAGAAAGGGCCGGGTAGCAAATATTTTTGGCTTTGCAGGCCATATCATCTCTGTTGCAGTCACTTAACTCTGCTCTTTTCATACAAAAGCAGCCATGGACAGTAAGTAAACAAGTGAACATGGCTGTATTCCAATAAAACATTATTTACAAAAACAGGTAGTGGGCCAGATTTGGTCCACAGGATAACACCAAACTCACTTCCCCTTTTAAATGAAATTGGCTTAAAATCCTTCCTTTTAAAGTTGCAGCATGTGGCATTGACTTTTGAAAAATCTCAGCCAGATGTCTTGTAGAATGTCCCACATTTGGATTTGTCCGAAGTTTCCTCTGGGTGTTATTGAACTTGTTCCTCTCTCCCCTATATTTCTTCTGTCCTGAAGATTAGTTTCAGAGGCTTGATTTGATTGGGGTGAAACATTTCTGGCAAGAATCCTTCAAGGTGATGCCATATCTTTCACATTGCATCATGCCAGGAAACATGTATTTCTTTGCTCCCCACTTGGTGATGCCAAGTTTGAGCCCTTGGCTAGGGACATAACACCAGACCTCTCCATTGCAAAGGTACATTTCCCCTCTGGAATTAGTGCATAATATGCAGGCTTCTCCCTCTGTCTGGAACACGCCTCTCTGTGGTCTTCCTTTGCGTGGCTCTTTCTCATCATTTGAGCCCCCACTCAAGCATCAGCTGCCCTGAGAGCAGGACATTATGCAACTGCTCTTAGGTGCTCTCAAGGCCCTGCATGCTGTGGCCCTGGCCACCTCCCTGGAGTCATCTTGGACATTCTCCTCTTTCCTGTTGCAGGTCAGCCATGCTGGCCATCTTTCACTGCATGGAGTGCACCGTGCTCCCTCTGTCCTATCCTTGCCTGGAGCACATCACTCTCTGCCTCACCCGGCTAACCCCTTCTCACACTTCTGGTATTCACTAGGGGGTCCTATCCTGAAGGGTGTCTTCCTAGACTGTCCTCCCCATCCCAGTTTGGACAAAATACTGCTGTCAAATGTTCTCAAAGTACCACATAAGGTTCTTTTTGTAAGGGCTCATCACAACGGAAATTTTTCATTTTTAATGTGGTTATTATATTAGTCTCCCCTACCCTCCCTAGAAGCTGAGCTCCATAAGGGCAAGAAGCCTGCCTAATTTTGTTCATCCCTGTAAATATCCAAAACACCTAGCACAGTGCCCAGCACATAGTAGGTGCTCAATAAATATCTGTTGAATAAATGTATGAATAATGACTTGTTGAATGGCTCCAATGGGACCCTATGCTAATAGGATCCTGAAGGGTCAGCCCTATTTAGCACTTGGAATGATCTAGACCAGGAATTGGCAAGCTTTTTCTGGAAATGGCCAGATAGTAAATATTTTTAGCTTTGTGGGCCATACATTCTCTCACGGAATTATTCAAGTTGGTTGTGGTAGTGAAAGCAGCCAGGGGAAATACCTAAGTGAATGGACAGAGCTTTGTTCCAATAAAAATTTATTTACAACAGGCCAGGTGCAGTGGCTCATGCCTGTAATCCCAGCACTTTGGGAGGCTGAGGAGGGCAGATCAGTTGAGGTCAGGAGTTCAAGACCAGCCTGGCCAACATGGTGAAACCCCATCTCTACTAACAATACAAAAATTAGCCGGGCATGGTAGCATGCACCTGTAATCCCAACTATTCAGAAGGCGGAGGCAGGAGAATCGCTTGAATCCAGGAGATGGAGGTTGCAGTGAACTTAGGTCACACCACTGCATCCCAGTCTGGGTGACAGAGCGAGACTTCATCTCAAAAAAAAAAAAAAAAAATTACAATAGGAGGCGAGCCAGATTGGGGCTGTGGGATGGAGTTGGCCAGTCCCTGATCTAGGGGCATTATTCCTGGTTTCATCTTAATTTTGCTTCATATTTATTGAATTCCTGCTCTGTAACAGGCATGATTCTGGATTCTGGGAATATCACAGTGAGTGAGACTGACAATATCTTTGGCCACATGAAGCTTACTATAAATGAATGAATATTTGACTAGAGACAGACAATAAAGAAGTAAATGAATAATATCATTTCACACATGATGATGTGTTCCATGAAAAATAATTAAACTGGGTGCTGGAATGCTGAATGACTGAGTTGAAGCCTAGGGGCTGCTCTTTTAAATAGAATGGTCAGGTTAAATTAGGGGCAATTTGAGCATTGGTAAAAAGGATGTAACTGAATGTCGCACACTGGAGAAATAAAAACCCATGAGTCAATAGTGTGTCTAAAGAGAAAGGGAGAAGTGAAGGAGGAAAGCTCTTAGTTAGGGAGCTAACTAATCCTTGTAAAAGGATCGGTAGAATTAAAAATCATGGCCAGGAGTGGTGGCTCGTGCCTGTAATCCCAGCACTTTGGGAGACTGAAGTGGATGGATCACTTGATCCTAGAAGTTCAAGACCAGCCTAGGAAACATAGTGAGACCCTCATTACTACTACTAATAAAAAATATTATCCAGGCATAGTAGCACACACCTATAGTCCCAGCTATTTGGGAGGCTGAGGAGGGAGGATCGCTTGAACCTGGGGAGGCTGAGGCTGCAGTGAGCTGTGATCGTGCTACTGCATTCTGGCTTGGGCAACAGAGAGAGACCCTGTCTCTAAAAAAAAATAATAAAATAAAAATCATGTTTCAAGCCCCATTGTAATAATTGATTCATGACCAGCCTGGGCAACATGGTGAAACCCGTCTTTACTAAAAATAAAAAAAATTAGGTAGGCATGGTGGTGCACACCTGTGGTTCCAGCTACTCAGGAGGCTGAGGCAGAAGGATCGCTCAAGCCCAGGTGGTGGAGGTTGCAGTGATCCAAGATCGTGCTGCTGTACTCCAGCCTGGGTGACAGGGTAAGACTTTGTTTCAAATGATACTAATACTAATAATAATTGATTCATGTAAGAATCATCTTCCCCAAGAAAGTACAATTGAGCAAGAGAAGAATGATGAGATGAAGCCACCAGGAAGAAAGCGTGGGGAAGGGTGTTGCAGGCAGAGGGAGGGGACAGTGCAGTCCCTGTGGCTTGCTTCAGAGACAGCAAGAAGATCTCGGTTGCTGGACAGAGGAGGAGAATGGTCAGAGATGACAGACCCAGGGCATGTTGGGCTTTGTAGGTCCTAAGGAGGAGCTAGGATTTTATCCTAAGTGTGGGGGGAAACCATGACAGTCTTTGGAATGGAAAGGAGGTAAGATGGTTTCTATTTTAACATGATTCTGCCTGCTACTGTGGCAGGAGTAGGTTGGCAATGGGGTGGTCACAGTGGAAGAGGGAGACCAGCAAGGGGACTTCCAAAGTCATCTGATGCAAGAAATGATGTGGTGTCAGCAGAAGGGGTGAGGAGTGGTTGCAGCTGGCATATACATTTGAAGGTAGAACTCCCAGGGTTTGAATTATATGTGGATGGGAAGGAAAGAGAGGAGTTGAGGATGACTCCAAGGTCTCGAGGCTGAATAATCTGTGGGTGGGAGCCATGTTGGGGGAAGACCCTCAGAGGCCTCGGTTTATGAAAGAAGCCTCAACAACTGTATTATGATGGATACATGCCCTGTGTGAGATGCCTGTTAGACATCTCAGTGACATGGAGTAGGCAGGTGTAGGAGGTACGAGCCTGGAGATAGTTGAGAGTTATTGGTCTATAGCTGATTAAATCACAAGAGGGGATAAGATCCCTTAGATAGAGGAGACCTAGGATTGGGAAAGGCATTAGGGGACACAGAAGGGGCAGCTGGTTAGGTAGGAAAACCAGGAGGATGGGAACCCTAGCACCAGTTCAGAAAGAATTTCAAGAACTTAGTTCCCTTATTTCCCCTTATTGTATTTTTTCACCCCTTTAAAACTCATTTTGGCCTGTAGCAGTGGTAAACAATAGCTCTGACAGTAGTAACAGTAAAGGCAGCCAGCATTTATACCTGTTCTGTGCCACACAGATGCTAAACACCTTACCTGCTCTATCTCATTGAATCCTCACTCCAGCTCCTTGATGTGGGCTTTATTATTATCCCTGGTCTAAACTGAGCAAAGTGAGGCCCAGAGAGGTTGAGTGACTTGCCCAAAGTCACACAGCTCATAAGTGACAGAGCCAGAATTAGAACCCTACATGCCTCAAATCTTTTCCCAAAATAGGTTAGCTATAAATAAATGTCCTGAGAAGCTCCTGGGAAAAGGGTAGTGGTTGATGGGAGGACATTCACTCTGGTATTTAAGGAACTGCTATTCATCAGTCCAGAAACAGAATAGAGGCAGACAATACAAAATTCCTGCTCTTCTGGGGGAGCCTCAGTATCCTCATCTGTGAAATGGGGATAATAAATATATCTACCTCATCAACTTTTTGAGAGGATTCAATGTGTTAATGCAACAAATCTCTCAGAACAGGGCCTAACATGTAGTTGACATACGAGACATAGTCATTATTGAGAGACTCTATGGCTTCATGGTTAAGGATTGGGCCTCCTAGTGCCAGGATGTCTGGGTTCAAATCCCAACTTTGCTACTCCCTAGCTGTGTGGCACTGGGCAAATTCCTTACCCTCTCTGTGGCTTAATTTCCCCATCTGTAAAATGGGATAATGATAGTTTGTAGCTCATATCATTATGATGAAGGTTTACTAAGCTAATATTTTGAAAGGGCTTGAAGTAGCTGGTACATAGTTCTCGTGTTTTAGCTGTTATCATGGGGTTGGGATACAGTGGGGACACAGGCAACAAGCACGCCTGTCAGTAAAGAAACATGTTATCATCTGTGAGAAGAAAGCATGGTAAATAAAAACCCTGCTGGATTTCCACGTGCGTTTCCGTGACAGGCGGCCTGGATTAAAGAGTCGAGAAGTCACAGCGGGAAGAGCTGTCCTGTTCCCAGAGGCAAATGACAGCCCACGGAAAGAAATAGCACAAAGCTTCAGGACGGGGAGACGGTGTCCCGAGGAAAGAGAGGAGGAGCAGAGGATGCTGCGAATCACTGTAATATTTTCCCTAGGAAAGTCCCAGGGGTTCTTGTAGAGGCCTTAATCTCCTATTCTGGGCTTCGGATGCCGGTAGCTCCTTGCTCTTTGAGAGCTGCGTTCCCTCTGGCCTCTGTCTGTCTCTGTTAGAGCCTAATCATATTTGAAAGTAGTTTTTATCTGTGATTATTCATCTGTATATGAGGAGCTTATGTGTCTAAGCTGCCACTTCCATCAAATCCAAGCGCACGGCCCCGTTAATACGCACAGGCCTGACGTTGGCAGGGAAAGTGGTCCCCACCCCTAGTCCAAGGAGGGAGATTTTAGAGAGTTACAGGGGGCCAGCTTTGGGAGTGGGGAGGTGGAGGTAGACAGTGCTGGCATCAAGACAGGGAGCAAAACAAATATGAGAGACCTAATAGCAGGAATTCCAGCCAGGCCCGTAAATCGATAGGTGGGCTTACCCTCAAGGCATGGCTTCTCAAACTTTAATAAGATGGTGTCTATGAAGATTACATATTAGCTTAGAGAACAATATTTCATTTTCGCTGGCTCTTTTTAATCTGCGGGAGATGATGTGCTGGGCTAGGTTTAATGCTCACACACATATTTCAGTTTAATTTTCTGTTAAATTGTGGTGAGGTTAGAGTGGAGTTTTTTCCCCTCTTCCCAGGGTGGGGAGTTCTGACATCAGGAGGCAGACAGCCAGCGGGGAATCAGGCCAAGGACAAAGTTGGGCGGCCCCCCGACCTACAACAAAGACAAAATCATTTGATTATCCTTGCTTCTCCTGCGGATGTTTGTTTCTTTCTCTCTCTCTCTTTTTTCCTACAGCATTGCGATGTAATTCACATACCATGCAATTTACTCATTTAAAGTGTACAATCTGTCCAGGCACGGTGTCTCATGCCCGTAATCCCAGCACTTTGGGAGGTTGAGGTGGGAGGATTGCTTGAGCCCAGGAGTTCAAGACCAGCCTGGGCAACAAAGTGAGACCTTGGCTCTACAAAAAATAAACAAAATTAGCTGGGCGTTGTGGCACATGCCCGTGGTCCCAGCTACTTGGGAGGTTGAGGTGGGAAGATCTCTTGAGCCTGGGAGGTTGAGGCTACACTGAGCCGAATTGCACCACTGCACTCCAGCCTATACGACAGAGCGGGACCCTATCTCAAACAAACAAACAAAGAAACAAACAACAACAACAACAAAAAAAATGGAGGCTTGTGTACTGTATGTTTACACATTTAAGCATAAACCAATATATGTCATATCCTCTTACCTTGGCAAAACTCCATAATGATAAGATTAAAACATACAATAGAGCTAAGGTTTAGCTCTAATGTTACTGGAAGTTGACACAATATCAAACATCACTCAATTAAACCCCTGTTATTTTTGGATATTCTGTTGGTGGACTGGCTGGCAATGTTTGGATGAATAAAAGAAAAAAGACACATATAATTCACAAATTAGATATTTCATAAAATTTCTTTCTCTGGCTTTAATTTTATCAAAGTCACTAATAATGTTGCTTTTGAGACCGAGTCTCACTCTGTCGCCCAGGCTGGCATGATCTCGGCTCACTGCAACCTCTGCCTCTTGCGTTCAAGTGATTCTCCTGCCTCAGCCTTCAGAGTAGCTGGAATTACAGGTGCAAGCCACCATGCCTGGCTAGTTTTTGTATTTTGAGTAGATACGGCATTTCGCCATGTTGGCCAGGCTGGTCTCAAACTCCTGACCTCCAGTGATCCACCCGCCTTGGCCTCCCAAGTTGCTGGGACTACAGGCATGAGCCACTGTGCCCAGCCAATAATGTTTTTATAATCAAGAGTTCTACCAATTTGCTTCTATTGACAGCAATGATTTAGTCATTACAAAATAAAATATTATTGGATTAAAACTATTTGGATATATTTTCACCAAGAAAGTATATCATAGTAAAGATAAAATGGAAAAATTAAAGTTATTTTTCGTATATGTTTTCAAAACATTATTTTTTCTTTAGGTATTTGAAATTATTTATTACAATTAAAAGGTACAATGAAAATTATGTTAGTATTAACAATTAAATATTAAACAATTAAAAAAATGAAAGTTGAAATTTAATTTTTGAAATTTGATTTAGATCTTATTACATATTTTTATTTAAAAACTATTCATAATTCTAGTTTTCTATGTCTGTTCAGTTGTCAGTTTCAAGAGTCATTCAGTATTATGGCCAGATTTATGAATATACATAATTAAGAGTACATTTTTTTTGAAACAGGGCATCATTCTGTTGCCAAGGCTGAAGTGCAGTGGCACAATCATGGCTCGTTGCAGCCTTGACCCTCTGAGCTCTATCAATCCTTCTGCCTTAGCCTCCTGAGTAGCTGAGACTACAGGTGTGCACCACCACGCCTGGTTAATTTTTGCATTTTTGTAGAGATGGAATTTCATCATGTTGCCCAAACTGTTCTTGAACTCCTGGGCTCAAACAATCCTCCAGCCTCGGCCTCCCAAATTGCTGGGATTACAGGTGTGAGCCACCGCACCTGGCCATGAATTCTTTCTACTGCAACATTTTCCGTGGCCGTAATATGCAACTGTCAAAAATGCCATACTGATTCTAGAACCACAAATTAGAACACAAAGAGAAGCAAGAAACAGGCAGTCAGCACTATGGGGAAATTATGTTCTGCTCTGCAAGAATCTATTACCCACTCTATTTGAGAGGAAATATTTGACAAGTTAATTTGTCCTTTTCTTTCCTAAGTGCTTTTGTGACCCCTGCACACCAGAGCAGTACCCATCTCTCCTTTAGGCTGTAGTACTGCACATGAACCTTCAAGGTGTTTGGGCACAGTTGCCTTTTGTTTTGAGGACAGAGATCAAGATCTGGGAGGCAGTGCTTCTCTGGGGCCTGAATGGTGTTATGTATTAGGGTGGGTGTTTGGAGTAATCAATGCGTTTTGTCAGGGCTAGGTCCAGGTCCCAGGTGACTGAGTGGCCCAGGACAGGAGCCCCTGTTGCTCAGGTCTAAGGGTGGCCTTGCAGATGTATGTGGGGAGACAGAGGTTCAGAGAAGAACTTCAGGACTGAAACACCTGGATAGCATCTCGGAATGCATAAACCATCCCTTTGGATGCCTGTGGAAACTTCTCTCCATATTTCTTATCTAAATGGTGTTTTCTCAACTTCTGATTTGACCATTCTGTGAATAATCCTAAGGGTTGAAACTTTTATGAGTTAAGTGGTGATAGGCTTTTCCATTTTATTTGAGGATGCAAGCATTATTTTCCTAACAGACAGTTTTCATCTGTGGGCCAAAAGCATTGTCACAGGTACATATTCTGAAATATTCTTATCTACAGATAAAGAACTCAGCACACACGGTGGTGTTTGAATAGGAAAAGTGAAAAACAAACCATTCACCTCACGTGATCAATTTTATTTGGGCCATTAGCAGAGAATATTTTGCACTAGAGACTTCTTACATCAAGTAATAACTGAATGTTAAGCAAACAGATCATCAATTATTAAGATGCAGCTGCTATTAACATAATCATTTACATTTCAGTAATATCAGCATTTGGAGGGGGTTGTAAAGCTACTTAAAAGCATCTGATGTACAAAATAGGAATTTAACCATGTTCCCTTTGCTAAAATTTTTTAGAGGATCTAGCTCTAATTTTCCACTTAAGAATGGGTGTTGTGATTGGGAGAGGTGTAAAATCTGATGTAGAAATATCTGATCTCTGGATACCTTTTTTTAATTGGTGAAACTCAGGATGACTTCCTTTTGTGAACACATTTTCATTCATTCATTCATTCATTCATTCATTCATTCATTCATTTAAAAGAGCCAGGGTCTTGCTCGTGATCCAGGCAGGAGTTTAGTGGTGCAATTATCACTTACTGCAGCCTCGAACTCTTGAGCTCAAGCAATTCTCCCACCTCAGCCTCCTGAGTAGCTAGGACGACAGACACATACCACCATGACTGGCTAGTTTTTAATTTTTTTTGTAGAGATGGGGTCTTGCTCTATTGCCCAGGCTGGTCTCAAACTCCTGGCCTGAAGCAACCCTCCTGCCTTGGCCTCCTAAAGTGTTGGGATTACAAGGCATGAGCCACTGCACCTGGTCTATATTTTTGGAATATAGATAATACATTCATATGGCTCAAAAAGTAAAAAGTAAAAAAAAAAAAAATACAGCGAAAACCCTTCCTTCTTTCTCTGTCTTTTTTGGCCTACAGTGCTCCGTCCCCAGAAGTAATCACTGACGTCATGATCATTTTTATGTACCTGTTCAGGGTTTCTTTGTATATATCAGCAAATACTAATTTTGACTCATTTCACACAGTTTTGAGCCGTGGGTCTTTTGCTTTTGTTTCTTATTTTCCAATATATCCTGGAGATTATTCCAAATCAGCACATAGAGAGCTCCCTCATTCTTTATTTCCAGCCCCATACTACCTGTTGTAGGTTGTACCATACTTTATTTAACCAATCTGCTATAGAGGGACATTGGATTTTTTCCAACTATTTCTTAGGCCAAACACATTGTAAGGAATAAACTTGTACTTGCATGAGGCACGTGCATATACTTTTACATATATTTAGGATAAATTTCTAGAAATGGAATTTCTGGGTCAACTTTTCATGCATATGTAATTCTGATAGATGTTGCCAAATTATCCTCCATGGTGATAGTAGCCTTTTGCGATTCCACTAGCAATAAACGAGAGTGCCTGTTTCCCCAAGGCTGGCTCATGTTTTGAAGACCTGCTCAAGTAGAGGCTATCTGCTCAGCACCGACTTGCAGGGGAGAATAGCATTGTTTTATTCGTATTCTCCAATTACTCTGCTACTTTTCACTCCTTGCTTTTTGCTTGCTGTATGACTGTGCCTTAGTTTCCTCACCTGTAAGATGGGGCTCTAAGAATACCTACAGCCTACAGTAGTTGGGAGAGTTCCAGGTGCTAATGCCAACAAAGCACTAAGCACAGTTCAGACACAGTAACTGCTTAAAAATGCTGTTATTAAGAGGGTCAACTACATGACACCACCCAGAGATTATTGCAACTCTGCTTCTCTTAGGCCACAGCAGACATGAATATCCATGTTGTAAAATAACAAAGGCACTGAACATTTTCTTGGAAGAAGAGGAATTTTGGTTCTAGGTAAATGTGAGCCCCCTCTGTTGGGTGTAATTGGAGAAGAGGAAATTGGAGGTTTTGAGTGGAAAAGAGTGGTAAGGAGGATAGTGAAGCAGAAGCAGATATTTCTGCAATGAGCCTTGGAGGCGGAAAACAAACTGATGCCTGAGAGAGCTTTGGCACTGAAACCCCTGTCTATAGAAGGAGGTTCCTGAACTCTGTGTGTCACAGGTGCTGAGTGCCCCAGGTATTAACCGGCCTGAAGTTATCACCTGGACAGCTAAGGCTCTAGAATCTGAGTATTGAGGAGACTGGAGACAGAGCTACTCACCCGGGCCAAGTGGAATTGGCAGCATAGCTTTATGGTTGGAGGCTTTTTGTCTGGAATCAGGCAGCCCTGAGTCCAAATGCTGCCTCCATCACTTGCTAGTGGGCTGGCCTAGGATAAGTTCATGTTTCTGATCCTCACTTTCCTCATCGGTCATCTGAAGGTAAATGCCAGAGTAGGGGGCATTCTTAAGATGCTTGTATTTTCACAGGGAGGCTCGGGGATTACAGGCTGGAAGAGTTCTAAGACACTTAGCACCATGCCTGGCACATCTTAAACACTTAATAAATGTCAGCAGCTATTAAGGATATCACATGAATAAGGTTTTACAAGCGTGCTGTTTCTGGGATACAAGGGGGACCCTGAGGGGTGCATGTTAACATATTCAAGTTGTAAAACCAGAAAAGACCCATTTAGATGGCTGTACAGTTATAGAGAGGAAAAATGCCTCTCAGCATACATGTTATTTGCAACAAAGCAAAACAAATTTGTGAGCTTCTTATTGCAGATGAAGCAGAGGGAGAGCCTGAAAAATTTCCTGCCGTCTTGAGGCAGTAAATAGAAAATGGGTTGTATAGTACTGATTGCTGCTAATTTAAGACATATAAAAATCACTGATGGCCTCTTTTTGTTCTCCACTTTTTTCTCTGTTATTTACTAAAGGTAAAATAGTCACACATTTACATACATTATCTTTGTCCTTGTAACTCATTTTTATGTTAAGGATATATATTCCTTATTCTATCTCTTTCACTTATTTTTGTTCCAACCTACCATTCCCTGTAAGAATTTAATCCTTGTGCTTGGGAATGAAGTGTACAATTCTCCTTGCCTAGAATGCTCTAATCTGCCTGCTGCTATGCTTGGCAAGCTCTTAGTCCTCAACCAGCTATTACCTTTGCAAAGTATTTCTCAAGATCACCAGCCTCGATGGCCCTTTCTTCTTTGATTCTGTGAGGCTCTTTTTAATGTTTCTTTTATAGCATTTTTCATACTGGGCTCTCATTCTTTGTGTACATATCCGTCTTTCCCTTTATACTGGGAAAACTTTGAGTCAAGAGTAGCATCTCTCCCTCTCTTCCTTCATCAAACATGTATTAAGCGTCAGACCCTGTGATAGGATCTGTGGATACAGAAATGAATTAGACACAGCCCCTGGTCTGGAAGGGAGATCTCAAGACAATGTGGGAGCAATTAAAGAACGAGGCACTGAGGTAAAACCTTACATAATGCTTTCGTTTAGTCTTCCAAATGACCTTAGATGCATCTGTGAGGATTCCCATTTTACCATTGAAAAGCCTGAGCTAAGGAGAAACTATAACTCATGAAAGAACATAAGGCTACCAAGTGTTCACAATTCCAGCCTCAACGTGGCCCCCCTGGAGGAGGCAAGGCCCAGCAATGTCATGACTGTGAGGATTTGGCCAGATGAAGGAGTCAGGGGAAGGAACTCCAGGAAGAGAGACAAGGCTATGCAAAGGCTTAGGGGTGAGGGAGCATTGCTATTTAGGGAATTATAAAAGTATTAGTCATCTCAGGATTTCCGGTGTTCACACAGTGCTCAGTACACAGTAGATGCTCACTGAATATTGTAAGAATGCATTCCTGCCGCTAAAGTCCCCAAAACTTGTAATTCAACTCAGGACCCGAGTTTCTTGTGTTCCTCAGTATTCTTCAGTAAATTCTCATTTTTGCTGAGGTTCTGGCTTGCATAGACCCGTGGCCCAACTTGGAAGAGTGTGCCCTCAAACTGTCTCCATTCAGCCTTTCAGAAATACAGTTCAGAGGCTTCCTCCCCCACTTCTACCCTTTAAATGTCCAGGGACTGTTTCTACATTTGGTTCAGACAGACTGAGCAAAATTTTGGACATAGATGGACAATTGCTGGATAGACAGCTGATGGAGTGTCTTGACTGAGACCGTCTGTAGGCTACACAGCTCTGGGGTATGTGAAAACTGCCCCCAGCAGATGGAAGTCTGAGCTCAAGAAACAAAAATCTAAGGGAAGTTGCTTTTAGTTCAGCCATAATTCCTAACTCTTGGATCTCTTTCTCATCTGCTCTCCTGCCCATAGACCTGGGGAATACTGTTTTAGACTGGAAGGGGTGGGGCAGATGGAGAAACTGTTCTCTTTCTTTTGCTTTTGCTGAAGACATGTTGTCAAGGCTAGGAATGTTCTTTCTTTTATATGGGATGTCAGTTAATAGAAAGGACTCTGGAGCCAGACTGCATGGGGTTTGAATCCCGGCTCTGCTACTTACCAGCTTCTTGACCTTGGATAAGTTACTTAACATCTCTGTACCTCAGCTTCCCTATCTGTAAAATGGGATTAATAATAGTACCTATTTCATAAGGTTTTTGTGAGAGTATAAAGGAATTAAAATATTTAAAGCACTTAGAACAGTACCTGGAACATCTTACGTGCAATATATGTGACGATGATGATTGTGATAATTAAAGTTACTCTACACAAACTCCCTTCTTTCTTCTGGTTCATTTGTACTAAATGGTAATGTCCCATTTAGTCTCAAAGCCCAATCAAATAGGAATTAGTTCTTATTTTCTTTGAAGACATGGTGAATTTAGACTCTAAGTTGGTAATATCATGTTTAAGCTGTCTAGCACGGTAAACCAAGAAAAGAAAAACAAAATAATAAGATTTCAGATGAAAATAGTTGGGCTATTCACATGAACAAAATACCCCAGGTTGTTTGAGTTGATATATTACTCAAAACCAGAAGAAACTTGATCTAGTCCACTTACTGAAATTTTGATGGGTAAACGGAAGCACAGAGAACTGACTAATGCAGGGTTATATAGGGCTAGACCTAGAATATACTTCTCCTGATCCCTGTTCATGTTCCTTGCAATGCCCTGTAGCCAAAGGATGTTCACTCTCTGAAGCTTCTCAAATTTTTTTTTAATGATAAGGGTCAGCAAATGCTTTCTGCAAAAGGCCTGATAGTAAATTATTCTGGGTTTTGTTGGCCATCTGTCTGTTACCACCACTCAACTCTCCCATTACAGTCTGAAAGCAGCCATAGACAGCGTGCAAATGAATGGATGTGACTGTGTTTTAATAAAATTTTATTTATAAAATATGTGGTGGGCCAGATTTGGCCCATGGGTTGTGGTTGCAAATCTCTGCTCTATGATATCCCCAGCTGAAGTGTTAAAGGGAAATACCAGAGCAATAAATGCTCTTCTACATGAAACAGAAGCCATTAGCCAAATGCTTAATGTGAAGAAGTAGCCAGAGGAAAGAGCTGTGGTGTGTGAAGTAATGAGGATGATTAGGCAAAAACCAGCTTTACTTTTCCATCCCAGCTAACTCAGTTTCTTTTTATTTATAATTTTCTAAAAGAGGGAAAATAGAGATGGAAATTTTTCTACCTAAACAGTGGGATTAAGAGAAAAAATTCTGTAATGTAGTTTTGGTTACCATGGCATTCCTGGTACAACTTGCCAGAACATCCAAATAAAAGGACAAGCTTTTATCTCTCCCTGCAACTCAATTAATTTTAATCTATAAGATGAGAATTATCCACTTAGCTTCCAAGATTAGCTTGCTTTATTAGGGTATCAAAAAATAAGCAGAAAGAAAAGAAAATGTGCTTGAAGATGACTTGCTTTCATTTGAGAAAATCAGTCCACAGTTAATTAGGGCAAAACTTAGAGGCTGCAGGGAGGTTAGCAGAGTGAGATTTAATCATTGTCAGATAAGTGTACAGTCAAGAAAACACCATGAAACATTCTCTCTGTGAGGTGCATAGTTACCTACATCTTTTGGAATTGTTTATGATGGGGATGTGTATTAGTTATCTGTTGCTACACGATAATCACACCCAAACTTATCAGCTTAACACAAAACACATTTGTTGTCTCACAATTTCCATGATCAAAAATGTAGGCACAATTTAGTTAGGTGTTCTGTGTCAAGAGTCTTTGGATAAGGCTGCAATTAAGGTTGTCAACCTGGCTGAGGTTTAATTTGAAGGTTCTACTGGGGATGAACTCCCTTCCAAGTTCCCATGGCTGTTAGTAGGGTTCAGTTCCTCAAGGGTTGTTGTACTGAGGCCCTCAGTTCTTAGCTGGCTGTTGTCTAGAGGCTACCCTCAGTTCCTTGGCATGGAGGCCTCTCTAGTATGTCAGCTTGCTTCATCAAACCATGCAAGCCAAGAAGACAATAGAGTCTGCTAGCAAGATGGAAGTTACAATCTTTTTTTTTTCCTCTGGAGACGGAGTCTTGCTCTGTCGCCCAGGCTGGAGTGCAGTGGCCCAATCTCGGCAAGTGGAGTGCAAGCTCCACTTCCTGGGTTCATGCCATTCTCCTGCCTCAGCCTCCCAAGTAGCTGGGAATACAGGGGCCCGCCACCACGCCCAGCTAATTTTATTTTTGTATTTTTAGTAGAGACAGGGTTTCATCGTGTTAGCCAGGATGGTCTCCATCTCCTGACCTCATGATCCACCCGCCCTGGCCTCCCAAAGTGCTGGGATTACAAGCGTGAGGCACTGTGCCCGGCTGGAAGTTACAATCTTACATAACTTAATTATAGAAGTGACAGCCCATCATTGTTGACATATTCTATTGATTAGAAGTAGGTCACAGGTCCTGTCCATACCAAAAAAAAAGGAACCATGCAAAGATACGAAGGTGAAGAGGAGAGGATGATCGGGGGACATCTTAGAGTCTACCTGCTACAGGAAGAGAGAAGTAATGATTTCAGTGAAGTAGTAATGAGAGAAAGTACACTGTCTTGATAAGAAGATCTCTGAAGCTGAATTTACTCTGAAGGATGTTGTGATCATTGAGTATCATGGGCCAAAGAGGAGGGATAACGTGTGCATATATCATACCGTTGCTATTCCTAACTACAAACTCTGGTTTCTGAGAAGTTTAAACTGTAGGGAGACCATTTATCCTCATTAAATCTAGATGCTGGCCTATAACATTGGGTAAACCGAGCCCGTGTAACAGTTGGGTCTCTTTTAGTGACAAGCAACAGAAAATCCAACTCAAGTGGTTAAGGAAAGAGAGAATGTATTAGCTTATACAGCTGAAAACTCCAAGAGTAAATTTCACTTCAGGTGTAGCTGGGTTCAGGGCTTCAGCAAAATATTTTATTTGTTTACTTTTTTGGTTAAGGTTATTGAGACGTAACTTGGGTATGGTACCCTTTTCGTACACAGTTTAGTGAGTTTTGATAAACGTGCAGTTGTGTACTCACCAACATAATCGGGATATAGAACATTTCCACAATCCCCCCTCCCTAATTTTTTTCTTGTCCCTTTGTAGTCAACTTCTCCTGCTACCCTCAGCCCCTGACAACCACTCATCTCTTTTCAGTACCTATAGTTTTGCCTTTTTCAGAATATCTTTTAAATGGAATTAAGTAGTCTAGATGTACTCGTAAGATTATGTGTCTGGCCTCTGTTACTCACTATCCTGCCTTTGTGTAGGAGTCATCTGTGTAATCACACCTCTGATTTCTTTTTATCACTGAGTAGCCCATTGTACAGATGTACAGTGATTTTTAAAACCTATTAACCAATTGCAGGACATTTGATTTGTTACCATTTTTGGCAACTGTGAATAAAACTACTAGAAACGTTTGTGCATATGTTTTTTATTTGTGTGTGTGTGAATGTAAGTTTTCATTGTTCTGGTAAACACCTAGTAGGGAAGTTGCTTAGTGATACAGTAAATCTGTATTTAATTTTACAAGAAACTACCAATTTGTTTTCCAAAATGGGTTGTACCAGTGCTGGGCACAGTGGCTCACCCCTGTAATCCCAGCACTTTGGGAGGTAGAGGTGGGTGGATCACCTGTGGCCAGGAGTTTGAGACTAGCCTGGTCAAAACAGTGAAACCCCATCTCTACTAAAAATAATAAAATAAAATAAAATAAAATAAAAGTTACTTCCTATTCTCACCAGTACTTGTTCTCACTCACCTTTTAAGGTTTATTTTAGCTATTCTAATAGGTGTGCAGTGCTATCTCAAGGTACTTTTAAGTTACATTTTCCTGATAACTAATGATGTCAGTCATCCTAATGTGTTTATGTGCTATCTGTATGTCCTCCTTGGGGAAGTGTCCATGCAAATCTTTTCCCATTTTAATAATTGTGTACTTACCTATTTTGAGGATAAATGTTATTCTTTTTTAAAATTATTATTATACTTTAAGTTCTAGGGTACATGTGCACAATGTGCAGGTTTGATACATAGGTATATATGTGCCATGTTGGTTTGCTGCACCCATGAACTCATCATTTACATTAGGTATTTCTCCTAATGCTATCCCTCCCCCAGTCCCCCACCCCCCGACAGGTCCCGGTGTGTGATGTTCCTCGCCCTGTGTCCAAGTGTTCTCATTGTCTGGTTCCCACCTATGAGTGAGAACATGCAGTGTTTGGTTTTCTGTCTTTGTGATAGTTTGCTGAGAATGATGGTTTCCAGCTTCATCCATGTCCCTGCAAAGGACATGAACTCATCCTTTTTTATGGCTGCAAAGTGTTCCATGGTGTATATGTGCCACATTTTCTTAATCCAGTCAAGACTGATGGACATTTGGGTTGGTTCCAAGTCTTTGCTATTGTGAGTAGTGCCGCAATAAACATACGTGTGCATGTGTCTTTATAGCAGCATGATTTATAGTCCTTTGGGTATATACCCTGTAATGGGATTGCTGGGTCAAATGGTATTTCTAGTTCTAGATCCTTGAGGAATCGCCACACTGTCTTCCACAATGGTTGAACTAGTTTGCACTCCCACCAACAGTGTAAAAGCATTCCTATTTTTCCACATCCTCTCCAGCATCTGTTGTTTCCTGACATTTTAATGATCACCATTTTAACTGGCATGAGATGGTATTTCATTGTGGTTTTGATTTACATTTCTCTGATGGCCAGTGAAGATGAGCATTTTTTCATGTGTCTGTTGGCTGCATAAATGTTTTCCTTTGAGAAGTGTCTGTTCATATCCTTTGCCTACTTTTTGATAGGGTTGTTTGTTTTTTTCTTGTAAATTTGTGTGAGTTCTTTGTAGATTCTGGATATTAGCCCTTTGTCAGATGGGTAGATGGCAAAAATTTTCTCCCACTCTGTAGGTTGTCTGTTCACTCTGATGGTAGTTTCTTTTGCTGTGCAGAAGCTCTTTAATTAGATCCCGTTTGTCTATTTTGGCTTTTGTTGCCATTGCTTTTGGTGTTTTAGTCATAAAGTCCTTGCCCATGCCTATGTCCTGAATGGTATTGTCTAGGTTTTCTTCTAGGGTTTTCATGGTTTTAGGTCTAACATTTAAGTCTTTAATCCATCTTGAATTAATTTTTGTATAAGGCGTAAGGAAGGGATCCAGTTTCAGCTTTCCGAACATGGCTAGCCAGTTTTCCCAGCACCATGTATTAAATAGGGAATCCTTTCCCCATTTCTTGTTTTTGTCAGGTTTGTCAAAGATCAGATGGTTATAGATGTGTGGTGTTATTTCTGAGGACTCTGTTCTGTTCCATTGGTCTGTATCTCTGTTTTGGTACCAGTACCATGCTGTTTTGGTTACTATAACCTTGTAGTGTAAAGTCAGGTGTGTGATGCCTTCAGCTTTGTTCTTTTTGCTTAGGATTGTCTTGGCTCTAAAGGCTCTTTTTTGGTTCCATATGAACTTTAAAGTAGTTTTTTCCACTTCTATGAAGAAAGTCATTTGTAGCTTGATGGGGATGGCATTGAATCTATAAATTACCTTTGGCAGTATGGCCATTTTCACGATATTGATTCTTCCTATCCATGAGCATGGAATGTTCTTTCATTTGTTTGTGTCCTCTTTTATTTCGTTGAGCAGTGGTTTGTAGTTCTCCTTGAAGAGGTCCTTCACATCCCTTGTAAGTTGGATTCCTAGGTATTTTATTCTCTTTGAAGCAATTGTGAATGGGAGTTCACTCATGACTTGGCTCTCTTTCTGTTCTTGGTGTACAGGAATGCTTGTGATTTTTGCACATTGACTTTGTATCCTGAGATTTTGCTGAAGTTGCTTATCAGCTTAAGGAGATTTTGGGCTGAGACGATGGGGTTTTTTAAATATACAATCATGTCATCTGCAAACAGGGTCAATTTGACTTCCTCTTTTCCTAATTGAATACCCTTTCTTTCTTTCTGTTGCCTGATTGCCCTGGCCAGAACTTCCAATACTGTGTTGAATAGGAGTGGTGAGAGAGGGCATCCCTGTCTTGTGCCAGTTTTCAAAGGGAATGCTTCCAGTTTTTGCCCATTCATTATGATATTGGCTGTGGGTTTGTCATAAATAGCTCTCATTATTTTGAGATATGTCCCATCAACACCTAGTTTATTGAGAGGTTTTAGCATGAAGCGCTGTTGAATTTTGTCAAAGGCCTTTTCTGCATCTATTGAGATAATCATGTGGTTTTTGTCATTGGTTCTGTTTATGTGATGGATTACGTTTATTGATTTGCGTATGTTGAACCAGCCTTGCGTCCCAGGGTTGAAGCCAACTTGATCATGGTGGATAAGCTTTTTGATGTGCTGCTGGATTCGGTTTGCCAGTATTTTATTGAGGATTTTCGCATCAATGTTCATCAGGGATATTGGTCTAAAATTCTCTTTTTTTTGTTGTGTCTCTGCCAGGCTTTGGTATCAGGTTGATGCTGGCTTCATAAAATGAGTTAGGGAGGATTCCCTCTTTTTCTATTGATTGGAATAGTTTCAGAAGGAATGGTACCAGTTCCTCTTTGTACCTCTGGTAGAAATTGGCTGTGAATCTGTCTGGTCCTGGACTGTTTTTGGTTGGTAAGCTATTAATTATTGCCTCAATTTCAGAACCTGTTATTGGTCTATTCAGATATTCAGCTTCTTCCTGGTTTAGCCTTGGAAGGGTGTATGTGTCCAGGAATTTATCCATTTCTTCTAGATTTTCTAGTTTATTTGCGTGGGGGTGTTTATAGTATTCTCTGATGGTAGTTTGTATTTCTGTGGGATCGGTGGTGATATCCCCTTTATCACTTTTTATTGTGTCTATTTAATTCTTCTCTCTTTTCTTCTTTATTAGTCTTGCTAGTGGTCTATCAATTTTGTTGATCTTTTCAAAAAACCAGCTCCTGGAATCATTGATTTTTTTGAAGGGTTTTTTTGTGTCTCTATCTCTTTCAGTTCTGCTCTGATCTTAGTTATTTCTTGCCTTCTGCTAGCTTTTGAATTTGTTTGCTCTTGCTTCTCTAGTTCTTTTAGTTGTGATGTTAGGGTGTCACGGGAGACTTTAACACCCCGCTGTCAATATTAGACACATCAACGAGACAGAAGGTTAACAAGGATATCCAGGACTTTAACTCAGCTCTGCACCAAGCAGACCTAATAGACATCTCCAGAACTCTCCACCCCAAATCAACAGAATATACATCCTTCTCAGTATCACATCCCACTTATTCTAAAATTGACCACATAATTGGAAGTAAAGCACTCCTCAGCAAATGTAAAAGAACAGAAATCACCACAAACTATCTCTCGGACACAGTGCAATCAAATTAGAAGTTAGGATTAAGAAACTCACTCAGAACCGCACAACTACCTGGAAACTGAACAACCTGCTCCTGAATGACTACTGGGTAAATAACTAAATGAAGGCAGAAATAAAGATGTTCTTTGAAACCAATGAGAACAAAGACACAATGTACCAGAATCTCTGGGACACATTAAAAGCAGCATGTAGAGGGAAATTTATACCACTAAATGCCCGCAAGAGAAAGCAGGAAAAATCTAACAGGGGATAAATGTTATTCTTAGATAGAACCCTCATAAGTTGTTTGAGCAAGTAGAAACAACAATAACTAGAAACTGAGGCTTATTTTAAAAAAACCTACACAGCCATAAAAAAGAATGAAATCATGTCCTTTGCAACAACGTGGATGTGGCTGAAGGCCATTACTCTAAGCAAATTAATGCAGGAACAGAAGACCAAATACCACATGTTCTCACTCATATGTAAGAACTAAACATTGGGTAGTCATGGACATAAAGATGGCAACAATAAACACTGGGGACTACTGGGTGGGGGAGGGAGGAAGGTGAGTGTTGAAAAACTATTGGGTACTATGCTTACTACCTTGGTGACGGGATCAGCTGTACCCTAAACCTCAGCATTAAACAAGATACCCATGTAACAAACTTGCACATATACCCCCTGAATCTAAAATAAAAGTCGAACTTGTTAAAAAAAATCTAAAACATGTAAATGAACATAGAGCTCCAGAGACATAAAATAACATAACATTAGATAAAAATTGTATTATTGTTTCATTATTGGGCTTTGAGAGTTTTAAAAATATATTCCAGATGTAAATCCTTTATCAGATATGTATTTTGCAAATACTTTTATCCCAGTGGCTTGCATTTTTAAAACGTGGCTTGCCTTTTAATATGTTAACAGTGTCTTTTGAGGAGCAGAAGTGTAAAATGTTGATGAAGTCCAACTTATCCATTCTCTCTTTTATGGATGATGCTTTTCATGTTCTAACTAATAAATCTTTGCCTAAATCATGGTCATAAAAATTTTATTCTATGTTTTCTTCTAGAAATTTTATAGATTTAGATTTTACATTTAGCTTTTTAATCCACTTAGAGTTTAATTTTTATATAAGGTGTTTGTTGAGGTTTAGTTCTTTATTTTTTTTTGCAAATAGTTATCCAATTCATCACCATTTTTGAAAAGACAATCCTTTCTCTACTAAATTGCCTCACACATTTGTTTTTGTTTTGAGACAGAGTCTTGCTCTGTCACCCAGGCTGGAGTGCAGTGGCATTGTTTCAGTTCACTGCAACCTCCGCCTCCCAGGTTCAAGCAATCCTCCCACCTCAGCCTCCCAAATAGCTGGGACTACAGGTGCATACCACCACATTTGGCTGATTTTTGTATTTTTAGTAGAGATGGGGTTTTGCCTTGTTGGTCAGGCTGGTATCGAACTCCTGGCCTCAAGTGATCTGCCTGCCTTGGCCTCCCAAAGTGCTGGGATTACAGGTGTGAACCACTGCGTCTGGCCACCTCACACATTTCTGAAACACGGTTGACCAAACAAGCATGGGTTTCCTTCGGGGCTTTCTATCCTGACTTTTCCTCAGTGTTGGCTCCATTTTCAGGAAGACTCTTTCTCATGGTTTCAAGGTGTCTGACAGTAGCTCCTGAAACCTCATTTTTCAGTTTCATGCTCAGTAAAAGATGAGCATCTGTGGCTTGGTATTTTCCACAAAAATCCTGAAATTGATTCTAATCCAGAATGAATTTCAGTCTGATTAGATCAGTTTAGGTCATGTGATATGGTTTGGATCTGTGCGCCACCCAAATCTCATGTTCAATTGTAATCCCAATGTTGGAGGTGGGGCCAAGTGTAAGGGGATGGGATCATGGGGATGGTCCTTCATAATCATTTAGTACCATCTCCTTGGTGCTTCTCTCATGAGAGTGAGTGAGTTATTATGAGATCTGGTCATTTAAAATTGTGTGGCACCTTCCCATCTTTTCTCTATATCTAGCCACATAAGACATACCAGCTTCCCCTTCCCCTTCCGCCATGATTGAATGTTTCCTGAGGTTTCCCAAGAAGCAGAAGCTGCTATGCTTCCTGTACAGCCTGCAGAACTGTGAGCCAATTAAACTTCTTTTCTTTATAAATTAGCTAGTCTCAGGTATTCATTTGTAGCAGTGTGAGAATAGACTAATATATCATGTGATACACAGTGATTGTCTTGGACCTGGGTCACCTCCTCTACCTGTGTGACTAGGAATGGAGCCTCACTCAAATCACACAGACCTTATATGTAGAAGAATGAATTCTCAAAGAAAAACTAGGGCTCTGTTAGAATGGGAAAACATATGATGCTGTGGGCAAAAAACAATGCAAACAAACAATGGCAACCAAACATCCCAATAAATATCCATATTGCTCTTAACTCAAGAATTTCATGTGTAACAGGGAAGAACTGCATGGAAGAACACAAATTATAATAGACTGTTCGAAGTATAACAACCTAAATAAGTCCAAGATATCAATGAGGGAGTAATTAAATCTATCTGCATGTTCTGGGAAGGCTTCCCAGATATGGCCTTTGAAATGGGTTTAAAAATCTTTTTAAAAAATACTTAAGTAAAATATAATCTATTTAAAGAAAAGTGCACAAGCTATAAGGATATGGCTCAATATATTATCACAATGTGAACATGCTTGCATAACCAGCATCTCAAAAATGCCATAGTGTCCTCTTTTCTCAAAAAGTAACTTCTATGCTGAGTTTTAACACAGATACTAGTTTTTACCACTTTAAAAACAATATAAATGGAATCAAGAAATATGAATCAACTTGTCTTTGCTTATTTTGTACATGGTTATGAGATTCGTCCAGGTATTTGCATGTAGCCATAGTCAGTTTTCATTGCTGTGTAGTATTCCATCATGTGACTATACTACCATTTATTTATTCATTTTATTGTTGTATATTTATGTTATTTCCAGTGTTTTGACTATTATTTAAAGTGTTGCTATGAAAAAATTTATATTTAATTTTTGGCTATATGTAAATATAGTTGGACATACATCTAGAATATAAATTTCTGAGTCATAGAATTAGCATATGTTCAAATGTAGTAGATGCTGCTAAACAGTTTTCTAAAGTGCTTGTGTTAAACTCCCACTAGAAGCATAATGGGAGTTCTAGTTCCTCTACATTGCTCTCAGTGCTTGATAGTGTTAGTCTTTTTAAAATTTTAGCCATTCTAGTGGGTATGTAGTGGCATCTGATAATGATTTTATCTTGCATTTGCCAAAGACTAATGAGGTTGAACACCTTTTTATCTGCCTACTGGCAATTTAGGTATCCTTGTTTTGTGAAGTATCTGTTGTCTGTTCAAGTCTTTTTTTCATTTTTCTGTAGTTTTTTGTTTTGATTTAGAAATTATTTTGTAATCTGGTATGAATCCCTTTTCATTTACATGTTGCAATTATCTCTTCCCACTATAAGGCTTACCTTTTCACTTTTTTTTTTTTTTTAAATAAGAGAAGGGGGTCTTGCTTTGTCATCTAGGCCAGAATGCAGTGGTGTGATTATAGCTTACTGCAACCTTGAACTCCTGGGCTCAAGCAATCCTCCCAACTCAGCCTCCTGAGTAGCTGGGACTACAGGTATGTGCCACCGCACCTGGCTAGTTTTTAATTTTTATTTTTGTAGAGATGGGGGTCTTGCTATGTTTCCTAGGCTGGCCTTAAACTCCTGGCCTCAAACAATACTCTTGCTTCAGCCTCCCAAGTAGCTGGGATTACAGGCGTGAGTCACCATGCCCGGCCCTTTTCACTTTTGTAATAGTGTGGTTTTTTTTTTTAATACACAAATGTTCTTAATTTCAAAAGTTTAATTTTAAAATTAAAAGTTTATCAGTTGTTTGCTTTATGATTAGTACTCTCTGTGGCTTGTCCAAGAAATCTTTTCCTCCTTAAAGTAATGAAGATAGATACACTCTGATGTTATCATCTGGAAGCTTGTTTTACCTTCTACATCTAAACCTACATACCATTTGGGATTTGTTTTTAGGTATGATGTGAAGAAGGGCTCAAGTTTTGTTTTTTTACCATGTTTTATCCAGTTGACCCAGCACCATTTTATTGAAAAGACTTATTTCTTCACTGTTCTGCCATTTTATCATAAATCACATGTTAATAGATGCAAAGGTCTATTTCTGGACTCAATTATCTTCCATTGTTTGTTTTCAAGCCAACACCACTTTCTTTTTCTTTTCTTTCTTTCTTTCTTTTTTTTTTTTTTGAGTCGGAATCTCGCCCTGTTGCCCAGGTTAGAGTGCAGTGGCACGATCTCCGCTCACTGCAACCTCCGTCTTTTGGGTTCAAGTGATTCCCCTGCTTCAGCCTCCTGAGTAGCTGGGATTACAGGCGCACGCCACCACGCCCAGCTAATTTTTGCATTTTTAGTAGAGACAGGGTCTCACCATGTTGGCCAGGCTGGTCTCGAACTCCTGGCCTCAGGTGATCTGCCTGCCTCGGCTTCCCAAAGTGCTGGGATTACAGGCATGAGCCACCATGCCCAGCCACCAGTACCACTTTCTTAATGTCTATCATTGTAATAAGTCTTAATACCTGGTAGAGCGTTTCCTTCTACGTTGTCATTCTCTAAGATTGTCTTGGCTAGTCTTGACTCTGCCTTTACATATAAATTTAAAAATCGGCTTCTAATTTCCAAAACAAACAAACAGCACAGGCTGGGAATTTGACTGGAGTTGTATTAAATCTGTAGATCAGTTTGCAGACAATTAATATTACTACAGTGCTACTACAGCATGGAGTCGGAGTCCCCCAGTCCAGGACCTTGGTTTATCCCTTCATTTACTTAGGTGTTTAAACATTTTTATCAAAAATATCTTAGAGTTTTCCATGAAGCAGTCTTGCACATATTTTGCTAGATTTACTCCTGGATATTTGATTTAAAAATATGATTATAGATGGACTTTTTGTTTGCTAAACATTTATTGATATATCAAAATACATTTGATGATTTTGTATTTATTTTGATCAACTGGGTTTTGAAATCTTGCTTTCTCTTGGGAAGTAGGTTCATCCATGTACCCTAATATACTCTGTAGGCCTCCCCCGATGCACTGCCTATGGGACTCAAGGTTGCCATATTGCACAACTCCGGGGGCAGCAATGACATTGTAATCCATGTAGTCAGGAGAGGCATTATTTATATACAGTAGAATATGATTTGTGCTCTATGCATTGTGTAACCTTGACTGCCATGTAAGAAGTATATGAGCTGGGCACGGTGGCTCATGCCTTCAATCCCAGGACTTTGGGAGGCTGAGGCAGGCGGATCACCCAAGGTCAGAAGTTTGAGACCAACCTGGCTAACATGGTGAAACCCCGTCTCTACTAAAAATACAAAAATTAGCCGGGTATGGTGGCGCACGCCTGTAATCCCAGCTACTTGGGAGGCTGAGGCAGGAGAATCACTTGAACTCAGGAGGCAGAGGTTGCAGTGAGCCAAGATTGTGCCAGTGCACTCCAGCCTGGGAAACAGAGTGAGACTCCATGTATATTAAAAAAAAAGAAGTATATGAAAGGTGGCAGATATTGATAGAATTATCATTCCCATGCTTGGAAAATTGTATTTCTTTAGTGACTAGTCTATACCTCACTAGAAGGAAAGACTTTTTCCTCTTCTAGCCTGTTGTCTTTGAGAAACAAAATAGCATTGCCATATGTGAGAGCTCCTCCTCCTTCTCCATAGTCTATCTCCTCCTATGAATCCAACTACACTTAAATCACCTTTGGGGTCCAAAGCCAATGTAGTTGATTCCTGACTTAGCAGGGAAGAATGGAAAACCAATATTATCCAAGAAACAGGGAAGTGGGAATTGATCTGGATAGCGATGTTCAGTTTGTACGCTGCACGAAGGCTGCTGGCCATAAGAATAAATTTGGAGGAAGAAGGCTGAAATCCAGTAGCACTCTGCCCACCAAGCTGTGTGCCTTGGCGTGGGGCTGCATCTATACTCAGGGAGCACTTTCTCCTAATTCAGCTACCCAGATGGGGTATCGTTTCCCATTTTACACAAAGGCACCCTTTAGGCCAGTGGATGCCCTGGCCCAGGCCTCGAAGTTTGACTCATCTCCAAGTCGATCATCAGTAGCTGCATTTATCAGTTTCTCTTGGCACAGATTTGCAGCATTGCCAGGATGCTGACAAAATGTTTCTAGAGAACTCCACGCCCTCTTCTACCCTTTCTGTTAGTCTTTTATTGATTCTTCTCTCTTGTGTTTCTAAGCCTGAGCCAGGAACCCTCCTGTTATTAAAAGCAGTCCCAGTTGCCCACACCTTTCATTTCCTTTGAATTACATTAATTGCCTGACAGCTAAAAAGTGAGCTGGTATTTTCAGATTTCAGCGGCTGGTCGGCAAGAAATATTTACCAGCTCCTGCAGATTTATAAAGATGCCATGGAGATGCCTGGAGACTAACAATCAGAAAATACAGCAGCAAAACAACACTATTTTTCAAGGTTAAATGCTCAGAATGCTAAAAAGAAATTGTCCATAAAGCAAAATAGGGATTCAGAAGCAGGCAGCCTCTACTCTGGACAAAGAAAGGAGCCAGAGGTTTAAAATAAGATTTCACAGCTTCACAATAATTATGAATTTAATAAGGGGAGCTTTATTTTTAATTTAGTTTCAGTCTGGCAGCCAGTCTCCTCCCTCCAACCCCCTCTCTGCGGCATGGTAGTGCTCTTTAATGTGGTCCTAAGGCTAGGTCACAATGAGAGCTGGGAAGCGCCCCCAGCCATAAGACTTTCTGATGAAGAAGAATTTAGACAGATAATGTTTCTGCCTCTCTGCAGGCAGATGGGACTAACTCCCACTGGCTTTACTCCCTCCTGGCAGCCAGAAATGTCTTTTGCTATGTAGGAAGACACTAGGTTCTGAAAATTCCAAGACAGGAAGATTTTTTTCCTCCTGGATAGAACCCTAGGCTCTGATTCCTGTTCTCCATGAACAGAATAATAAAACCGAGCCAAGGCCACTAAGAATCATTTTAGACTCTGCTGGTCAACACCATCTCCACTTACAAAGTCTCTTTTCATAGACCACCTTTCAGTATGAGCCGTTTGCCAAGACCACATACATTCCTTTGTTTATTGTTCATTCATTCTACAAACATTTATTGAAGGTCTATTTTTTGAAGTACCCTGTGTTATAGAGGTTAAATTCACATGACAAAATTGATCATTTTAAGGTGAACAAATTAGTGGCATTTAGTACCTTCACAGTGTTATATGACCACCTCTGCCTTTTTCCAAAATAGCTTCATCACCCCCAAATAAAAACCTGTACCCATTAAACAGTTACTCTTCATTTTTCTCTTTCCCCAGAAAGGGGTACTACCAACCTGCTTTCTGCATTTGTGGATATACCTATTCTGGATATTTCATATACATGGAATTATACACCTTTTATGTCTTCTTACACTTATAATACTTTTGAGGTTCATCCCCATTGTAGCATATATTAGTTTCTTATGGCTAAGTAATAGTTAATTGTATGTATGTATTATACCACAATGTATTTATCCAGTCTTCCATTTATGGACATTTGAGCTCTTTCCATCTTTTGGCTATTGTGAATAGAGCTACCAGGATCATTCATGTACAAGTATTTGTTTGAGTACTTTTTAAAAAATTTCTCTGGGATATATGCTTAGGTCATATAGTAAGATCAAAAATATTTCCTGATCTTATTCCCTTTGTTAATGGAAATAGTCTTTTCATACATCTATGGTTTCTTCAAGACTGTTTCTCCAAGGCAGGGAGCTAGCTTCTTCCTTGAATAACTTTGTCTTCAGCTAGATAGGAGGAGCTCAAAAGCAAAATGATAGTTCCTAGTGGTATATATGCTAGACCAAAAGAGGAGAAATTCAGTCACTGAGGGTTGCCACAGAATGGTAACAATGAGATTAATAATAATGGTTTGCAGGAAAGACACCATCTTGAAAGGATGCTGTGAGGAATTCATTAGATAACACCTGATAGAAATACACAAGATGCACTTTCCTCTATCTCCCTTTCCATTCTTCTGTCTGCATAAATGACTGCCCTGAATTCCTTTGTAGAGCTATGATTTAATTATTCAGAGTTTGGTATCCACCTAATCTGTAAACCCTACTCGAGATATTTATTTTCAGCACCTGGGACAGAGCCCAGCATATGACAGTCACTCAGGAAGCAATTGTTGAAAGAATGAACAAATGTTCATCTGCTTATGTTCATTGCCAGACAAAAGAATCTGCATTTTACATCATGTCTATTGTTTACTGGGGAGGGGCCTATGTGACATTGCCTGTGTGAATTTGGGAAATGCTAAGACATTTTATTTTTGGTGTTTAATCTTATACTCCCACATGGGCCACAGGACTGGTCCATCTTATGGAATATGAAAAAAAATGTTCACATTTCAGGTTGTTCATAAATCTGCCTCCTGCATTACCATTTCTTATCTGCCTACTTCTGCTTCCCCTGAGTTCAGAGGAAGTGCTTTACCTTAGAAATGATTCACTACTCCTGGGCCATCGTGGGCTTTGAAAGCCACACAATAGAAGTTCCATTTCAAATCCCCCCATTTATAATCATGGGAGAAAGCTGGGTGTTGTCTTGGGGGTTATCAATGATTTCAGAAAACTCAACCTTTGTTCCTCATGTGTCCATTTTTCAAAAACTTACGACTCCAAATCTCTGGAAGTCATTGCATCTGAGGAAACATTTATCTTGGGTTTGACATCTTTTGCACTGTATCCCTTTTCAACTCTCCTTTCTCATGTAGGACAAACGGCACTGTGGGGTTTGAAATGAAGAGTTATGTCTTGCAGCAAGTGCGTGTGTGGAGACCCTGGGCTCCTCCCTGCCCCCTCCCCTGTGCCCCTGGGTTGGAAGATGAAGGAATAATCAGCAGAGACAAATGCTTATGAGTGAGGTTATGGGTTGAATTATATCTACCCAAATTTGTATGTGGAAATTCTATCCCCCAGTACCTCAGAATGTGACCTTCTTTGAAAATAGGTTTCTTGGGGATATAATTAGTGAAGATGAGGTTGTACTGGAGTAGGCTGGGGCCCTAATTCAATATGATTGTTGTCTTCATTAAAAGAGGGAATTTGGAGACAGACGCACACAAAAGAACTCCACATGGAGATTAAGGCAGAGGTCTAGAAGCCAAGAAATGCCCCAAATTGCCAACAAACCACCAAAGCTATGAGAGAGGCACGGGACGGATTCTTTCTCACAGCCCACAGAAGGAAACTATCCGGCCGGGCGCTGTGGCTCGCGCCTGTAATCTCAGCACTTTGGGAGGCCAAGGCGGGCGGATCACCTGAGGTCAGCTCAAGACCAGCCTGGCCAACATGGTGAAACCATGTCTCTACTAAAAATACAAAATTAGCCGGGCATGGTGGCACGCACCTGTAATCCCAGCTACTTGGGAGGCTGAGGCAGGAGAATCGCTTGAACCTGGGAGGTGGAGGTTGCAGTGAGATCACACCATTGCACTCCAGCCTGGGTGACAGAATGAGACTCCGTCTCAAAAAAAAAAAAAAAAAAAAAAAAAAAAGGAACCTACCCTGCCAGTACTTTGATCTCAGACTCCTAGCCTCTAGAACTGTGAAACAATACATTTCTGTTGTTCAAGTCACCTAATTTGTGGTCTTTGTTTTTATAGAAGTCCTAGGAAACTAATATAGGTGATACTCTCACGATGTTTGTCTAAAGGTCTCTATTTACTTGAGAGGTGATATAGCATAGTGGTTAAATACTTGGGTTTTTAGAACCAGACACCCAGGCGGATAATCTGGGAAAATTACTCATCATCTCTAGGCTTCCAATTTCCTTAAAATAAGATAGAGAATATAATAAATCTAGACCTGATAGTACTGTCATGACGATTAAATGAGATAATGTATTTAAAGCACTAAGCCAAAGAAATACCTGGCACATAGTAAACACGTGATGGGTGGTGGTTATTATAATGGTTATTATTAGTAATGAATGGCAACATTTACTGTTGCCCTAAAGCCCCAAAGAATCCTTTACTATCTATATTTTAAACTTTCTTCCCAGAGCACACTTAAGAAATGATTGACATTTTCCCTTCCCTCTGACCCCTGCTCTCTAGGTTAATGGTCTGAGGCTCTGTTCCATCTTTGTCCCTTTCCAGAGATTTAATCTCTCTCTCTCTCTCTCTCTCTCTGTGACATGGGACTTATATGATTGACACACAGGACCACCCACTTATTATTTACACTAGTGAAAGTAAGATGGTTCCAAAAGCTGGGTGAGGATTTGAAGTGACCAGAATAGTTGCCAGGATCATGTATTCTTTCATATACAAAAAACACATTTGTTGAAAGCCAGTGGTCTAGGTGTAGGATCTGATTTAGTGTGGGTTATTTGTCAATGTGGGCAGGGGAAGGGATGCAGCATAATAATTCCATAATAACTACCACTTACTGAAATGTATGTCAAGTGCCAGGCTAAATTGTCTCAGCACAATTATCCTTTAAAATCCTACAAGGTTAGATGGTCCTGTCATACCCATTTTATAGATGAGGAAATGGAAGCATGGAGCGATTAAGGCCATAGCTGGTTAAAGAGCAGAATCAGAAGTTGAACACATTCCACAGACTCTAGAGCTCACACTTTTAACTCCTGTGAGTCACTGCCTCAGCGGCACCAGGAATCCGCTGCTCTCAGGTGTATATTTGAAAAAGATTGTGAACGAGACAGAGGAAACCTGGTTACAGAATTAAATGCCAGCATGTAAAGCAAACATACAATCAAAACCAAGCTAATGAAAAAACAAAACCAAAACCGAATCCCCAAAACCCAGAATACAAAAACCTGCCATGTGTTGGTTACTGGAGGAAAATAAGTGTTTTCCTAATGTTTAAACTCAGCAACTGACCCTAAGACTTGTTTTAATTTTGCGATTGTTTTGAAGCTGCTAGTCTGCCAGGCATATGGTGCAGGTAAGCTTTGCCAAGTCGTTCCTCCGAAGCATTTTATTATGATAATAATCACAAATGTGACCTCAGTCCTTTTATCCTGTTTATTCTCTACCGTTTCCTGTGATAAGTGCTACTTCTGTACTTTGCCAACCTCCTCCACCCGCATTTGTTTAGGGAAAGAATATTAATTAGTGATATTAAGGAGGCTATGGGCTGAAAATGAAATTTTCATAATGGAATTCCTTAGACTATCTTTGCCCTCCGAGGCATCCTCTGTTTAAGCAGTTCAATTGAATATCATTATTAACATACGTAATAATAATAATTAGCATTATTGCCTGCATCAGTTGTTATTCATGGAAAACTGCAAGCTCTTTTCTATCTATTGGCCTCGGTTAAAAGTGCGAAATAGATTCTCATTTTATGTTTTATTTCCCTGTCATTTTTGCTCTGCTCAACTCCTATGCTTGGCAGCTGGACCCCTTATGAGGTCCTTATTGGATTTTTTTTTTTTTTTTGGAAAAATAAAGAAGTTTCTTTATTCTCCTGTTTGAAAGAGGAGTCTGTCAGAGGTGGAAAACCTTCAATAGGCCAACTTTTTTAATTTTTAATTTTTAAAGTTTTTTTAGAGGCAGCGTCTTGCTCTGACATCCAGGCTGGAGTGCATTGGTACTATCATGGCTCACTGCTGCCTCAGACTTCTGGGTTCAAGCGAGCCTCCTGCCTTAGGCCAACTTTCCTGAGTTGTCTTGAAGCTTTATTTGTGCACCGTAAGCCACTCAAGATTTTCTGCAAAACCTCTCCTGGTTTCTAGCATCTCTCTCTCCCAATCCATTATCTGGATACACTGAGAATCATGTTTCTAAAAAGCAAGTCTGGCTTTCCACCTCCTTTGCTGAAAAACCTTGATAGGCTTCCCATTGCGCTCAGGATAAAATCCAGATTTCTTATCATGTCTTAATGCCATGACCCTTATTTCCTCATCTGGCTTTATCTCTCCTCACTCCATCTCCTTCTGCAGTCTGATCGTATTAAACTTGTTTTGGTTTTGCAGAGAGACTGTGCCACCTCACCTCAAGCTATAGCATGTGCTGTAAATGAAATGCCCTCTCCTCCCTGATTCAGGCTTCAGTGTGGGCACCGAGTCCTAGGAGCTTTCCTATCTTCTCAGGTCCAAGGGTGGTGCCTGATGTTAATTTCAGGGAGGTATAAGACTGCATACGATACGCGCTTCTTCCCCAAGCACTGGTAAATGAATGGCTTTGAATATTTTGCATATAGGTCATAGTATGCTTCTGTTTCTCCCCTTCTTGGCTGTTTGGCTTAGAATAGGGGGCAACAAACTTTGGTCTGTGTGCCAAAAGCAATCAGCCACCTGTTTTTTTAAAACATTTTTTAAAATTGAGAGAAAATTCACACAACGTAAAGTTAACCATTTAAAAACATACAATTCAGTGGCATTTAGGACATTCACTTTTTTTTTTTTTTTGAGACAATTTGACTCTGTCGCCCAGATTGGAATGCAGTAATGTGATCTTGGCTCACTACAGCCTCGACATCCTGGGCTCAAGCGATCCTCCCACCTTAGCCTCCTGAGTAGCTGGGCCTATAGGCATGTGTCACCACTCCCAACTAATTTTTGTATTATTAATTTATATTTTATTTTATTTTGAACAAAGGTGGATTGTCTCCACCTTTTAGTAGAGTATTTTGTAGAGTCAGGGTTTTACCATGTGGCCCAGGCTGGTCTTGAACTCCTGGGCTCAAGCAATCCACCTGCTTCGGCCTCCCAAAATGCTGGGATTGTAGGTGTGCGCCACCATGCCTGGCCACATTTCCAATATTCTGTAACCATCACATCTGCTTAGTTCCAGAACATTTTCATCACTCCAAAAAGAAAGCCCATAACTGTTGAGCAGGTGTTCTCAATTTTCTTCTCCTCAGTCCTCGGCAACCACCAAGCTACCTTCTGTGTCTGTGGATTTGCCTATTCTGGACAATTTATATCAATGGAGAGTCATGCATTGCATGGTCTTTTATTCATTTATTTATTTTTTGAGACGGAGTCTCGCTCCGTCGCCCAGGCTGGAGTGCAGTGGTGCGATCTCGGCTCACTGCAACCTCTGCCTCCTGGGTTAAGTGATTCTCCTGCCTTAGCCTCCCCAGTAGTGGGGATTACAGGCATGCGCCACCACACCTAGCTAATTTTTGTATTTTTAGTAGAGGCAGGGTTTTGCCATGTTGGTCAGGCTGGTCTTGAACTCCTGACCTCAGGTGATCCACCCGACTCAACCTCCCAAAGTGCTGGGATCACAGGCGTGAGCCACCATGCCCGGCCTACGTTGCCTTTTGTGTCTGCTTCTTTCATTTAGCATATTGTTCTCCAGGTTTATCCACCTGGCAGTATGCGTCCATACTTCCTATTCATGGCTGAATACTATTCCATTGGATGCATATGCCACATTTTGTGCATCCATTTTTCAGTTGATTGATCTTTGGATTGTCTCCACCTTTTAGCTACTATAAATAGGGCTGCTGTGAACATTTGTGTACAAGTTTTTGTTTGAACTCCTATTTGTAATTATTTTCGGCCCATGCCTAAGAGGGGAGTTGCCGGGTCATATGGCAATTCTGTGTTTAACCCTTTCAGGAGCCACCAAACCCAGTGCCTGTTGTTGTAAATAAAGTTTTATTGGCACACGGTCAAGGCCATTCATTTACTTCTCGTCTATGACTGCTTCTGTGCGACAACGGCAGAGTCAAGTAGTTGCAACATACGCCATCTGCCCCTAAAGCCTCAAAGATTAATTTTTATGGAGTTTTACAGAAGTTTGCTGAACTTTAACTTAGTACACCTGTGTTAAGCAATGTAGCCTGCAGGCCTTGAAGCCAGTAACAGCACTTTTTCAACAAAGATGGGGTGAATACAGAAAAAAAAGTTTATTCTCCTTAACCTGACTTATACATTCCTGATACTTTAGAATATTTTATGTAGATCTGAGGAGCCTATTTTGAATATCAAAGGGTGAGGTCAAGTCTTGTGGGAAAAGTGGTCTGGAAAATTGCCTAGACTCTGGAGTCAGACTTTGTAGGTTAAGTCACGAAACCTCTCTGGGCCTCTGTTTTCTCATCCTTTAAATGGAGATGATTAGGCTCCCCATCTTGTAGGACGGTAGAGAGGATTAAATGAAGGAAACACTGGCGAAGTGCTTATAATGGTGCCTGGCATAAATATTAACTCTTACTAGGTGAGGCTCAGAGATCACCCAGGACAAAGAAAGAAAATGGATCAATGAGCTAGTTTATCTCATGCCTTTGGATAAAATACTCTACACCCCTCCTCTTAAAATTGTTTTTGTACTGCGATTTTTATTTTTGAGGTAGGATCTCTGTCGCCCAGGCTGGAGTGCAGAGGTACTTGGCTCACTGCCACCTCTGCCTCCCATGCTCCAGCAATCCTCTCACTTCAAACTCCTGAGTAGCTGAGAGTAGCATACATTTAGCGAATTGTTTTATTTTTCTGTAGAGACAGGTCTCACTGTGTTGCCTGGGCTAGGTAGCATGATTAAAAAAATTTTTTTTTGAGACAGAGTCTCTTGCTGTGTTGTCCCGGTTGGAGTGCAGTGGTACAATCTCAGCTCACTGTAACCTCTGCCTCCTAGGTTCAAGCAATTCTCGTGCTTCATCCTCCTGAATAGCTGGGACTACAGGTGTGCACCACCACATCTGACTAGCTTTTTAAAAGATTTTTAGTAGAGATGGGGTTTTGTTATGTTGGTCAGGCTGGTCTTGAACTCCTGGCCTTAAATGACCCATCTGTCTTGACCTCCCAAACCTCCCAAAGTGCTGGGATTACAGGCATGAGCCACTGTGTCCAGCCTGGGATAGTGTGATTTTTTTTTTTAATCGTGATAAAAATATAGGGTAATATAAAACTTACCATTTTAACCTTTTTTTTTTTTTTTTTTTTTGAGATGGAGTCTCACTCTGTTGCCAGGCTGGAGTGCAGTGGTGCCATCTTGACTCACTGCAAACTCCACCTCCCGGTTTCAAGCAATTCTCCTGCCTCAGCCTCCTGAGTAGCTTGGATTACAGGCATGCGCCACCATGCCCAGCTAATTTTTGTATTTTTAGTAGAGACGGGGTTTCAGCATGTTGGCCAGGATGGTCACAATCTCCTGACCTCATGATCCGTCCACCTCGGCCTCCCAAAGTGCTGGCATTACAGGCGTGAGCCACTGCGCCAGGCCCATTTTAACCATTTTGAAGTGTACAATTTTAAGTGTACAATTAAGTGGCATTAAGTACATTCACATTGTTGGGCAACCATCACCACCATCCATCTTCAGACGCTTCTCATCATCTCAAACTGAAACTCTGTCCTTATTAAACACCAATTCCCTATGCCTCCATTTCCCCATCCCTGGGCAACCACTGTTCTATTCTCTTTCTCTATGAATTCAGCTGCTCTAGATACCTCATATAAGTGGAATCATATGATATTTGTCTTTTTGTAACTGGCTTATTTCACTCAGCATAATATCTTTAAGTTTCATCCATGTTGTAACATGTTTCAGAATTTCTTCCTTTTTTAAAACACATTTTTATTGTGGTAAAACACAAATAATATAATATTTACCATTGGAACCACTTTTAAGCGTACAGTTCAGTGGTATTAAGTGCATTCATATTGTTGGGCAACCATCACCACCATCCATCTCCAGAATATTTTTGTCTTAGAAAAATGAAATGCAGGCTGGGCATGGCGGCTCATGCCTATAATCTCAGCATTTTGGGAGGCCGAGGTGGGCAGATCACCTGAGATTGGAAGTTTGAGACCAGCCTGACCAACATGGAGAAACCCTGTCTCTATTAAAAATAAAAAATTAGCCGGGTGTGGTGGCGCATGCCTGTAATCCCAGCTACTCAGGAGGCTGAGGCAGGAGAATCACTTGAACTCGGGAGGTGGAGGTTGTGGTGAGCCGAGATTGTACCACAGCATGGGCAACAAGAGTGAAACTCCATCTCAAAAATAATAATAATAATAAAATCAAATAAAATAAAATGCAGCTGGGCACAGTGGCTCATGCCTTTAATCCTTGCACTTTGGGAGGCTGAGGCAGGAGGATCACTTGAGACCAGGAATTTGAGATCAGCCTGAGCAGCATGTTGAGAATCTGTTTCCACCAAGAAAAAAAAAAAAAAATTAGCCAGGTGTGGTGGCACGTGCCTGGGAACACAGAGATGAATGCAGTTGGAGTGGAGCAAGACAGGAGAATGGTCTGAGATGGTGAAGAGACACGTGAGGCCAGGCTGTGCTGACCTGGTGAGATCCTGGGAGAAGAGTTTGCACTTCATTCCTAGTGCGATCAGAAGCCAGGGGAGGGTTGGCCACAGGAGAGTGACATGATCATCTTCACTGATTGCTGTTGAAAAAGACGGTTCTACTCTTTGACCACTGGCTTTGTAAAGAGGTTTTCAAGGCTCAGAGATGGCTTGTATTGTTATATTAGGAGAGGTTTGATGGTAGCCGACCTGGTAGTGGATGTTCTGTTTCAGGTGCCATAAATGGGGCCATACATCAAACCCATTGATTTTCTACTTCAGAGACCCCAAGAGCCATACAACCCTAACCCTCAGTGCCCCTGCGTAAAGTTAGACAGACATCGTTTATTGGGGTTACAGAGCAGCTGTCTAAATCCTGCCTGGACTCATTTAAAGCAGTGTGCCTCGGGGGCACCTTGCTCCTGCAAACATTTCAGAGCCAGGAAAGACTGACTGGGGATGAAGGATGCACCTGACTTCTTGGCACCTGCTGCTGCATTTTTGTTTTGATTGTTTGCATGATGCTTGGAGGAGAAGCAGGGAAAAAAGAGGCCGATAGGCGTTTTTCTCTCACTTATTGTTCTTTTTTCTGGCCTTGGAAGGATGGAAGGAAGGAAGGAAGGAGGGAAGGAAGGAAGCTAATATCTATTGAACAGCAATGCAGGGACTGGATAGTTATGGTCCCAAGTTACCTAATTTCATTCATTCATTCATTCATTCATTCATTCCACAAGAAATATTCATTGAGTGTCTTTATATGCCAGACATTGTTCTGGGCCCCAGGAATAAGCATTGAACACAATGGACAAAGCCTCTTCTCTCTTGGGGCTGACTTTCTGACAAGGAAGACAAGACAGACATTAAACAGGTAAGTACAAATCAGGCGGATATGTCCTAGGAGGAAAAACCAAGCTGAGTAATGAGATGGAGAGAGTGTGGACTATTTTATGTGGGAGGGGGACACTGGTCAGGGAAGCTCTCTTTGCAAAAGTGGTATCTGAGCAGAGAACTAAAGAAAATAAGGGAGAGAAGCACCAGACTTTCTGTGGATCTAGGACATTGTTATTTCTTCTTAGAGAAGAGTCTACTGAGAATTGGAGGAATTAAGTGACTCTTCCAAGATCAGAAGATAGTGGTAGCAGTAGCAGCAGCAGTAGTAGTAATAGATAAATTTTATTACATTTGCTCTATGCCAGGCACTAGATGAAATATTTATTTCTATCATCTCATTTAATTTTCACAACAAATCTACAAGGTAGATATCATTATTGTTATTCCCATTATATAAATGCCACCGAGGATCATAGAAGTGATATCACTTAGCTAAGGTCACACAGCTAATAAAGGAGAAGCAGAGATTCAAATCCACGTTCATTAGTCTCCAGGACACTATAACCATTTTCCAGCCCATAGCTGATGAAGCTGAAATACAGAGTGAAGCCTCTATCTGAAAACCCTTCTTTTCCAATAGACCAGTCCAAATCCCAACTTTCAATGCAGTACCCGGTTCTTTGATTAGACCCTGGCATAGGGTTTGTTAGGTGGGTATTGAGGGCCTTCTAAATAATGGAGTAGTGCATTTGGATCTGTGACCACAGACATTTTGAGTCCCACCATCTCTGATTTGCACAGAGACCTTCTTGTGACCAATTATTGTGAGTCAAGAGCTCAGGTGTCCAATGAAAGTTCGCAGGGAGCTACTCTTCTCTTGAAAGAAATGGGCTATAGAGCTCTATTGGCCTGGGATGTGCAGCTCCATTGGTCCATGATTTGATGAGAAAGACTGCAAACGTGTGATCCAGATATATGGATGTGTATATGCCTCTTAGCAAGAATGCAGTTGATTTTCTAGGTCTATGGAGCTATGCACACAGCTATAGCATTCATTTACTCACTCATTCTGTGCTGTGCCTGCTAGTGTGTTACATTCTGAGTCTGCAGCAATGAACAGGCAAGGTCCCTGTCTTCCTGTTGAATACATTATAAGGGGAGAATGAGGGAGTGTTGTGTGAAGAAGGAGAAAATAAAGCGGATGAATAAATGAACAAGATCATCTCAGATGCTGAGAGTGCCCTGAGGCATTGCCACAGAGAGACACTGGGATGTCTGCTTATATTGAGTGGTCAGTGGAGGCCCCTCTGAGCAGGGCCAATTGAACAGAAGGGGAGGGAGGAGCTGCCATGAGCAGTTCTGCAGAAAAGCATTTCAGGTGCCAGAAACATCCCGGTAACAGACAGAAGACTGGGTCAAGGGGTACGTGCCTTAAGGACTGTGATAATTAGGTGGGTACACAAAGTATTTTGCTGAGACTTGCAAAAAGGAAACCAGAGGGAATGCCAGCATGAAAAACATGAGATTTCAAGTCTGTAACTGCTAAAAGTCACAGACTCTTTATAACTTATGAGCTCTTTATAACTTATGGGCCGCAGGAGAACCTTTGAAGAATGTGGTTCAAGAGAAGGATTAGCTAGCAGAGAAGATTTTAAGAAATATGTCTTAAAAATAATTTTATGATGGGAAATTCCAAAGGTATATGAAAGTAGAAGAATAGCACAATGAATTCTCAGGACTCACTACCTGGCTTCAACAATGGACAACTCATGCCCAGTTTTGCTTATACCTCTACCTGTTTTCCCCACATACATTATTTTGAAGCCAATTCCAGTCACTACCATTTCATCTGTAAATATTACAATGTGTATCTTGAAAAGATAAACTCTTAAAAACATAGGCACAATACCATCAGTGCACCCAAAACATTAACAATGATTCCTTAGAACATCAACTATCCAGTCACCGTTCAGGTTACTTACTGCCTAATACAATTTTTTCTTTCTTTTTTATTTTTATTTTACTTTAAGTTCTTGGGTACATGTGCAGAATGTGCGGGTTTGTTACGTAGGTATGCAAGTGCCGTGGTGGTTTGCTGCACCTATCAACCCGTCATCTAGGTTTTAAGCCCAGCATGCATTAGATATTTGTCCTAATGCTCTCCCTCCCCTTGACCCCCACCCCCCAACAGGCCCCGGTATGTGATGTTCCCCTCCCTGCGTCCATGTGTTTTCATTGTTCAACTCCCACTTATGAGTGAGAATATGTGGTGTTTGGTTTTCTGTTCCTGTGTTAGTTTGCTGAGAATGATGGTTTCCAGCTTCATCCATGTCCCTGCAAAGGACACGAACTCATTCTTTTTTATGTCTGCATAGTATTTCATAGTGTATATGTGCCACATTTTCTTTAACTAGTCTATCATTGATGGGCATTTAGGTTGGTTCCAAGTCTTTGCTATTGTAAATAGTGCTGCAGTAAGCTCTCTCACCCAGGCTGAAGTGCAGTGGCACAATCTCGGCTCACTGCAACCTCTTTCCCCTGGGTTCAAGTCATTCTCGTGCCTCAGCCTCCCCAGTAGCTGGGATTACAGGTGCATGCCGCCACACCTGGCTAGTCTAGTTTTTGTATTTTTAGTAAAGACAAGGTTTTGCCATATGGTCAGGATGGTCTTGAACTCTTGGCCTCAAGTGATCTGCCGCCCGCCTTGGCCTCCCAAAGTGCTGGGATTACAGGCATAAGCCACCACTCCCGGCTCTGCCTAATACATTTTAATAATAATTTCTTTGAATCAGAATCCAACTAAAGTCCTACACATAGTGATTGGCTCATGTGTCTTTTAATCTATAGGTTTCCCCTTCAGTTCTTTTATTGCTGGAAAAATAGGTTATTCATCTTGTGTAATTCAAAATGTGGTCAGTGAACCAGGATCATCAGCATCACCTGGGAACTCGGTAGAAATGCAGCATCTCAGATCCCATCCCAGACCTCCTGGGTTAGAAACTACATTTTCACAAGGTCCCTGGGTGTTTTGTATGCACAATTAAGTTTGAGAAGCACTGCTGTAGAGTCCCCCGCAGTCTAGACATTGCCAGTTGCATCTCTGTGGTGTCCTTTAGTGCATTCCTTCATCTTCCACTTTTCTTTCTTTTCTTTCTTTCTTTTTCTTTCTTTCTTTCTTTCTTTTTCTCTTCCTTCCTTTCTGTCTTTCTTTCTTTCATTCCTCCCTCCCTCCCTCCCTCCCTCCCTTCCTTCCTTCCCTCCTTCCTTCTTTCTTTTCCTTCCTTCCTTCCCTCCTTCCTCCCTTCCTTCCTTCCCTCCCTCCCTCCCCTACCCTCCCTCCCTCCCTCCCTCCCTCCCTCCCTTCCTTCCTTCCTTCCTTCCTTCCTTCCTTCCTTCCTTCCTTCCTTCCTTTTTTCCTCTCTCTTTCTTTCTTTTTTGTTTGAGTTGGAGTCTCACTCTGTCACCCATGCTGGAGTGCAATGGTGTGATCTTCGGCTCACTGCAACCGCTGCCTCCCGGGTTCAAGCAATTCTCCTGCCTCAGCCTCCCAAGTAGCTGGGATTACAGGCACCCACCACCACGCCCCGCTAATTTTTGTATTTTTAGTAGAGACGGGGTTTCACCTTATTGGCCAGGCTGGTCTCTTAGCCAAGCTGGTTTCAAACTCCTGACCTTGTGATCCACCCACCTCAGCCTCCCGAAGTGCTGGGATTACAGGTGGGAGCCACCGTGCCTGGCCCATTGTCCACATTTCTGTAAGTTGATAAGTTGTATCTATACATTTTTATCAGATTTAGGTCTGATTTTTTCTTTTTCTTTTTTTTTTTTTTTTAGCAAGACCACTTTTTAGATTGTTATGTTTTTCCATGAGGAGGTAACTGATGTCTGGTTATCTCCCATTGTGTTTTTATTTTTTAAAATTATTTTTATTATTTATTTATTTAATTTTTGAGATGGTGTCTTGCTCAGTTGCCCAGGCTGGAGTGCAGTGGCATGATCATGGCTCACTGCAGCTTTGACCTTGCAGGCTCAAGTAGTCATCTTACCTCAGCCTCCTGAGTAGCTGGCACCACAGGCATGCACTAACATACCCGGTTAGTTTTTTACAAAACTAATTTGTAGTGATGGGGTCTCACTGTGTTGCCTAGGCTGGTCTGGAACTCCTGGGCTCAAGTGATCCTCCCACTTTGGCCTCCTAATTTGCTGGGACTACAGGCATGAGCTACCATGCCCAGCCTCATTTGTGATGTTATCTATCTGCTGTATGATAATGCCTAGATCCATGAATTCATTAAGGGTTGCAAAACAGAGCAAGGCTTTGACTTGAGTGGATCCAGTTTATTTTGGAAGTGATTAATTCTCTAATTTTTATTCACCATTTCTATAAAATTAATGGTATATTGCACCAATTATGTGCCAGGAACTGTTCTAAGGGCTTTACATAAATGAATGCATTTATTGATCCTCACAAAAATCTTTAAAACTGTGTATTCATTTCCTATTGCTGCTGTAACAAATTGCCACAAACTTAGTGGCTTGGAACAATCCAAATTATTATCTTACAGTGTTGGAGGTCAGAAGTCCCAAAGAGGTCTCACTTGGTTAATATCAAGGCATTGACAGGGCTGCATTATTTCTGGAGGCTCTGGGGAGAACCTTTGCCTCTTCCAAATTCTAGAGACCACCTGCAGTCCTTGGCTTGTGGCCTCTTTCTCCATATTCAGAGCTACTAGCATAACATCTTTAAATCTCTCTCTGATTCTCTTCTTCCTCCCTCTTCCACACTTAAGGACCCTTTTGATTACATCGGTTCTACCTGCACAACCTCCTGGTTTTAAGGTCAACATTGATTCCATCTGCAACTTTGATTCCCTTTTGCTGTAGAATCTAACATATTCATAGGTTCCAGGAATTAGGACACAGACATCTCTGAAGGGACATTATTCTGCCAGCCACCACTAGGCTCTTTGGTTCCTGTTTTACAGACAAGGAAACTGAGATACATCGAGGGGAAATAACTCATCCAAATTCACACAGGTCCTAACTGGTGGAGCTTGGATACAAACAGAGAGAGTCTGGCTCCAGAGTCCATGCTTTGAACCCAGCAGATGTGAGATCACTTAGTGCTCAACACTGAATTTCCTCTGAGACCTCGATCTTGCCAATGAACATATGTTTTTAGGAACATTGAATCCTGCGGTTGTCAGGGGATTTCTGCACACAAATGTTAGCCGGTGAATTCACCGTTCTTTCCGATGGTAAGTTAGTGTTTCCCTCCTAAAAGGTGGTAACAGTGGGCTTGTCCTTGGTTCAGTCTGTTTCTTCTTAGGCCCAGTCAGTTACCCACTGAATTAACCCCACGCTGGACCCTGACCTCTTTTTGGTACCATGTACCCTTTTGGCATCTGGCGGAGTCTATGACCTCCTTCTGAGAACAATATCCTTTTTTTTTTTTTTTTTTTTTGGAGAAGATATGTTTATTAATGGATGATTACATTAGCTTTCTGGGCAACAAACCTAAATATGCCTACTAATATTGATCTTCTATTCAACTCAAACTGAATAACATAACTTGTTCTCAATATAACTTACTTTTTTTAAAGTATTATTGCATGCCCTTATTTTATTTAAACTGAGATCTTCTTGGTGTCAGACGTTTATCTCAACCTATAGGTAAATATGTTTACAATTATAAATCTGCTAGTAAACATATTATATAACTTCTTCTACTTAGTAATCTTCATATTAGACAACTATAGCTTAAGTATCATCATACTAGTTATACTCAAATTTTCCCTATTGCCTTAAAGATTCCCTTTGGCAGTTTGTTTGTTTAAATTAAGGCCCAAAATTCACATATTTCCTTTTTTATATATATAAATCTTTCTAACTCCAAAACAATATTTAACCATTAGCACTTTTTATTTTTGGTCCATTCAGTTTTGGGAAAATGTTATTTAGGCTATGAAATATTCTATACTAGATTTGATTGATTGTTCTTTGTAATATTGTTTAAATTATTTATCTATGCAAAAAATAAAGTGCATGGAATTACAAAGGAAACCAATTATACTAAAATATGGTTATCAAAATATAAAAAAACTCACCAAATTTGTGTCATAGTAATATGTGAATCTTTACTAATGCATCAAATAACAAGATTTAGTGGTGAGTCTAATAACTATGTAATTCCAATTAGTGATGCACACGTACAATATAATGAGATGTCTGCTATGATTGTAATGAGATATGAAAATATCGTGATTTATATCGGTGACAAAAATCACAGATATTGCAAATACTACTGTGGTTTGTTGCTTCCATTTATAATAGAAGGAAATGCTAAATTTTAGTTAGCAATCAGAGAAAATGAGGCAGGTTTATGGACCCTCTGAATTCTACCCACAAACCTCAAGTTGGGAGCCCTGGCCTAGTACCCCATTGGTTTGTGCTGCTTATTTAGTATTTCTCTCTCTCTCTCTCTCTTTTTTTTTTTTTTTTTTTTTGGAGACAAAGTCTCACTCTGTCACCCAGGCTGAAGTGCAGTGGCACGATCAGAGCTGGCTGCAACCTCTGCTTCCCGGGCTCAAGCAATCCTCCCACCTCAGCCCACTAAGTGGCAGGGACTACAGGCATGAGTCACCACGCCCAACTAATTTTTGTAATTTTTTGTAGAGATGGGGTTTCACCATGTTGCCCAGGCTAGTCTCAAACTCCTGAGCTCAAGCAGTCCACCCGCCTCGGCCTCTCAAAGTGCTAGGATTCCAGGTGTGAGCCACTGCACCGGGCCTGTTTCGTGTTTCTCTTAATTTGATAGACTCTAGCAAATACCTGTTGAGACCCCACTGTGGGCAAGGCATGTGCTAGGGACTTGGGAGAGAGCACTGAACACACAGAGCTGGCCTTCAAGGAACAGATAGATTTCTTTTAAGATTTTCCCGCCTTCCTTCTGGGGGGAGAGTGTCTTCACCCTTCAGTGTAATTGCAAACTCCTTGAAGGCTGGGAGTGGTTCTAAGTCCCTTCTCTTGTCAGGCCTCAGATGATAGGCATTGAAGAAACAGGAGGTTCAAAGATCAATGTTTACACAAAACGATTTTCGGTCGTTCATGGAAAAAAACATTTTATTATTTAACAGTTAAACATTTATGTTAATGCAGATAAGAAAATATATAGAACTCAGCTGGGTGTGATGGCTCACACCTGTAATCTTAGCACTTTGGGAGGCCGAGGTGGGAGAATTGCTTGAGTCCAGGTGTTCCGGACCAGCCTGGGCAATATAGCAAGACCCTATCTCTTAAAAAAATAAAAGAAAACATATAGAACTAGCCATCTTAATACATAATATGGGTTATTATTGCCTAGGATGAGGACTTTTCTTCTTTTTATAACTGTGCTGAAAAGGACATGACATTGTACTTACCATCTTCACCATTTTATAATGTACAGTTCAGTTGTGTTAAGTGTATTCACGTTGTGCAATAGATCTGTAGAAGTATTTCATCTTGCAAAACGGAAACTCTAGACCCATTAAACACTAAATACCTCCAGCCCTTGGCAACCATGATTCTACTTTCTGTTTCTAGGAGTTTGACTACTTGAGATACCTCATTGGAGTGGAATTGTTCGGTATTTGTCCTTTTGTGACTGGCTTATCACATAAAGTCGTCGAGGTTTGTCTATGGTGCAGCACCCCACAAGATTTCCCTCTCTCTCTCTTTTTTTTTTTTTTTTTTTAAAGACAGGGTCTCACGCTGTCACCCAGGCTGGAGTGCAGTGGCATCATCTCGGTTCACTGCAACTTCTGCTCCCTCGACTCAAGTGATACTCCCACCTCAGCCTCCTGAGTAGCTGGTACTATAGGCACACACCACCATGCCTGGCTTTTTTTTTTTTTTTGGCATTTGGCAGTTTGTTTGTACATTGAAATACAAGATCTCTGAAGCTTTTGTAGCTATAAATGTTTCTAAATGATGCAACACATGGTCTCGCCATGTTGCCCAGGCTGGTCTCAAACTCCTGAGCTCCAGCAATTGGCCCGCCTCAGCCTCCCAAAGTGCTGGGATTACAGGCGTGAGCCACTGTGCCTGGCCAAATATCCCTCTTTTTAAAGGCTGAATAACATTCCATCGTACGTAGATATCAGATTTTCGTTATCCCTTCATTTGCCAATGGGCATTTGGGTTGCTTTCACCTCTTGATTATTGTGAATAACCCTGCAATGAACATGGGTGTGCAAATATTTCTTTGAAATCCTGCTTTCAAATTTTTGGGATATATACCCAGAAATGGAATTTCTGGATCATATGGTATTTCTATTTTTAACTTTTTGAGGAGTTTCCATACCGTTTTCCTGTAGCAACTGCACCATTTTCATTCCCACCAACTGTGCACAGAAGTTCCAATTCTTCACGTCCTCGCCAACACTTGTTATTTTCTGTTTTTTTTTAATTGTGGCCATCATAATGGGTGTGAGGTGATATGAGATGAGGATATTTCAAGATAATATTAAGTAAATAATAGTAGAGGTGTTCAATAGAAATGGCAAAAATGAAGATGTACCAATGCATGAAGTTTGGAAACCTCTTTTTTTTTTTTTTTTGGACAGTCTCTGTCACTCAGGCTGGAGTGCAGTGGCACGATCTTGGCTCACTGCAACCTCTGCCTCCCAGGTTCAAGCGATTCTCCAGCCTCCCAAGTAGCTGGGATTACGGACACCTGCCACCATGTCCAGCTAATTTTTGCATTTTTAGTAGAGATGTGGTTTCACATTGTTGGCCAGGCTGGTCTCGAACTCCTGACCTCAAGTGATCTGCCCGCCTCGGCCTCCCAAAAGTGATGGGATTAGAGGTGTGAGCTATCATGCCCAACCTGGAAAACTCTTGATCAGACAACTTCTAAAGCTGCCCAAAGTGTGGTCTGTGGTCAGTAATGGCCTGAGAACTGTTCCTTGTCTGAGACCAGATAAGACAGAACTTGAGGGTACCTGTTTAGAAGGATAGCAATTTAACATTCCTAAAACATCTGAATGCATGATCGTTATTCTAGTAATTTGCTTTTATTGTATTTTATGAACGTATTGGCCCACGATGGATTGGCAAACAAAAGAAGACAAAGCAAAGCTGGCCCTGCAGCCCTGACAGTCTGAGAAGCTCTACAGTTCCGCCCAGGCTTGGCAACATAACTACTGAACTTATTTTGGCCTCAGATTTTCCATCTATAAAATGAGGATAAGAAAAGGAAAGCTCAGTCTTCATTTTATTTTATTTTTGAGACAGAGTCTGGCTCTGTTGCTCAGGGTGGATCATGCAGTGGCGCGATCTTGGCTCACTACCACCTCCACCTCCTGGGTTCAAGCGATTCTCGTGCCTCAGCCTCCTGAGTAGCTGGGATTACAGTCTTGTGCCATCATGCCCGGCTAATTTTTGCACTTTTAGTAGAGATGTGGTTTCACCATGTTGGCCAGGCTGGTCTTGAACTCCTGACCTCAAGTGATCCGCCCACCTGGAGCTCCCAAAGTGCTGGGATTACAGGCGTGAGCCACTGTGCCCGGCCGGGAGCCCAGTCTTGATCGTTGTCAGCTAGTAGCTGGCCTGGTACTACTGCTAGGCTGTGGTGTTCCCTACTTAAGCAATTTCATAGGATGGTCACACTGGAAGATGTCATGCTGACCATGATGAAACAAGACAAAAACAAGACAGTCTGTAATGAATCCTATCTGAGCATGAAAGTATGAGCAGTGGGCAAACCACAAAAAAATGGCCAAACGCATCCTCTCCTTCTGACTGACACATGCAGTTACTGCTGGTTTTCCAATGACAGCTTTAGCCCCACTCTATTCCTCCTGCCTCCTACATAAAAATTATGATGATGCCCAGCCATGGAATTAACACTGCTTTCTGCCAGCTAACCAGAAGCGCCCCAACACACTCTTACTGGGACACAGCTCCCACTCCCCATGGTGTGTGGTCTTCCTTGTTGCAACAGGTTACTAAACCCATTTCTGTTCAACTACAGGTGTGTTTCTGGTGGCTTCTGGCTGATGAGCATGACAGGAATAATAATAGATGGCTATAGGTTTAAATGAGTTCATGCATGCAATATGCTTAGAATGATGCCTGGCTCCAAGTAAGGTCTATTAAAATGTTAGATATTATTATTATTGTTATTATTATTCGGAATAGCGTCTTGCTGTGTTGCCCAGGCTGGAGTGCAGTGGTGTGATCATGGCTCACTGTAGCCTCAACCTCCTGGGGTCAAGCAATCCTCCCACTTTAGCCTCCTGAGTAGGTGGGAGTACAGGTGTGAGGCACCATTACAGGCCTATTATTATTAATAATATTATCTTTGTCCCTCACAGTGATGGGCACCACATCTTGCCATAGAAAGACCCCATACTTGCTGGGCACATTGGCTCATGCCTGTAATTCCAGCGTGTTTAGAGGCCTAGGCGGGAGTATTACTTGAGCCCAGGAGGTTGAGACCAACCTGGGCAACACAATGAGATCTAGTCTCTACAAAAATTAAAAAATCAGCCAGCTGCGGTGGTGCAAATCTGTGGTCCCAGCTACTGGGGAGGGTGAGGTGGGAAGATTGCTTGAGCCCAGGAAGTTGAGGTTTCAGTGAGCTGTAACTGTGCCACTACACTCCAGTCTGTGTGACAGAGCGAGACCCTGTCTCAAAAAATTGAAAGACACACCCCACACTTGTGGGGACACCAAATTTGTGGATTGATTTGGGATAGTGTATTCATCATCTATTGTTGTGTAAAAAGTTACCCCAAATGCAGTAGCTGAAAACAATAAATACCTATTATCTCACAGCTTCTACGGGTCAGGAACCCAGGAGCAGCTTAGCTGGGTGGTTCTGACTCAGGATCTCTCATGAGGCTGCAAGTCAGGCTGTTGGCTAGAGCTGCTGTCACACTGGGACTCAACCAGAGGAGACTCTGCTCCGAAGTTCCTTCACATGGGGGCTGTGCCTCCCCATGCGAACCTCGCCATTGATGGCCTGAATGTCTCTGCAACATGGCAGCTGGTTCCCGAGAGAGAGAGAGAGAGAGAGAGAGAGAGAGAGAGAGAGGGAGAGAGCAAGCACAACCCTATTCTATTCATGATGCAGACTAGCCCTGGTCTGTGCATGGTGGGGGATGCCACACAAGGGGATGAATACCTGGAGGCAAGAATAATTGGGACCATCTTGCAGGTTGGGCCATAGAGGGCCTCCCTGTTCCTCCAAGTGCCCTCCAACTTTTCCCTCTTGGCTTCAACTTTTTTTTTTGTTTGTTTGTTTGTTTTTGAGACAGAGTCTCACTCTGTCACCCAGGCTGCAGTGCAGTGGTGTGATCTCGGCTCACTGCAACTTCCACCTCCCGAGATCAAGGGATTCTCCTGCCTCAGCCTCCCGAGTAGCTGGGACTACAGGCGCCCGCCACACCATGTTGGGCTAATTTTTTGTATTTTTAATAGAGATGGGGTTTCACCGTGTTAGCCAGGATGGTCTCGATCTCCTGACCTTGTGATCTGCCCACCTCAGCCTCCCAAAGTTTTGAGATTACAGGCATGAGCCACCGCACCCAGCCGGGCTTCAACTTTAATTTAGACCAAGAAGACATCTCCATTCTCTCTGAATGGAGCTTGAAGACAAACAAACAAGAAATGAGTGTGAGTATAGCTGGGGTGGGATGGGGCCTACAGGTATTGGAGAGGCAGAAATCTCGTCCTGTCTGTTGACATTTGTCAAGGCCTCTGCAGGGACAGGCTCCTGGGAGACTCTGCAGTCAGCTGCACTTCCAGAGGGAGAAGAGGCATACGCTTTCTCTCTCTCTCTCTCCTCTTTTCTTCCTCTCTCCCTCCTCCCTGCAGCAAGAGTCTTGAATCCCTCTGACTGACAGTGTCAGATTGTCTTATCAAAACACGGGTCCGGGACTACACTGTGATTGGCTGTGCAGAACCATTGTGGGGCTGGAGAATTCTTCTCCGAGGGAAATGATTATAAGGGATTTTAAGAACAGCAAGCTGAATGCTACGCACAGCTGGCAGTTCTTGTTTTTGACAAGTAATAATTGCCTCAGGTGCAATGGAAAGTGGGGGTGGGGGGCTCTGTGAGTTTATTTTGAGAGGAGGCTCAGTGCACAGGGGTTGGGCATTGGACAAGGAGGGGTGAATGGGAGCAACTTGGCTCAGGGGGTCTCAGACTGACTCGATCTGAGGCTGAGGGAGCATCTGGGGTGGCCCTGAGTGACAGTATGTTTCCTTCTGTGCCCCTGGGAACACCTCTTGCCATCTGAGTGGGGAGACAGGGGGTGACTTGTGATTGTAGGAAGGCCCAGATGTTCTGAGCAAACTGACCCAAAGCAGCATCTGTCCTGCATGGGGGCCTGGCCCTGTGAGGGTGATGCACGAGCGGCTTTTGTGCTTAGAGAGCCCTGGAACCACTGTATGCCTTGCTAGACACTTGCTACTCAAAGTGTAGTGCCTGGGCCAGCAGCATCAGCACCAGCCTGGGAGCTCATAAGAAAAGCAGAGGCTCAGGTCCCCCTCAGGGACCTACAGAATCCAAATCTGCATTTTGATTTTTGTTTTTGTCTTTTGTTTTGAATTTTTTTTTTTTTGAGGCAGGGTTTCACTCTGTCATCCAGGCTGGAATTCTGGGGTGCAATCATGGCGCACTGCAACCTCGAACTCCTGGGCTCAAGCAATCCTCCCACGTCAGCCTCCCGAGCTGACATGCCCAGCTAATTTTTTTTTTTTGAGACGAAGTTTCACTCTTGTTGGCCGGGCTGGAGTGCAATGGCATGATCTTGGCTCACTGCAACCTCTGCCTCCCAGGTTCAAGCTATTCTCATGCCTCAGCCTCCAGAGTAGCTGGGATTACAGGCCTGTGCCACTGTGCCCGGCGAATTGTTGTATTTTTAGTAGAGAGGGGGTTTCACCATGTTGGCCAGGCTGGTCTCGAACTCCTACCTCACGTGATCCACTCGCCTCTGCCTCCCAAAGTGTTGGGATTACAGGCATGAGCCACTGCACCCATTATATATTTTTTTAAGCTTCAAAAAAGAAAATGGGCACTGCCATGGAAAGGAGAAGCTGGATTGTATGCCAGGCAGTCAAAAAGCCAACTGTTTTTGATGATTGGAGTGCTGGTTACAGAGGGAGCTCATTTTCTTTTTTAAAAATATATTTAAAAATGTTTTATAAGGCCGAGATGGGCAGATCACCTGAGGTCAGGAGTTTTAGACCATTCTGGCCAACATAGTGAAACCCTGTCTCTGCCAAAAATACAAAAATTAGCTGGGCGTGGTGGCAGGTGCCTGTAATCCCAGCTACTCGGGAGGCTGAGCCAGGAGAATCGCTGGAACCCGGGAGGCAGAGGTTGCAGTGAGCCGAGGTCGTACCACTGCACTCCAGCCTGGGCAACAGAGTGAGACTGTCTCAAAAAAAAAAAAAATTATAGATTTAGGGGGTACAAGCGAAGATTTCTTACATGCCTATTCTGGGATTTTAGGGTAAACATCACCCGAATAGTGAACATTGTATCCAATAGGTAATTTTTCACTTCTCATTCCCCTCCCGCTCTCCTACCTTTTGGAGTCTCCAGTGTCTAGTCTATTATTCCGCTCTATATGTCCATGTGTACCCTTTGTTTGGGGCTCATTTTCTTTTCTTTTTAAATAACCTTCATTTAAAAAAAGTTAATATGTGCATTATCGGAAACTGAAAAACACAAGAAGCAAAGAACAAAATCATCTACAATCACAAGCAGTGGAACTCATCTTTTTTTTTGTTTTTTTGTTTTTGTTTTTTTTTTTTGAGATGGAGTCTCACTCTGTTGCCCAGGCTGGAGTGCAGTGGTGTGATCTTGGCTCACTGCAACCTCTGCCTCCCTGGTTCATGCCATTCTCCTGGCTCAGCCTCCCGAGTAGCTGGGATTACAAGTGCCCACCACTATGCCCAACTAATTTTTGTATTTTTAGTAGACACTGGGTTTCACCATGTTGGCCAGGCTGGTCTCAAACTCCTGACCTCAAGTGATCCGCCTGCCTCGGCCTTCCAAAGTGCCAGATTACAGGCGCAAGCCACCGTGCCTGGCACAGAACACATTCTCTTTATGTGATTTTGTGTCAATGTGGAGAGATATTCAACAAGGACATGGAGTCTGTCAGACTTTGCATTGCCCCATTTCCTGTATACTAGTTTGATGCTTGCTCTATGCAGATGTCTTGGCTCATGAAGGCCCATGTACATTCTGGAAGACGGTCATGGAGCCGGGGACCAAGTCCTGTGGCTGAGAGGATAAAGGACTCTGTCCCAGTCTGGAACTGATCACCTCAGAGTAACATGATGGGGTAGTCCATGGACTTTCACGTCAGACCAAGCTGGGTGTAAAGCCAGGAGCTGCCACTCAGCAGCTGTGTCACCTCAGGGAGGATGCTGTGCCCTCCCCTTCCCCCAGAGAATGGCCTCTGCCCGGCCTGCCTTGGTGAGCACAGGAGCTCATGGATTAAGATGTGTAACATGCTCAGCATGGGGCTTGGCACATTACAGTCAGTGCTGAATAAAGGCTAGGCATTAATATGATGTTGATAAATTGTTTTATTTTATATGATTTAAAGATAAGCTTTGAGGTGATGCCGGGGGAGAGCGTGGATGGGAAATTTGATAGTTTCAGGAGTTTGAAGAAGGCACTTCTAGAAGAGATTGGTGATGAAAACAGCAAGGTCTACAGAGCTCTTATGGAGGTTTCTTTTTCTTTCTTTCTTCTTTTTTTTTAACTGAGATGGAGTCTCGCTGTGTCGCCCAGGCTGGAGTGCAGTGGCGTGATCTCGGCTCACTGCAACCTTTGCCACCCAGGTTCAAGCGATTCTCGTGCCACTGCCTCCCAAGTAGCTGGGACTACAGGCGCACGCCATCATGCCGGCTAATTTTTTTGTATTTTTAGTAGAGACGGGGTTTCGCCATGTTGGCCAGGCTAGTCTCGAGCTCCTGACCTCATGTGATCCACCTGCCTCAGCCTCCTAAAGTGCTGGGATTACAGGCGTGAGCCACCACGCCCCACCTCCTTATGAGGTTTCTATGTGGTTCTTCACTGAGTTCCAGGACACTCTTCCCTGGCCAGCAGTAAATCAGGAAGACAGCAGTCCTTAGAGCTGAGGTGGTAACACAGGATGTTTGCAAAAGGGTTGAATATTTCAGGAGAAAATAGCTAATCTTGTCTTTAAAAAAATCAGCCAATTAACCAACAAACCATGTGACCTCAGATAAATATTGTTTCCTATCCAGCTCAATTTCCTCATCTCTAAAATGAGAGAGTGTATCCTTTATTCCCTCCATGCCAGGAACTAACTGAGAAGTAGAGCTAGCTATTTGATAATCATCAAACTAAGAGCTTTCTTCTGGTGCACCTGCGCTGGAGAACACCCACATAAAACGATAGTAACTGTGACGTGCCGTGAAGAAAATGTGCTGTGACAACCAGAGCAGATCTGAGTGGGACAGGGAGCTCAAGATATAACATTTAAGCTCTGATCTGAAGAAGTAGCTGGAGGTGAGTGCATTCAGCATATGCAAAGATCCTGTGGCAGGCTGGAGGAACTGAAAGAAAGTCAATGTGGCTGGAGGGAGAGCAGGTGCAAACCCTCCTACATCAAACCTTGTGAGCCCTATGAAAGATTGCACATGTTGTCCAAAGATTGAAGGGTTTTAAACAGGATGTTAATATTAGCATATTAGCAGGAGCTCACTCTGGCAGCAGGGTGGAGAGGGGATGGATCTCTCCTTTTTTGGAAAGGATCACATTGTAACCCTTCTCTTGCCAAATTCTCTTTCCCTCATATGGGCTGCTTTTGTTTGTGAGATGAAGAGCAAGAACAGAGTAGTGGTAGATGAGGGCTGCTAGCAGCTCTACCAGAATGGCAGGACATTTGAGAGCTGAATGGAGAATGGGTGTAATTAAAAGAAAAAAGGTGGAAAGACCTGGCTTGATTTCTCTTGCCAGGAATGATTGTACTACACATTCCCGCTTTAACACCGATTTTCTGTGAAAGGTATATTAGTCCCTAGGCTGAGTTCTCCGCCCAGGGGCGGTACAAGAATGTGAGAAGCAAATACTCTCTCCAGGAGATAAAATTCTAGGGGACTTTTTATGTTATGTCTCAGGTCCCTTGACATGAATTGGCTTTGTCCAGCCGTCAGACAAAAACCCAATGCAACTGTTAATTTGTGGTGGCCTTGGATGATGGGTGAAAGTATTAGTCTGTAGCTTAAAACCTCAACAGCGTGTCCTTCCTCCTCCAAAGTGGTAATTAAACACGGTCAGATGTGACTCTTGCCAGGCTGTTTAGTTGTGCTGGGCAAGGTCTCTGAATTAGAGATGATGACTGTAAAATGTTTGTGGGTTGAAAGTCCTCTCTTGGGTATAGAGAAAAGATATAGAGAGAGTAGAGAATTGTGTTCTAGTTATGAGTCATTCATCCAACAAATATTTATTGAGCATTGTCCCGGATACGATTGGTTTCCCACCTGGATCCCACTTAGGAGTCTAAGGCAGCTGCCAGGGAATTGTGCTCAGCTGATGGTGCTGAGGAATGCCTGGGAGGTTACATTTTGCACCCTCCCCAGGGGCAGCCCCCTGCCAATGGAGAGGCCATATGTAAAGCTGGCCCCTTGATACAGGCTGGATAATTCTGTGATGGCTTCATGCCCCAGAGCTCCTTGTGGAGTTGGTCTGAGAATAGGCTCCTGCTGAATCTATATACTTTCCTTTTCTATCTCACTTCCCTCACTCTCTTTCTCCTGAGGGTGTCAGAAGTATTCAAACGAGAGTGACTCCATCTTAATATGAGCTGGGTGAAATGAAGCTGAGATTTGCTGGGCCGCATTCCCAGGAAGTTAGGTATCCTTAGTCACAGGAAGAGGTTGGAGGTCAGCAGGACAAGATACAAGTCATAAAGACCCTGCCGATGGCCGGGCGCTGCGGCTTCCACCTGTAATCCCAGCACTTTGGGAGGCTGAGGTGGGTGTATCACCTGAGGTCAGCAGGTCAAGACCAGCTAGTTCAATACTAGCGTGACCAACATGGTGAAACCCCATCTCTACTAAAAATACAAAAATCAGCTGGGCGTGGTGGCGAGCGCCTGTAATCCCAGCTCTTTGGGAGGCTGAGGCAAGAGAATCACTTGAACGAGGGAGGCGGAGGTTGCAGTGAGCAGAGATCATGCCACTGCACTCCAGCCCGGGCGACAGAGTGAGACTCTGTCTCAAAAATAAATAAATAAAAGACCCTGCTGATAAAACGGGATTCAATAAAGAAGCCAGTCAAAACCCACCCAAACCAACATGGTGACGATAGTGACCTCTTGTTATCCTTGCTGCTAATTATATGCTAATTATAATGCATTAGCATGCTAAAAGACACTCCCACTAGTGCCATGACAGTTTACAAATGCCATGGCAACGTCCAGAAATTACCCTATATGCTCTAAGAGGAAGAGGAACCCTCAGTTCCAGGAATTCCTGGCCCCTTTCCTAGCAAACTCATGAATAATCCATCCCTGGTTTAGCATATGATTAAGAAATAACCATAAAAATAGCCAACTAGCAGCCCTTGGGGCTGCTCTGCCCATGGAGCAGCCATTCTTTTATTCCTTTTCTTTTTAAATAAACTTGCTTTTACTTTACTCTGTGGACTCGCCCTGAATTCTTTCTTGCATGAGATCCAAGAATGCTCTCTTGGGGTCTAGATTGGGACCCCTTTCCGGTAACAAGAACACTCCCTCAATAAAGCAGGGCATAAGTCCCTGTTTCAGGCTTTGCTCCTGCAGAACCTGCCTAAGACCTGCTGTGTGTTGGGCACTGTGTCTATGCCTTGGAGATAGAGTGTTAAACCCTTCGAGCAAAGTCTCTGCCCCAAGGCAGCTCAGTGCCTTCTAGGGGGTCTGATTTTCCATATCCTAGTCTTGTAATTTGTTTTTTCTTTTTTCTTTTTCTGAGACGGAGTCTTGCTCTGCCACCCAGGCTGGAGTGCAGTGGCGTGATCTCAACTCACTGCAACCTCTGCCTCCCGGGTTCAAGCGATTCTCCTGCCTCAGCCTCCCGAGTAGCTGGGACTACAGCTGCATGCCACCATGCCCGGCTAATTTTTTGTATTTTTTTTAGCAGAGACGGGGTTTCACTGTGTTAGCCAGGATGGTCTCGATCTCCTGACCTTGTGATCCACCTGCCTTGGCCTCCTAAAGTGCTGGGATTACAAGCATGAGCCACCACACCCGGCCCCTAGTCTTGTAATTTTGAGAAGTCGCTGGAGCTATGCGAGCCTCAAATTTCTTATCAATCGAATGGTGGTAACAGTGCTTGTCTTTACTTTTTTCCTTCTATTTTTTAGTCTTGCACTGTCACCCAGGCTGGAGTGCACTGGCATGATTCCACCATACTGCAGCCTTGAACTCCTAGGCTCAAGTGATCCTCTGACCTCAGCCTCTGGAGTAGCTGGGACTATAGGTACATTCTACCATACCTGGCTAATTTAAGAAAAAAAAAATTTTTTTTTAGACCCAAGGTTTTACTATTTTGCTCAGGCTGATCTCGAACTCTGGCCTCAGTGGATCCTCCTGCCTCGGCCTCTTGAAGTGTTGGGATTACAAATGTAAGCCAGGGCACCCAACCAATGCTTTCCTTTTCTGAAAAGACCAAGCAACAGCAGCAGCAGGATGGTTTAAGCCTTCTTAAGCATCTGTCAGCTGCCCTTCCCCATCACCACTTCCAGATGACAGCCTTGTCTTCTATTTCTAGCTAGGTTGCTGCTGCTATACATGGAAATTCTGGATCCTCCATTTTAGGACCATGAATTGATAGAAAACTGGCTCTCATGCTGCTACCTAGGTGTTTGTTGAATGAATGAATGTTGAATATGATTAACAACAGTGCTATCATTCAAGCAGCCCAGGTACTGGAATAAGCACTTTATTGCTTCTTTTTTAAAATTTTTTTATAGAGAAGGAAATGGAGGCATTGAAATACCAAGACATACTGAATATGAGAGCAATTCAACAACTATGTAAAGCACATATACAGATGTAAAATGTTAGAAGACAGGACTTTGGATGGAAGGATTAATTTGCAGCACTGATGTTTCCTAAGAAAATGGTCAGAAGAAATTTCTTTTGGAATGTTCTTTGTTTTTTCTTTTTTGTTGTTTGTTTTTGTTTTTTTCTGAGACAGAGTTTCCCTCTTGTCACCCAGGCCGGAGGGCAATGGTGCGATCTCAGCTCACTGCAACCTCCGCCTCCCGGGTTCAAGTGATTCCCCTGTCTCAGCCCTCCTAGTAGCTAGGATTACAGGCACCCACCACCATGTCCAGCTAATTTTTTGTATTTTTAGTAGAGGCGGGGGTTTCACCACGTTGGCCAGGCTGGTCTCGAACTCCTGACCTCGGGTGATCCACCCGCCTCAGCCTCCCAAAGTGCTGGGATTACAGGCGTGAGCCACCATGCCCGGCCTGGAATGTTTTTCTATAACTTGTTCCTTTTTCAGTTCACATGTGGACAACCCTTTTAACCCATTGTTCAAGGTCATGGAGATTGTTTTTGAAACTTGAAACCAAACACTTACAGATGGCTCCCCCAAAGGATAGAGAAAAGGAAACGAGAAACAAGAAAATCACAACCACCTGCTATTATAAAAGGAGCCCGCATGATGAAGTTTTTAGAATTGTGGATCTGTACTTCTGCTACTGCTTAGGTTTTAGTGGAGGCAAAATAATGCCAATAGCTAATTTGTTTGGTCATTAAGCTTTGATAGAACTTCAGTCTAAGGGACATACAATTATATTAATGTACATGCTCCAGAGTCCCTGGTTTTATGATCTGTGGATTATTTATCATTGTTTCAGGATAGCAGTAGTTTACTTTGGTTTCATGATTTTTTTAACATTGGTTCTGGAATCCAAGAGACTTGGTAGGATTCTTTGTTTTTGTCTTTCCTTAATATTATTATCATCATTTTTTTTCTTTTTTTTTCTTCATTTGAGACAGTGTCCCGCTCTGTTGCCCAGGCTGGAGTGCAAGTGGCATAATCATAGCTCATTGCAACCTTGACCTCCCAGGCTCAAGCGATCCTCCCACTTCAGCCTCCCAAGTAGCCGGGACTACAGGTGCATGCCACCATGCCTTGCTAATTTTTAAAATTTTTTGTAGACATGGAGATCTCCCTATGTTGCCCAGGTTGGTCTCGAACTTTTGGGCACAAGAGATCCTCCTTCCTTGGCCTCCCGAAGTACTGGAGCTACAGGCGAGAGCCAACATGCCTGACCTGTTATCATTTTTTTATTTTATTTTTCTTGGCTCTGCCATTTACTGTGTGAATTTGGGCGAATTACTCACTTTTTAAAATTTTTTCTCCCCTTCCCTTCCCTTCCCTTCCCTTCCCTTCCCTTCCCTTCCCTTCCCTCCCCTCCCCTCCCCTCCCTTTGTGCCTCCCTGCCTACCTTTCCTCTCTCTTTCTTTTCAATAGAGATGGGGTCTCACTTTGCTGTCCAGGCTTACCCTGAACTCCTGGACTCAAGTGATTCTCCTTCCTCAGCTTCCCAAATAGCTGGGACTACAGGTGCATGCCACCATGTCTAGCTAATGTATTTGTTTTTGATTATGGCATAACAAAGCACCCAAAAACTTAGTAGCTTAAAACAACACGCAGTTTCTAGGGGTCAGGCATCCAGGTACAGCTTAACTGGGACCTCTACTCAGAGGCTCTCACAGGCTGCAATCACGGTGCCCACAAGGCTGCAGTTATCTCAAGATTCAACTTGGAGAGGCTCTGCTTCCAGGCTCATGTGGTCATTGGCAGAATTCAGTTCCTTGAGAGTTGTTGGGCTGAGGGCCTCCTTTCATTGCTGGCTGCTGGCCAGAAGCTGCCCTGTTTCCTGCTAGATGGTTCTCCCTGACAACAGGGAAGCTTGTTCCATCAAAGCAAGCTTGTGAGAAAATATCTCTATCTCTGCCTTTATCTATCTATATGTCTATATCTACATAGAGAAAGAAGACAGAACTCACAGGTTTTTTTTTTTTTTTTTTTTTTTTTTAACGGTTATGGACAGAATTGCAGCCCTCTCCCAATCTCCCAAATCCACATGTTGAAGTTCTCACTCCCAATGTGCCTGTATTTGGAGACAGGGCCCTTTCAGAGATACTTAAAATAAGCCAGGTTATAAGGGTGGGGCCCTAATCTGATAGGACCTGTGTCCTTACAAGAAGAGGAAGAAACATGATAGGAAAGACCATGTGAGAACACAGTGAGAAGGTGGCCGTCTGCAAGGCAGGAAGAGAGCCCTCACCAGAAACCAACCCTGCTGTCCTACCTTGATCTTGGACTTCTACCCTCCAGAACTGTGAGAAAATAAGTGCCTGTTGTTTAATCTCCCAGTCTGTGATATTTTGTTTTGGCAGCCTGAGCTGCCTAATATGATAACCTGATCTTGGAAGTGACATCTCACCACTTTTGCCAGTTCTATTCCTTAGAAGCAAGTCATCAGGTTCAGCCCACACTCTAGGGAGGAGGTTCCACAAGGGCATAAATACGAGAATGAGAGGGTTGGAAGCCACTTAGAGGCTGCCTATCACGGGCACTGCTGTCTCTTCCTAAGATGGCTAAAATATAATAATATTTAACATTTATCTAGCATTTGCAGTTAGTATATACTAAACACGGATGATTCATTAATTCTCTCAACAAATGTGTGTGTGAGGTATTATAATTATTCCAATTTTACAGACGGGGAGACCGAGTCTCAGAAAGGTCAAGTAATGTGCCCAGGGTCACATAACAAGTAAAGGACAGGACTGCTATCTGAACATAAGTAACTCGCTCAGAGGTCTCACCCTCCCACTCTTGTTTTCCTCCAATCTGCTACCAACACAATAGCCAGAGCATTTGCTCTGTCACCCAGGCTGGAGTGCAGTGGTGTGATCTCAGCCCACTGCAACCTCCGCCTCCCAGGTTCAAACTATTCTCATGCCCCAGCCTCCTTAGTAGCTGGGATTACAGGTGTGTGCCACCACACCCAGCTAATTTTTGTATATTTAGTGGAGACAGGGTTTCACCATGTTGGTTAGGCTGGTCTCGAACTCCTGGCCTCAAGTGATCCACCCACCTTGGCCTCCCAAAGTGCTGGGGTTACAGGCATGAGCCACTGCACCTGGCCCAGAGCATTCATTTAAATCAGACATGCCATCTCATTTAAAACCCTCCAATCCTATTCCACTTTAAATAAGTTCCAAATCCCCCTACTATGATGCTGTGGGCTGAATTATGTATCCCTCACCCTAACCCCCTCCAAATTCTAAGTCCTAACCCTCATTGTTTCCTTCCAAATCCTACCTTCTTTAGAGTTAGGGCCTCTGTGGAGGTACTTATGTTAAAATGATTTCATTTGACTGGGCCTTAATCCGATATGACTGGCATCCTTATAAGAAAGGCATACACCGACACAAGCAGAAGGCAGACCACGTGAAGACATAGGGAAAAGTCAGCATTCTACAAACCAAAGAGAGCAGCCCAGAACAGATCCTTGTCTCACAGCCCTCAGAAGGAACCAACCCTGCTGACACCTTGATCTTCAACTTCTAGCCTTTGAACTGCAAGAAAATACATTTCAGTCACTTTAAGCCACCCTGCCAGCGGCACTTTGTGTGGCAGCTCGAGGAAGCAGATGCCTGCCACTTGCTCCTGGCTCACCTAAGCCATGGCAGCCTCCTTTCACTTCTTTGCAAATACTCTTCCATCTTAGGGCCTTTGCATGTGTGTTTTTTTTCTGCCTAGAACATTTTTTTCTTCTTGTTTTGAGACAGAGTCTTACTCTGTCACTCACGCTGGAGTGCAGTGACGTGATCATAGCTCACTGCAGCCTCAACCTCCCTGGGCTCAAGTGATTCTCCTACCTCAGCCTCCTGACGAGCTAGGACTACAGGCATGTGCCACCACTCCCAGCTAATTTTTTTTTTTTTTTTTTGAGACGGAGTCTTGCTTTGTTGCCCAGGCTGGAGTGCAGTGGCGTGATCTCTGCTCACTGTAACCTCTGCCTCCTGGGTTCAAGCTATTCTCCTGCGTCAGCCTCCTGAGTAGCTGGGACTACAGGCATGTGCCACTACGCCTGGCTAATTTTTTGTATTTTTAGTAGAGATGGGTTTCACCATATTAGCCAGGATGGTATCCATCTCCTGACCTCGTGATCCACCTGCCTCGGCCTCCCAGCTAACTTTTTTTGTAGAGACAGGGTCTTGCTATGTTGCTCGGGCTGGTCTCAAATTCCTGGGCTCAGGAGATCCTCCTACCTTGGCTTCCCAAAGTGCTGGGATTACAGGCATGAGCCACCACAACCAGCCTCTAGAACAGTCTTACTTCCCTTCCTCAATGCTCATTCCCTCTTATTCCTCCACTCTCAGCCTCATTTCACCCCTTTAGTGAAGCTTTTAATTCCTTTCTTACCTAAAGAGTTCTGCCTGTTGTTCTCTACCCTAACACACTGTAAATTTTCTTTATTGCACTTACCACAATGTATAATTAGACGTTTCTTTGTTTATTTGTTGCTTTTCTCTCCCCCTAGAGTGTAGAGTCTCAAGGACAGGAATTGCATCTGTGTTATTTGCCAGAGCGTCTCCAGCATACAACACAGTTCATGGAACCCAGTGCGTGCCCAGCAACGATCAGTTGAATGACTAGAGTAGTGATTCTCAACCCTGGCTGCACAGGAGAGTCACTCGGGGGTGCTTTAAGAAACACTGATCCTTGATTTTCACCCCCGTGAGATGCTGAGTCAGTCCCATGCAACTAGATTGAGGACAAGAGGATAAGGGAAACCATTTCCTTTTCAATCTGTGAAGGTTTGTTACATTTATGGAAAACTTGAACTTCACCACAGTCTTACAGGAAGCATGAAATTGAGCCTTGAGTTTTTTTCTCAGCTGTCCAACTGTTATGGGCCTACAATTGTATAGCTCAGAGTGACAGAGAAGAACTTTGGGGTTGGGAAAGAATTGGAGCAACTTCAAGCAGGAACGCGGTGTGGCACCTTGGGTGCATCTCACTGGGTTCCATCCATTCTATGGTGTTGGGGTCACTCTGCTGTAGAGCAAGATGCAGAAATGGCCCTCTCTACTTTCCTTATGTGTGTATGTGTGGAGGGGAGGTTTAGTGGATGTCTCTGGTTACTGGAATTCTGTTTGCATTGCGCTGCCTTCTAGGACCAAGGACTGGTTTTCAAGCTCTTTGGTCAAGGGAGAGAGAGCAGTCTTGAGTCTGTCAGAACAGGCCCCTGACAAGTGAACAGTATTGATGCCCTCCAGCCAAAGACCTCCAGGAACACACCCATATTGAACAAGTTGTGTTTCATGTTCATTGCAGCAAGAGAGGACACACACATGGGGAACCATGGAAGGTGTTGGAAAGGACTCATTATGGAATTGGACTTTGGTTGTGTGATTTTGGGGAGAGTCCAAGCAAGCTGGGATGTGCACTGGCATGGGTGCAGCCTGAAAGAGGCAATGTTACCATTGACTCTCTCAATAAATTTTATCTATAAGGAAGGGAGGGAAAGCAGACTAGAGCGAGGCTAAAACTATGATTGGTGAAGAACACTAGTTACTCGCATTCACCAGGAGAAGGTCATGTTTGGCATTTTGTGGCTTGAACAATGTTCCTGTTTTGTCTGTGTTCACGTGTGATTACGGAGTCTTCTTTCTGTCCTGATTCATCATGACTACAGAGTGGCTTTGTCTAACATTGATGCTCTGTGAAATTGTTTATGTTTAGGAAAACACCGAGATTGACCTGTCAGTACCAGGCCAGTTCCCTGCTGTCAGGGGCTGCTTTCCTCTTTATCACTAGCTTTGGATTTGCTCCTTCCAGTACTTTTCTCATGTAAAGTAAGGTAGTCCAGTGTGTTCACACAATTGAGAGCATTTATTACATTAGCCTCCTATCTTTTGCGGGGATAATCACAGCACCATGGTGTGGTAAGTGGCAGTAGAGTATGGTGGTTAAGAACAAATGATCTTGAGGTCAGGCGTGGTGGCTCACGCCAGTAAACCCAGCACTTTGGGAAGCCGAGGCAGGAGTATTGCTTGAGTCCGAGAGTTCGAGACCAGCCTGGGCAACATAGCGAGACCCTGTCTCTTAAAAAAAAGAACAAGTGCTCTTTATTCAGAAAATCATTTTAGTTGTGTGACCTTGAGCAAGTTCACTTGACCACCCTAGCCTCGACTCCCTCATCTGTAAAATGGGGGTAATAATAGTGCCTAACTTATAGGGCAATTATGATGCACCAATGAAATAATGCATGAGGCCGGGTGCGGTGGCTCACACCTGTAATCCCAGCACTTTGGGAGGCCGAGGTGGGTGGATTATCTGAGGTCAGGAGTTTGAGACCAGCCTGACCAACATGGTTAAACCCCATCTCTACTAAAAATAAAAAAATTAGCCAGGTGTGGTGGTGCATGCCTGTAATCCCAGCTACTCAGGAGGCTGAGGCAGGAGAATCGCTTGAACCTGGGAGGCGGAGATTGCAGTGAGCCGAGATCGCGCCACTGCACTCTAGCCTGAGCGACAGAGCAAGACTCTGTCTCAAAAAAAAAAAAAAAAAAAAAAAAGCATGAAAAAACTTTTAGCCTGGTATCTGGCCAGCAGTTGGTATGCTATTGACTACCAATGATTCAATAGAACTATATGTTTCTCTGCTTAGTTTATCAGAGTTTGCCTTTGTACCTGTGATGAAAAAAACGGTGGACCGTAAGACCTTGGGACCTTGGTTCCCTGAACCAAGCCAGGACAATTGTATTATTTCTCCTGGAATTTTGAAATTGGACACCAATATTTGTCATTCAGGGTTGGATATGTAGACTGGGAAGTGATGTCAAGCGTCCTTGAGTGACCACTTTCTGCTCTGTTGACTTAGAACCTTGAGGTTAAAAAAATGTTATAGGAAACCATATTTGTTTGAATGTTTGTTGGAAAGAAAAGCAGAAAAGTAGAGAAAGGTGATCTTTTTTAATTCTTAATTTTTTATTATTAAATTTTTTTTTTATTTTAGGTTTGAGGATACATGTGAAAGTTTGTTACATAAAGATTTGTCACAGAGGTTTGTTGTACATATCATTACATCACCCAGGTATTAAGCTCAGTCCCCAATAGTTATCTTTTCTGCTCCTCTTCCTCCTCCCACCCTCCCCACTCAAGTAGACTCCAGTGTCTGTTATTTCCTTCTTTCTGTTCGTAAGCTCTTATCATTTAGCTCCCACTTATATGTAAGAACATGTGGTGTTTGGTTTTCTGTTCCTGCGTTAGTTTGCTGAGGATGATAGGCTCCAGCTCCATCCATGTTCCCACAAAAGCCATGATCTTGTTCTTTTTTATGGCTGCATAATATTCCATGGTGTATATGTACCACATTTTCTTTATCCAGTCTGTCATTGACAGGCATTTAGGTTGATTCCATGTCTTTGCTATCGTGAACAGTGCTGCAGTGACCATTCACGTGTATGTGTCTTTATGGTAAAATGCTTTATATTCGTCTGGGTATACACCCAGTAATGGGATTGCTGGGTTGATGGTAGTTCTTCTTTTAGCTCAGAAAGGCAATATTCAAAGACAGGAGAATAAACTGGGGTGAGAGAGAGAAGGAGTGAAGAAAGGAGAAAAGAAGAGAGAAGAGAGAGGAAGAGAAGGTTCTATGGAGCTCTAAGTGTTCTATCTGGTCTGCCCGAGTTAGTAGAGGGATAAGAATAAAGAAAAAAAATGTTACTATTCCTCTACGGCCCATCACACACATGGGTGAATCAAATGGGCAAAGCAAGAGTAGAATTTTACACCACCATGCCGTAAACCTGGATTGTTTTGACTGTTGAGCATCTCCTCTCTCTTTTCTATTCTTTTTCTTTCTCTTTCTTTCTTTCTTTCCTTCTTTCTTTCTTTCTTTCTTTCTTTCTTTCTTTCTCTCTCTCTCTCTCTTTCTTTCTCGCTTTCTCTTTCTTTCTCTCTTTCTTTCTCTCTCTCTCTCTCTCTCTCCCTCTCTCTCTTCTTTTCTTTTCTTTTGAGACGGAGTTTCACTCTTGTTGCCCAGGCTGGAGTGCAGTGGCGCAATCTCGGCTTACTGAAACCTCCACCTCCCGGGTTCAAGCGATTATCCTGCCTTAGCCTCCCAAGTAGCTGGGACTACAGGTGTGTGCTACCACACCCAGCTAATTTTGTATTTTTAGCAGAGATGGGGTTTCACCATGTTGGTCAGGCTGGTCTCGAACCCCTGACCTCAGATAATCCACCCACCTCAGCCTTCCAAAATGCTGGGATTACAGACGTAAGCCACTGCACCCGGCCTCACTTTCTTTTACCCACATCAGTCCTGATAATTTCCAGTCCCAGCATCCTGCCTTCTCCCTCACTCCCGTAGAAGGACTGGGCAAGTGACCAGGCCAATCAGAGTTCCCCAATATCCTGGCCATGTGGATTGGTCCAGCTATGGGCACGTGACCTTAGCTAAGCCAATCACCTATTCAGAATGTTTTTTGTTCTTTAATACAGAGCTGTGAGAGACAGGGTCTTGGCTTTTGAATAATGGGGCTGAAAGAAGTGAGTCAGGGACTGCCAGGGGCTGTCTCCTATACCATGAGGAGAAATCTCGTCTATAGGGAGAACGAGCCAAAAGATGGAAAGTCATTGAGAGGGAGAGGGAGAGGGACATTGAAGTGGGGGAGAGAAAGAGAGAGACATAATATAATGTTGAGCTTTAAATCAGCTCTATCTAGACTTAGAAAAGCCAATAACTTCCCACTTTTCTTGGACTGATTTGAGTTGGTTTTTTGCTACTTTAGCCAAGTGGTCCCCGTGATGGCTCCCCATTTCTTTAGATGAAAATCCCAAGCCCTCACGTTGGCATGCCAGGACACACCTGCCCTAGCCTCAATGGCCTCATCTCCCGTCCCTCTCGCCATTGCTTACTCCGCTGCAGCCATTCCTGCCTCCTTGCTTGTTCGTCAAACGTGCCAGGCCCTACTTCATACGGATTAAATCAGACTTTTTGAGTGGGATCAGGACATTAGTATTTTATTTGTTTTTAATTTAATTTTATGTTTTGAGACAGGGTCACTCTGTTGCCCAGGCTGGAGTGCAGTGGCACGAACACGGCTCGCTGCAGCCTCGACCTCCCAGGCTCATGCGATCCTTCTAATACTCACCGTTAGCTGGGACCTCAGCCAGCCAGTTAGCCAAAATGTATGCATGTGGCCTCCCCAGGTGTTCTCTTCACATGGGCTAGTTGGACTTCCTCACTACATGGTGGCTGGTGTGCAAGAGTGAGTGGCTCCAGAAAGCAAGGAGGACATGCCTATGATTTTTTATGCTCTAGCCCTGGAAGTCAAATAGCATCTTTTCTGCTGTAATCTTAATCTTAATGATTGAGGCAGTTGCTAAGGTTCAAGTGGAAGGGATCATAGACTTCATCACTCAACATGAGAAATAGAAGCTTACAACCACCTGTCCTCAGCCTCCCAAGTAGCTGGGACTACAAGCATGTGCCACCATGCCTGGCTAATTTTTTGAATTTTTTGGAGAGACAGAGTCTCACTATGTTGCCCAGGTTGGTCTTGAATTCCTGGGCTCAAGTGATCCACCCGCCTTGGCCTCCCAAAGTGCTGGGATTGCAGATGTGAGCCACTGGGCCCGGCCGGTGACATTGGTATTTTTAAAAAGGTACTCAGTGATTTCAATGTGTAGCTAGAGCTGAGAATCACTCCTTCAGACTAATAAAGAAGGTCAATGGCTATTAAGGCAACTACCCTAAAGAATTAACTTAAAGTCTATGTGTAAGTTTGTCTCTTGTCAACATAGAGTCTAGTTTCCTTCTAATTTTGATTATAAAATAGGAAAGCACTTTCCTATACTATAAAAAAGTTTGCTTTAAGAGTCCCAGGACTGATTTATTATGACCTTGAGATTTAAAAACATTTATTATTGGAAACCATGTTTGTTTGAACCATGTTTGTTTGAATGTTTATTGTAGAAAAGTCCATTTTTCCTTTTAAAGTCATAAACTAAATTTGTTACAGGAGGTTGATTTTGTGTTCCAAGCCTGTGATCATTAACTGTTTTCCAGCTCTACCAGGTAGGGTATTGAACCTTTTCTTATTTGATATTCAAATAAATTCTCCTTTACCAAAATGTTATTTTGCAAATAACTAAGTGACTCTAATGGATTAACTTTAAAATGCAATGCCAAATCTTGATTTTCCACGAATGAATAATTTGAAAGAAATTTCTCTGTTCACTACATATACGCCAGAAAGAATATCAACCTTGGCTTTTGATATATTTTAAATTCCTGGTTCAAGTTTCTTATGTGGCCAAATTGTTCTTAGTGACCTGGGCTTCTGTAAAATGTCCCTGATTCCTTTCATAAAATGCTTATTTTGGCTTATGCTGCTCGAGTGAGTTTCTGTTACCATCTTTGATAAAGACAATCATTAATCCTGACAGCAGCCTTGCAAAGTGAGTCTTATTATTCCCATTTCACAGATGGATAATCTGAGCCCTTGGGTACTGAGAAACTTGCTCAAGTCCATACAATTAGGCACTGGTAGTCCCTGGACAACAACCCAGATCTACTTGACCCCAAAGCTGATGAGTTTCCACCCTCACAGAAGGTCCTAATATGGCACATTGCTTTTTTTTACATTGGGATATAATTCATGTCTTATAAAACTCACCATTTAAAAGTGTATAATTTAGTGGTCTTAGTGTATTCTCAAGATTTTTCAACTATCACCACTGTCTAATTCTAGGATGTTTTCATCACCCTCCAACCCCAGACCTCTACCATTAAGCAGCCACTCTTTCACTCCTGTCCCCCAGCCTCTGGCAACCACTAATTTACTTTCTGTCTCTGTGGATTTGCCCATTCTGAGTATTTGATACACATGGAGTCATACAATATGTGGCCTTTTGTGTCTTGGTTCTTTCACGAAACACAGTGTTTTCTAATTTCTAATTTCTACATTTCTGTCGTAGAATATATCAGTACTTCATTTCTTTTTATGGCTAAATAACTTTCCATTGTATGGATAGACCCCATTTTGTTTATTTATCTGTTTACAGACATTTGGATTATTTCCACCTTTTGGCTATTATAAGATACATTTTGTAAATAACATTGTTATAGAAGTCTTGTTTTCCAAATTAAACAGAAGGGCAGGTCCTGTTTCACACACTTTTTTTTTGTATTAAAAATATATGAGGGCTCTTCCAGTTGCTATTACTGGGTAACAAATCACACCAATTTTTAGTGCTATAAGCCACAATTTTATTACACTCACAGATCCTGTAGGTCAAGAATCAGACCAGAGAGAGTGGCTTGCTCTGCCTCATGATGTCTGGGGACCCAGCTGGGAAAACTCAAAAGTTGAGGGTGACTTGATGGCTGGGGACTAAAGGCATCTAGAGGAATCTTCTGTCACATGCCTGTATTTCATACTCACTGTTAGCTGAGACCTCAGCTAGCCAGTTAGCCAAAACGTCTGCATGTGGCCTCCCTAGGTGGTCTCTTCAGGTGGGCTAACTGGACTTCCTCACAACATAGTAGCTGGGGTCCAACAGCGAGTAGCTCAAGAAAACAAGGAGGAAGTGCATATGCTTTTTATGTTCTAGCCCTGGAAATCAAATAGCATATTTTCTGCTGTAATCTTAATGATTGAGGCAGTTTCTAAGGTTAAAAGGGGAGGGATCATGGACTTCATCACTCAACAAGAGAAATAAAAGGTCACATTATGACAGCATGTGGTATGGGAGATATCACTATGGCCACCTTTGGAAAAAAACCATCTGCCACAAGGACCTTGCACTGGGCTTGTGACAGGTATCCAGTAGATCCTTATTTAATTAAATATATTCATGCTTATCAACAAATTACATATTGGCCTGCCTGCTTGTTTGTTCATGAATCCATCTCCTCCTTCAGAAATGACCCCTTCTTGGGTATTATTCTAATGCTTTCATTTCTTAACTTCTGCATTTTCCTAGCTTAGGCAAATCACTTTACTTCTCAGAGCCTCAGTTGTCTTACCCATAAAATGGGCAAACACATTTGTTCCCACTCTACAAAATTAGTTTGGGAATTCAGTGGGCTAAGGTATAAATAGTGCTTACTTTAGATGCTGTTTGGAGGTAAAGGTTCAATAAATGATAACTATTATTATTGCTGTTGTGATTACCTGAATGTAATCCCCATTCTCTTATACTTTTCAGCATCCTGTCCAAGCCTTTAAGATGAGGAACAAATTCTATGTGAGGAGAAATGGCAAAAATTGGTATGCCTCTGCTTTTCTGATTTCCCATTCCCTTCCATTTCTCTTATTAACAAATAAAAGTAAGGAAATCCTGTCCTGTGGATAACTTCCCATTGACTTGCAGAGAGCTCAGACATGCTATGGTAGATATGGATACTGTTTTGTTTTTGTTTTTTGAGATGGAGTCTTGCTCAGTCACCCAGGCTGGAGTGCAGTGGCATGATCTCAGCCCACTGCAAACTCCGCCTCCCAGGTTCAAGTGATTCTCCTGACTCAGCCTCCCGAGTAGCTGGGATTACAAGCAGATGCCACCACACCCAGCTAATTTTTGTATTTTTAGTAGAGACAAGGTTTAACCATCTTTACTAAACAGACTAGGCTCGTCTTGAACTCCTGACTTCAAGTGATCTGCCCACCTCAGCCTCCCAACGTGCTGGGATTATAGGTGTGAGACACTGCACCTTGCCAGTGGTGGATATTGTTGATTTAAAATAATAGAAATAATAAATCTCCAATCTCAGGGAAGTTTCCATAGTCCTAAAGTCAAAACTTCCGATCTTGCCGTGTGCTTGAATTATCCTCAATTAGAGTCCCTGCTGCTGTTGCTTGTCGCTGTAATTATTCTGTCATCATTAATTCAATGAAGCCTATTAACCCACATCAGATAGTGTATTTATCTACAATGCATGTTACCTGCTCCTCTAGATAAGACAGCTGTCATACTTCAAGTCTGCTGTCTCTTTGTTGAGGTCCAGTAGTGTCAGTCTGCAAGTGTTTCATATACATTACAGAATCCCCATTAATGGTTGATATGATTAGGCTTTGTGTCCCCACCCAAATCTCATCTTGAATTACATTCCCTATAATCCCCACATGTCAAGGGAGAGACCAGGTGGAGATAATTAAATCATGGGGGCAGTTTCCCCCACGCTGTTTTCATGACAGTGCGTTCTCACGAGATCTGATGGTTTTATAAGGAACGCTTCCCTCTTTGCTTGGCATTTCTCCTTCCTGCTGCCTTGTGAAGAAGATGCATTGTTTTCCTCTTCACTTTCTGCCACAATTGTAAGTTTCCTGAGGCCTCCCCAGCCATGCTGAACTGTAAGTCAGTTAAACCTCTTTCCTTTATAAATTACACGGTCTCAGGCAGTTCTTTACAGCAGTATGAAAATGGAGTAATACAATGATGTTCTTATAACTTCCCAGACTGGAAGGCTTGCTGGTCTTGTGAGATACTGAACTGGAGACAGCAGAAAAATGCATCCTCCTGATATTGTGAGCAACCTCCTCTCTTCTTCCCTCTCTCCTCTTCTTCCCTTTCTTCTGTTTTCCCTTCTAGGAGCCAAGAGCATAGGCTCTGGAACCAGCCTGCCTGGTTTGAATCATGCCTCTGCCTGGGGATCTTGGGCAGGTTGCTTGGTCTCTCTGAGCCTGTTTTTTTCATCTGTGCAAGAATCACAACTCTCTTGTGAGAATTTAATGTGCTAATCTGCATAAAGCGCATAGACCACTGTCTGGCTCATGCTAGGAGTGTAACTGTGGTTATTTCTTCCTATTTTCTTCCCTCCCTTCCAACAGAAGAAAGTCTCTGAGATGCGTGTCTTATGTGGCATATGCTGGACTTGGTGCCTGGGGTTCATTGGCAGACTAGTCCCTCTGGTACCTCCAGCAAGGAAGACAGATGTTAATTATTAATTGATACCCATTGTGATAAATCTCACAAGGTACCATGAATGGGTATAACAGCTCCCTTTCTGCGGAGGAGGTGGAGGTGATAGGTAAGACTTCCTGGAGGAAGTAACATTTGAACAGAGATCTGAAAGATAAAATACTTCCAGGAGGAGTGTGTGTGTGTGTGTAAGTCAGTCAACATCAGAACACCTCCAGCAGTGGAAACAGTGTATAGGAAGCTCTGAAGTAGGAAGGATCCTCTGTTAATGGTTTTTTTTTTGTTGTTTTCCCTCTTCGAGACAGAGTCTCAGTCTGTTGCCCAGGCTGGAATGCAGTGGCACAGTCTCAGCTCACTGCAACCTCTGCCTCCCAGGTTCAAGCAATTCTCGTACTTCAGCCTCCTGAGTAGCTGGGATTACAGGTATGCACCACCATGCCCCAATAATTTTGTATTCTTAATAGAGATAGGGTTTCTCAAACTCCTGGCCTCAAGTGATCTGCCTGCCTCAGCCTCCCAAAGTGCTGGGATTACAAGTGTGAGCCACCATGCCTGACCCATTAATGTTTTGAATAGGTAATACTTTTGCATGGTCCAAATTCCAAAAAATACAAAAGGATAAACAGTGAAATGTCTCCCTTTTTCCATTTACCACCTTCCCCCTACCTCTATCCCTGAAGCAACAAATGAACCAATTTCTTTGGTATTCTTCTAGAAATATCCTGTGCATACATAAGCAAAATGTATGTGTGTATGGTGTATATACATATATACACTATATATAGTGTGTATATGTATATATACTATATATAGTGTGTATATGTGTATATATATACTACATATAGTGTGTATATGTATATGTGTATATATATACTACATATAGTGTGTATATGTATATGTGTATATATACACACATATATACTATATATAGTGTGTATATGTATATGTGTATATATAGTGTGTATAGTTTATGTATATACATATCCACACTATATATAGTATATATATGATATTCACATATCATCTCCTTTTATTTTTTAATATGAAAAATGCTTCTCCGTTATTTGCTTTTTTCACCTTTCTCTTAAATACATATCTTGGAGATCCTTCCTTATGAGTACACAGTTAACTTTCTTATTTTCTTTTCTGAGTGGCAGAGTACACCATGTAGTACCCTATAATTTGTTTAAGCAACCTCCTACTGATGGATGTTTGGGTTATTTCTACTCTTCTGCTATTATTTAAAAAAACTATAATCGATAATCTGATACCGGTGCAATTTGCTCCTGTGCAAATGTCTGTGGGATAAATTTCTAAAAGTGTAATAGTTGGGTCAAATGACACACTTTTCTCCATAGAGGTTGTAAAAAATTTACACCCATCCCTCAAGGAATGTTTGAGTTCCCATAGTGGCATCAAGCACCATGTATTATTGAGTTCTTTTTAATTTTGCCAATCTGATAGGTGAAAATTGATATCTCAGCATAGTTTTAATTTGCATTTATCTTACTCTGAATAACACAGAGCATGTTTTCATTTGCCCAAGAATCACTTGTGTTTCTTTTCTTACAAACTGTTCTTATCTTTTGTCCATTTTTCTATGAATCTGCTCTTTTGCTTATTGATTTTATACATTAGGGGAATTAGCCATTTTCCACGCCTTGCTTCACAAACATTATTTCCTGGGTTTTCTTTTGTATTTTGACTTTGCTTAGGGTGGTTTTGGTTCCGCAGCTCTGTTTTTTAAAAAACTTCTATGTAATCAAATTTTTTTTTGCGGGGGGGTCTCCCGGGTTTGTGACATACTAAGAAAAACCTTTGTCATTTCAAGATCATAAGATAATTCTATTCTTTAAAAAAACACCTTCAGAAAAGGGGATTCCAGATGCGACTTTAATGATCCTTTCCTGTGTTTGCCAAGCATCATGGTAGAAATACCTTCCTTATAGCCACATGAAACCCCTGATGCTGGAGTGTTGTGTTCACCTTATCGGCAAATATTTCCCCAGCACCTCCTATGTGTCAGTGTAGAACTGAACAGCACAGAAGCTACAAAGACTAAGAAGCCAGTAAAAGTTCAAATTCCACTACCCAGAAGTAACCACCATAAACACTTGGTATTATCATGAATTTTTTTAATAAAAAACTCCATAAGCACATATTTTTAAGATAAAAATAAGATTATTGTACACATAATTTTTCTGACCTGATTTCAAAATATATCCAAGACTTCTTTCTCTGTTACTAACTGTAAATGTAGATTTAACATTTAACTATGGCAATGATTTACATGTAGCAGGGTTTGTGAAATGACTCCTTGTGGATGGACAGTGAGACTATCCTCCCTCTTCCACCATTCTAAGCAATGCTACCAAGAACATCTTTACATCTCTATCTTTGCCCTCTTGTCTTAGACCTAGAATTTCTGGGTCACATTGTTAAACTGTTTTTAGGAAGATTGTGCTGACTTATATTCCCACGAGCAATGTAAGGTATGCCAGAAAGAGGGCGGGAGGTTGGGAGTGGGAGGAGAAGGGGGCGGAGGAGGAAACTGGGTAAATGCTATTGGTGATAAAAAGGAGACAGTCTCACTGTCTATCAATAGGGAGGTCACTCAGCAAATCCTGCTACATGCAAATCGTTGCATAGTCATGAAATATTAAATGTTAAATCTACATTTACAGTTGGTGACAGAGAAAGCAGTCTTGGATTTATTTTGAAATTAGGTCATAAAAATTATGTATGCAATCATCTTATTTTTGTCTTGAAAATATATGTTCATAGAGTTTAAAAAAATCATTCATGATAAATACCAAATGTTTATAGTGGTTATTTCTGGGTGGTGGCATTTGAACTGTTTTATTTTTAATTGGCTTTTTTTTTTTTTTAATTGAGATGGAGTCTTGCTCTGTCACCCCGGCTGGAGTGCAGCGGTGTGATCTAGGCTCACTGCGACTTCTGTCTCCTGGGTTCAAGCGATTCTCCTGCCTCAGCCTCCTGAGTAGCTGGGATTACAGGCACCCGCCACCATGCCTGGCTGATTTTTGTAATTTTAGTAGAGATGGGGTTTCACTGCATTGGACAGGCTGGTCTCGAACTCCTGACCTCAGGTGATCCACTGCCTTGGTCTCCCAAAGTGCTGGGATTACAGGAGTGAGCCACTGCACCTGGACTTTTATTGGCTTCTTTATTCATCTTTGTAGTTTCTGGGCTGTTCAGTTGTATATCGACATATAGTAGGTGCTTGGGAAATATTTGCTGATGAAGGCTATTTTGGGAATTAAAAAAATGTATTTCAGGGGGCAGCAAACTATAGCTCCAGGGCCAAATCTGGTCTCTGCCTATTTTTGTAAATAAAGTTTTATTGGAACAGCCTCATACACCCGTTCATTTACATAGCATCAATGATTGCTTTGGCCCTACAAGGGCAGAGTTAAGTGATTGCAACAGAGCCCACATGGTCAAAAGAGCCTCAAATATTTACTAACTGATGGTTTACAGAAAACGTTTGCTGCCTCCTGGTTTATTTCATTAAAGAAGTTATATTACACCTCTTTGGTGTCTCCATTCACTTTACCACTTATGTTAACGTGGGAATGATGACACCAACCTGGAAGAGTCACATACGTAAGGCATACAGCCTGGTGTTTGTCTTTTGGTGCATGTATAATCAATACTAATTCACCTTCCCTTCCTAAAGACTTTTACTCCCAGGAAGTGGAAGCAGAAAATGGGCAGGTATGAGGCACCGGGTTGGTGATAGCTTTTCTCTGCTTTTACTTCCCATTTTCTGTCCCAAAGTTTGAGGAGTTCATTTTTTCCCTTCTGAGTAAAAAAAATTTTTTTTTTTTTTTGAGACAGAGTCTTGCTCTGTTGCCCAGGCTGGAGTGCAGTGGCATGGTCTAGGCTCACTGCAAGCTCCGCCTCCCAGGTTCAAGCTAGTCTCCTGCCTCAGCCTCCCTAGTAGCTGGGACTACAGGCGTGCACCACCACTCCCAGCTGATTTTTGTATTTTTTGAGTAGAGACAGGGTTTCAACATGTTGGTCAGGCTGGTATCGAACTCCTGACCTCAAGTGATCCGCCCACCTTGGCCTCCCAAAGTGCTGGGATTACAGGTGTGAGCCACCGTGCCTGGCTTCTGAGTAACTTTCAAACACCTGAAGCCCCAAACTTAGAAGTCACAAGAATCATGTCAAGCCTAATAAATGACTGTTTTTTCCTGTTATCAAACTTTTTAGGGAAACAGGATTTCTGTCACTTACTTGGACTCAATAACACTCACACATATTTAAAAAACATTGTAGGGAGTGTTTTGGATGGATGGTATCAAGGAATAGGGGGTCTGCAGTTGTCATGCACATTAAGCAGTGGCATTGAATTAGGGTCTGTGGGAAATCTGGTAGTATCAGAGCATGCAGGCTTCTCAACCTCTGTACTCCTGACATTTTAAGCTGGATGATCCTTTGTTGTGCGGGCTGCAGGATGTCTACCTGGTGTGGTAGACAGAACAATGCCCCCTCTCCTCAAAGATGTTCATATCTCAACTCCTAGAATCTGTGAATACATTACATTAAGATGGCAAAATCCAAACGAAAACAAAGCAAGAGAAAACTCTCGCAGATGTGATTGGAATGAAAAATCTTGAGATGAGGAGATTATTCTGAGTTATTCAGGTGAGACTCAGGTAATTGCAAGGGTCCTTAGAAGATGATGTGACATGATGATAGAATAAGAGTGGGAAGAGAAGATGTTACCCTGTTGCTTTGAAGATGGAGGAAGGAGCCATGAGCCAAGGAATGCAGGCAACCTCTAGAAGCTGGGAAAGGTGGGGAATAGATTCTCCCCTAGAGCCTCCAGAAGACATGCAGCCCTGTGGACTCATTTTTGTCTTCTGACCTCTAGAATTATAAGAACAAATTTGAGTTGTTTAAAACCACTTAATTGGCTGGGTGTGGTGGCTCATGCCTGTGATCCCAGTGCTTTGGGAGGCTGAGGCAGGAGTATTGCATGAGCCTAGGAGTTAGAGACTAGCCTGGGCCCCATCTCTCCAAAAAATAACAATTAGCTGGGTATGGTGGCATGCCCTGTAGTTGTAGCAACTCAGGAGGCTAAGATGGGAGGATGGCCTGAGCCTAGGAGGTCATGGCTACAGTGAGCTATGATGGTGCCACTGCACTACAGCCTGGGTGACAGGGCAAGACCCTGTCTCAAAATAAAAAAATAAAAATGAAACCACTAAATTCATGGCAAGTTTTTACAGTTACAATAAGAAATGGTTACACCTGGTCTCTACCTACTGGATGCCAGTAACACCGCATTCCCCCCACCCCCCCTTTTTTTCTTTTCTTTTCTTTTTTTTTTTTTTTGAGATGGAGTCTCCCTCTGTCACCCAGGCTGGAGTGCAGTGGCGTGGTCTCGGCCCATTGCAACTTCTGCTTCCCGAGTTCAAGCAATTCTCCTGCCTCAATCTCCCAAGTAGCTGGGATTACAGGTGCCCACCACCACTCCTGGCTAATTTTTGTATTTTTTTTAATTTTTATTTTTTATTTTATTATTATTATACTTTAAGTTTTAGGGTACATGTGCACAATGTGCAGGTTAGTTACATATGTATACATGTGCCATGCTGGTGTGCTGCACCCATTAACTCGTCATTTAGCATTAGGTATATCTCCTAATGCTATCCCTCCCCCCTCCCCCCACCCCACAACAGTCCCCAGAGTGTGATGTTCCCCTTCCTGTGTCCATATGTTCTTATTGTTCAATTCCCACCTGTAAGTGAGAATATGTGGTGTTTGGTTTTTTGTTCTTGCGATAGTTTACTGAGAATGATGATTTCCAATTTCATCCATGTCCCTACAAAGGACATGAACTCATCATTTTTTATGGCTGCATAGTATTCCATGGTGTATATGTGCCACATTTTCTTAATCCAGTCTATCATTATTGGACATTTGGGTTGGTTCCAAGTCTTTGCTATTGTGAATAGTGCCGCAATAAACATACGTGTGCATGTGTCTTTATAACAGCATGATTTATAGTCCTTTGGGTATATACCCAGTAATGGGATGGCTGGGTCAAATGGTATTTCTAGTTCTAGATCCCTGAGGAATCGCCACACTGACTTCCACAATGGTTGAACTAGTTTACAGTCCCACCAACAGTTAAAAGTGTTCCTATTTCTCCACATCCTCTCCAGCACCTGTTGTTTCCTGACTTTTCAATGATTGCCATTCTAACTGGTGTGAGATGGTATCTCATTGTGGTTTTGATTTGCATTTCTCTGATGGCCAGTGATGGTGAGCATTTTTTCATGTGTTTTTTGGCTGCATAAATGTCTTCTTTTGAGAAGTGTCTGTTCATGTCCTTCGCCCACTTTTTGATGGGGTTGTTTGTTTTTTTCTTGTAAATTTGTTTGAGTTCATTGTAGATTCTGGATATTAGCCCTTTGTCAGATGAGTAGGTTGCAAAAATTTTCTCCCATGTTGTAGGTTGCCTGTTCATTCTGATGGTAGTTTCTTTTGCTGTGCAGAAGCTCTTTAGTTTAATTAGATCCCATTTGTCAATTTTGGCTTTTGTTGCCATTGCTTTTGGTGTTTTAGACATGAAGTCCTTTCCCATGCCTATGTCCTGAATGGTAATGCCTAGGTTTCCTTCTAGGGTTTTTATGGTTTTAGGTCTAACGTTGAAGTCTTTAATCCATCTTGAATTAATTTTTGTATAAGGTGTAAGGAAGGGATCCAGTTTCAGCTTTCTACATATGGCTAGCCAGTTTTCCCAGCACCATGTATTAAATAGGGAATCCTTTCCCCATTGCTTGTTTTTCTCAGGTTTGTCAAAGATCAGATGGTTGTAGATATGCGGCATTATTTCTGAGGGCTCTGTTCTGTTCCATTGATCTATATCTCTGTTTTGGTCCCAGTACCATGCTGTTTTGGTTACTGTAGCCTTGTAGTATAGTTTGAAGTCAGGTAGCATGATGCCTCCAGCTTTGTTTTGGCTTAGGATTGACTTGGCAATGCGGGCTCTTTTTTGGTTCCATATGAACTTTAAAGTAGTTTTTTCCAATTCTGTGAAGAAAGTCATTGGTAGCTTGATGGGTATGGCATTGAATCTACAAATTACCTTGGGCAGTATGGCCATTTTCACGATATTGATTCTTCCTACCCATGAGCATGGAATGTTCTTCCATTTCTTTGTATCCTCTTTTATTTCATTGAGCAGTGGTTTGTAGTTCTCCTTGAAGAGGTCCTTCACGTCCCTTGTAAGTTGGATTCCTAGGTATTTTATTCTCTTTGAAGCAATTGTGAATGGGAGTTCACTCATGATTTGGCTCTCTGTTTGTCTGTTATTGGTGTATAAGAATGCTTGTGATTTTTGTACATTGATTTTGTATCCCGAGACTTTGCTGAAGTTGCTTATCAGCTTAAGGAGATTTTGGGCTGAGACAATGGGGTTTTCTAGATACACAATCATGTCGTCTGCAAACAGAGACAATTTGACTTCCTCTTTTCCTAATTGAATACCCTTTATTTCCTTCTCCTGCCTAATTGCCCTGGCCAGAACTTCCAACATTATGTTGAATAGGAGTGGTGAGAGAGGGCATCCCTGTCTTGTGCCCGTTTTCAAAGGGAATGCTTCCAGTTTTTGACCATTCAGTATGATACTGGCTGTGGGTTTGTCATAGATAGCTCTTATTACTTTGAGATACGTCCCATCAATACCTAATTTATTGAGAGTTTTTAGCATGAAGGGTTGTTGAATTTTGTCAAAGGCTTTTTCTGCATCTGTTGAGATAATCATGTGGTTTTTGTCTTTGGTTCTGTTTATATGCTGGATTCCATTTATTGATTTGCGTATATTGAACCAGCCTTGCATCCCAGGGATGAAGCCCACTTGATCATGGTGGATAAGCTTTTTGATGTGCTGCTGGATTCTGTTTGCCAGTATTTTATTGAGAATTTTTGCATCAATGTTCATCAAGGATATTGGTCTAAAATTCTCTTTTTTGGTTGTGTCTCTGCCAGGTTTTGGTATCAGGATGATGCTGGCCTCATAAAATGAGTTAGGGAGGATTCCCTCTTTTTCTATTGATTGGAATAGTTTCAGAAGGAATGGTACCAGTTCCTCCTTGTACCTCTGGTAGAATTCGGCTGTGAATCCCTCTGGTCCTGGACTCTTTTTGGTTGGTAAGGTATTGATTATTGCCACAATTTCAGAGCCTGTTATTGGTCTATTCAGATATTCAACTTCTTCCTGGTTTAGTCTTTGGAGGGTGTATGTGTCGAGGAATTTATCCATTTCTTCTAGATTTTCTAGTTTATTTGTGTAGAGGTGTTTGTAGTGTTCTCTGATGGTAGTTTGTATTTCTGTGGGATCGGTGGTGATATTCCCTTTATCATTTTTTATTGCATCTATTTGATTCTTCTCTCTTTTCTTCTTTATTAGTCTTGCTAGTGGTCTATCAATTTTGTTGATCCTTTCAAAAAACCAGCTCCTGGATTCATTAATTTTTTGAAGGGTTTTTTGTGTCTCTATTTCCTTCAGTTCTGCTCTGATTTTAGTTATTTCTTGTCTTCTGCTAGCTTTTGAATGTGTTTGCTCTTGCTTTTCTAGTTCTTTTAATTGTGATGTTAGGGTGTCAATTTTGGATCTTTCCTGCTTTCTCTTGTGGGCATTTAGTGCTATAAATTTCCCTCTACACACTGCTTTGAATGTGTCCCAGAGATTCTGGTATGTGGTGTCTTTGTTCTCGTTGGTTTCAAAGAACATCTTTATTTCTGCCTTCATTTTGTTATGTACCCAGTAGTCATTCAGGAGCAGGTTGTTCAGTTTCCATGTAGTTGAGCGATTTTGAGTGAGTTTCTTAATCTTCAGTTCTAGTTTGATTGCACTGTGGTCTGAGAGACAGTTTGTTATAATTTCTGTTCTTTTACATTTGCTGAGGAGAGCTTTACTTCCAACTATGTGGTCAATTTTGGAATAGGTGTGGTGTGGTGCTGAAAAAAATGTATATTCTGTTGATTTGGGGTGGAGAGTTCTGTAGATGTCTATTAGGTCCGCTTGGTGCAGAGCTGAGTTCAATTCCTGGGTATCCTTGTTGACTTTCTGTCTCGTTGATCTGTCTAATGTTGACAGTGGGTGTTAAAGTCTCCCATTATTATTGTGTGGGAGTCTAAGTCTCTTTGTAGATCACTCAGGACTTGCTTTATGAATCTGGGTGCTCCTGTATTGGGTGCATATATATTTAGGATAGTTAGCTGTTCTTGTTGAATTGATCCCTTGACCATTATGTAATGGCCTTCTTTGTCTCTTTTGATCTTTGTTGGTTTAAAGTCTGTTTTATCAGAGACTAGGATTGCAACCCCTGCCTTTTTTTGTTTTCCGTTTGCTTGTTAGATCTTCCTCCGTCCTTTTATTTTGAGCCTATGTGTGTCTCTGCATGTGAGATGGTTTCCTGAATACAGCACACTGATGGGTCTTGACTCTTTATCCAATTTGCCAGTCTGTGTCTTTTACTTGTAGCATTTAGTGCATTTACATTTAAAGTTAATATTGTTATGTGTGAATTTGATCCTATCATTATGATGTTAGCTGGTTATTTTGCTCATTAGTTGATGCAGTTTCTTCCTAGCCTCGATGGTCTTTACAGTTTGGCATGATTTTGCAGTGGCTGGTACCGGTTATTCCTTTCCATGTTTAGTGCTTCAGGAGCTCTTTTAGGGCAGGCCTGGTGGTGACAAAATCTCTCAGCATTTGCTTGTCTGTAAAGTATTTTATTTCTCCTTCACTTATGAAGCGTAGTTTGTCTGGATATGAAATTCTGGGTTGAAAATTCTTTTCTTTAAGAATGTTGAATATTGGCCCCCACTCTCTTCTGGCTTGTAGAGTTTCTGCCAAGAGATCAGCTGTTAGTCTGATGGGCTTCCCTTTGTGGGTAACTCGACCTTTCTCTCTGGCTGCCCTTAACATTTTTTCCTTCATTTCAACTTTGGTGTATCTAACAATTATGTGTCTTGGAGTTGCTCTTCTCGAGGAGTATCTTTGTGGCATTCTCTGTATTTCCTGAATCTGAATGTTGGCCTGCCTTGCTAGATTGGGGAAGTTCTCCTGGATAATATCCTGCAGAGTGTTTTCCAACTTAGTTCCATTCTCCCTGTCACTTTCAGGTACACCAATCAGATGTAGATTTGGTCTTTTCACATAGTCCCATATTTCTTGGAGGCTTTGTTCGTTTCTTTTTATTCCTTTTTCTCTAAACTTCCCTTCTCGCTTCATTTCATTCATTTCATCTTCCATCACTGATACCCTTTCTTCCAGTCGATCGCATTGGCTCCTGAGGCTTCTGCATTCTTCACGTAGTTCTCGAGCCTTGGCTTTCAGCTCCATCAGCTCCTTTAAGCACTTCTCTCTATTGGTGATTCTAGTTATACATTCGTCTAAATTTTTTTCAAAGTGTTTAACTTTTTTGCCTTTGCTTTGAATTTCCTCCTGTAGCTCGGAGTAGTTTGATCGTCTGAAGCCTTCTTCTCTCAACTCGTCAAAGTCATTCTCCGTCAAGCTTTGTTCTGTTGCTGGTGAGGAACTGCATTCCTTTGGAGGAGGAGAGGCACTCTGTTTTTAGAGTTTCCAGTTTTTCTGCTCTGTTTTTTCCCCATCTTTGTGATTTTATCTACTTTTGGTCTTTGATGATGGTGATGTACAGATGGGTTTTTGGTGTGGATGTCCTTTCTGTTTGTTAGCTTTCCTTCTAACAGACAGGACCCTCAGCTGCAGGTCTGTTGGAGTTTGCTAGAGGTCCACTCCAGACCCTGTTTGCCTGGGTATCAGCAGCGGTGGCTGCAGAACAGCGGATTTTCGTGAACTGCGAATGCTGCTGTCTGATTGTTCCTCTGGAAGTTTTGTCTCAGAGGAGTACCTGGCTGTGTGAGGTGTCAGTCTGGCCCTATTGGGGGGTGCCTCCCAGTTAGGGTGCTCGGGGGTCAGGGGTCAGGGACCTACTTGAGGAGGCAGTCTGCCCATTCTCAGATCTCCAGCTGCGTGCTGGGAGAACCACTGCTCTCTTCAAAGCTGTCAGACAGGGGCATTTAAGTCTGCAGAGGTTACTGCTGTCTTTTTGTTTGTCTGTGCCCTGCCCCCAGAGGTGGAGCCTAGAGAGGCAGGCAGGCCTCCTTGAGCTGTGGTGGGCTCCACCCAGTTGGAGCTTCCCAGCTGCTTTGTTTACCTAAGCAAGCCTGGACAATGGTGGGTGCCCCTCCCCCAGCCTCACTGCTGCCTTGCAGTTTGATCTCAGACTGCTGTGCTAGCAATCAGCGAGACTCTGTGGGCGTAGGACCCTCCGAGCCATGTGTGGGATATAATCTCCTGGTGCGCCGTTTTTTAAGCCCATTGGAAAAGTGCAGTATTAGGGTGGGAGTGACCCGATTTTCCAGGTGCCATGTGTCACCCCTTTCTTTGACTAGGAAAGGGAACTCCATGATCCCTTGCACTTCCCGTGTGAGGCAATGCCTCACCCTGCTTTGGGTCACACACGGTGTGCTGCACCCACTGTCGTGCATCCACTGTCTGGCACTCCCTAGTGAGATGAACCCGGTACCTCAGATGGAAATGCAGAAATCACCTATCTTCTGCAACACTCATGCTGGGAGCTATAGACCAGAGCTGTTCCTATTTGGCCATCTTGGCTGCCAAACTAATTTTTGTATTTTTTGTAGAGATGCAATTTCGCCATGTTGGCCAGGCTGGTCTCAAACTCCTGACCTCAAGTGATCCACCTGCCTTGGCCTCCCAAAGTGCTGGGATTACAGGCATGAGCCACCCTTTCCAGCCCCCATTCCCAATTTGTGATCACCAAAAATGTCCACAGACATTGTCAGATGCTCCTTGGGGAGCAAAATGGTTCCCAGTTGAGAAGCTCTGTGTTAGAGAGATTCCAACAGCAGCTGCAAAAACTCAGATGCAAGAAGTTGGTGCCTGCACTCAGCTGAGTGCAGTCAGTGGGCTGTGGGGAGCTGGGAGAATAGATAACCCATCATGCTCACTGTTGCTCCTCTCTGCTGCCTTGCCCTGTGGGGATTCATGCCTGGATGCTTGGAGAGCATGGTTGGGCTGACCAAGAATCCTTATTGAATGTGACAAGTTGCCCCATTGGGCCCCTGCTTCTTAGCCCAAGGATGAAAGTCACTCTTTGTGGCAGCTTTTCCCTTTGGGTCAGACTCCTTTGCCTGACTGACCAATTCCTTTCATGCTGGCAGGAAGGACTTCCTTCTATCTAAGCCACAGTAGCTAAGTGTTGCCTGGTTCCATGCAATAGAAACTGACTCTGATTAATGTAAGGAAAATAAATTCGTGATTGTTAGGATAACAGGTGCTCTCACTGAATGAGAGAGGAGTTTGCATAGGAAGGAAAATACTAATAGAGTTTTGGAAGCTTAGCAGCAGATGGAATTCATGATCTACCTCTCTTAAAAAAATTTTTTTAGAGACACGGTTTTACTCCATCACCCAGACCAGAATCTAGTGGCACCATCATAGCTCTCTGTATCCTTGACCTCCTGGGCTCAAGCAATCCTGCTGCCTCAGCCTTCCAAGTAGCTAATGCCACTATGCCACCATGCCTGGCTAATTTTTAATTTGCTTTTTGTAGAGACAGGGTCTTGCTCTGTTGCCCAAGCTGGTCTTGAGCTCTTGGCCTCAAGCAATCCTCCTACCTCGGCCTCCCGAAGTTCTGGGATTAGAGGTGTGAGCCACGGCCCCCAGCCCCTACCTTTCTTGAGTTCTACCATTAATGTGTCTCACTTTCCAATCTCGGATTCCAAGTTTCAAATTCCTGGGGGAGAGAATCCTATTGCTTGGGCTCCATAGATCAACCCACTGAGACCATGGGGAGAGACTTGCCCAAGGTCACACAGCCTGAATAGCAGAGCTGGGCTGCCTCTCTCGACTTTCAAGACTGTTCTTTTTCCATGACAGTTTTTGGGGAGATGGAATGGTCTAGTTAGAGAGTTACCTGAGAGCCAATATAGTAAGAAAAGTTCCTCGCCAGGCAACTGAAATGACACAGGAACTGAAAACTGTGGACAAACTCGGGCTGTTTTTTCTAGTAGGTATCAGGCATCAAGATGTTTTTAGATAACTAGAGATGACATTTACTTTGACATATTGAAAAATAGTTATGACAGAGTTTTGAGAGGCATTATTGTGAACCATAGTAGTGTGAGGTCTTAAAAAGCCCCTTCTTCATTTTTTAGCTGTTTCTAATTTCCACCTAAATTGTCTCAGATCCTTTGCTAATTGCCAAGCCTGGTTGAATTTCCAGTTCCTTATTCCTTTCCTGGGACCCCTTTAGGCTCTGACTGACTTCTCCTTAGGTCTCTGTTTAAACACCACCATTACAACGGGTTTTATTTAGTTTTTTTTTTTTTTCTTTTTAAGACGGAGTCTCACTCTTTCGCCAGGTTGGAGTGCAGTGGTGCGATCTCCACTCACTGCAACCTCTGCCTCCTGGGTTCCAGCGATTATCCTGCCTCAGCCTTCCAAGAAGCTGGGACTACGTGTGCACGCCACCACGCCTGGCTAATTTTTGTATTTTTAGTAGAGATGGGTTTTCACCATGTTGGCCAGGATGGTCTTGATCTCTTGACCTTGTAGATCCATCCACCTCGGTCTCCCAAAGTGCTAGGATTACAGGCATGAGCCACTGTGCCCGGCCCTTATTTAGTTTAAATTCAGCAATCAATTCACATTTACTATATAAAAATTCAAAACACAGATATGCCAATTAAAATTTAAAAAATCACCCATAAGCTGACCATCTAGAAAAAACTGTACATTTCTCTATTCCGCATCCTTCCAGATTATTTTTCTTATCAGTTTATACTTATGCAAAGTGGTATTATACTTCATCTTCTGTTTTGTTACTGACTTTATTCATTTAGTTATTAAAACTCCTTAAATATGTGTTGATTACATTGTTTACTTAATTTTTTTCTTTTTTTTTTTTTAGACAAGGTCTTGCTCTGTTGCCCAGGCTGGAGTGCGGTGGTGCAATCTCGCTGACTGCAACCTCCGCCTCTCAGGTTCAAGTGATCTTCCCGTTTCAGTCTCCTGAGTAGCTGAGACCATAGGCATGTACCACCATGCCCGCTAACTTTTTGTATTTTTAGTAGAGACAGAGTTTTGCCATGTTGGCCAGGCTGGTCTCGAACTCCTAGGCACAAGTGATCCACGTGCCTCAGCCTCCCACGTTGCTGGGATTATAGGCGTGAGCCATTGCGCCTGGCCAATTACACTTTTTTAATAGCTTCAAAGCATTCCATTCCCTGGTTATGCCATGATTGATTGAACATATCCATTATTCATTTTTGAGAGAATTTTTTGTTTCTGTGTTGTTGATGGAGTGATGTTATATAGCTGCAGAATAAATCAAACCATGACTAATATTTCATAATTTCATGAATTTATTTCATTTTGGATAGTTACCCAATTTTTTTTGGTCCTTTCTGATTTTAGAATATTTTGTTATGACATCCCTTTCTGACACTGGGGAGAAAATGTACTTTTTTCCCAGGTCAGAGGTGTCCAGTCTTTTGGCTTTCCTGGGCCACATTGGAAGAAGAAGAATTGTCTTGGGCCACACATAGAATACGCTAACACCGACGACAGCTGATGAGCTAAGAAAGTTGATGAATTTATGTTGAGCCCCATTCAAAGCTGTCTTGGGCCACAGGTTGGATAACCTTGCCCTAGGTTCTCTCTATGCCTTTGAGCTGCCATTCAGCCTCCTTTGAAAGATGGATTATCTTATATATACCTATGTATTTTCTGATGCCCACTCTCCCCATTTGACTACCTGTGGAGTTGAAAACAAGTCCGCTTACTCTAATCAAATCATGATGCTCTGTCCGGGGTCACATTTTGTAACCGACAAAACAGTGCATGAGGAGTTCCAGTTTTCTCGTATCACAAGATTTTATTGAGCACCTACTATGTGCCAGCAGTGTGCTAGGCTTTGGAGACTTGTACAAATTATCCTGGGGTATCTCAGCAGGGAAGTCCTTATTTGTTTATTAATTTTTCCTGACGGTCAGGTCCAGTTAGTCTCACTCTAAACCTGGGGCTTGGAATAGAGGGACCTGAGACACCACATTAGCTGCATGACATTGGGTGACTAGATTACATTCTTTGTATCCATTTTCATATTGATAAAGTTAAATCGGCTCAGGGTGAGGGTTATAACTCTAGCATATATAGAGGCCACAGCATATAGTGTTATATGCTGTACAAAAGACACAACACACAGTAAATGATTCAATAAGCAATGGCCATCTTTATTATTTACGTTGTTATCATATTCTGCAGAAAGGCTTATGTATCAAGTACAAGAAAATGTATAACCCAGTCATTTGTTTTTTATCCAAGGCAGCTGATGAAGAAGACACTTATTAGCCCAAAGAGTGAACAGGGTGAGAGGAGGAGGTTATTGGCTGCTTCTCTGCAGTTAATTTAGCCATCATTTCAGAATGGAGCTGGTATGCTTTGAGTGTGAAAGAAACCTGCTGCTTGTTGATGATTAGTCTGGTTTTAATGAGTTATCAGGTGTCAATAACAGCAGAAGTGCACTAACTTTTCACAGCCATCAGAGGATGTTCAGGATGTTCACTGGGTTCTCACTTTTCAGGGTTTTCTGTGGGTGTTAGAGGTTGGGCTGAGGAGGGCCTGATAGGACATATCTATCTCTGCAAGTCTTAGGCAAAGAAGCTTTCGTGATGATGTATTAGGCTGTTCTTGCATTGCTGTAATGAAATAGCTGAGACTGGGTAATTTATAAGAGAAGAGGTTTATTTGGCTTACGGTTCTGCAGGCTGTACTGGAAGCATAGCTCCAGCATCAGCTTCTAGGGAGGCCTCAAGCTTGTAATCATGGTGGAAGGCAAGGGGGAGGAGGCATATCAGTAGGTGGGGAGGTGCCACATACTTGTAAATGATCATGTGTCGTGTAAACTCACTCACTATCACAAGAACAGCACCAAAGGGATAGTGCTAAACCATTCATGAGAGATCCGCCCCCATGATCCCAATACCTCCCAGGAGGCCCCACCTCCAACAGTGGGGATTAAGTAAGAGTTGGGTGGGGCTCCTTGCTCCTCTTCCCAGTTAATCCTTAATCTCGACCCCAACTCCAGGCAACCACTGAACTTAACCTCCCCTTCCCCTTCCTCTCCTTCTTCCCCTTCCCCTCCCTGAGGTGTCTGTCAGTTACCCAGACTAGAGTGCAGTGGCATGGTCTTTGCTCACTGCAGCCTCTGCCTCCTGGGCTCAAGCAATTCTCCCACCTCAGCCTCCTGAGCAGCTGGGACTACAGGCACATACCACCATGCCTGGCTAATTTGTTGTATTTTTCAAAGAGATGGGGTTTCTCCATGTTGTCCAGGCTGGTCTCGAACTCCTGGGGTCAAGCAATCCACCCGGCTCAACCTCCCAAAGTTCTGGGATTACAGGCATGAGTCACCAGGCCTGGCCCACTGAACTACTTTCTATCCCAATACATTAGATTTTTCTTTCTAGGAGTTTCATATGAATGAAATCATACAGTATGTGCTCCTGGCTTCTTTTGCTTAGAATAATGCTTTGGTTATTCATCTGTGCTATTTATTGTGTGTATCAGTCATGTTTTTCTATTTTCTCACCTTGAGAAGTATTCTGTTTTATAGTACAAAACAATGAGTATGTCCATTCACCTTGAGGAAGATTTTATTTGAAGAAATCTTTGTCATCAAAAAGCTTGAAAACCAGGGCTCTACCTTGATTTCATAGTCTTGAGAATGATGGAGAACTCAATTTACACCATGATTTTCATTGAGAAAGCAGGTTGCATGTTAAGAGATTAGGTGATAGGATGACTGAAAGGTATTTGTGATCTTATGAAAGGTACAATGTGGCAGGCAGCCTCTATGAGGGACCCCAGTGATCCCTGTCTCCTGGTATTCATGCCTTTGTGTAATACCCTCCCCTTAGCATGGGCTGGACTTACTGACTCACTTGTAGTGAATGCAATATGGCTGTCCTGATGGGCTGTCACTTCTGAAATTAGCTTATAAAAAAACCGATTACAGGTATATCTCATTTTATTGCACTTGGCTTTATTGTGCTTTGCAGTTATTACATTTTTTTACAAATAAAAGGTTTGTGTCCCTCAGTCAAACAAAAATGCAATGGGTTTCTTTCTAGTCCCCCACCTCAATTTTAGAAATTAAAAAATTTTCCAAACACAGTGAGTAGTAGTCTATATCTGAAGGGTGAATGAAGCAATGAGTGACCAAGTTGCCCACTTAAGGAGGCACCTCAGAACAATAAACAAAGAGCCTGCTCTTTGGTCTCACACCTGGGTTTGAGTTCTAACTCTGCTACTCCTTGACTGTGAGATCCTGGCCATGTGACTTACCTTCTCTGAGCTTCTATTTTCTCATCTGTGAAATGGGGACAATAATTCTTACATCAGTGCATTAAGTGAGAGAATCTAGACAGTTAGCACAGTACCTAACACAACACAATGACTCAATTTATTATTGTTGTTGTTGCTTCATTCTTATTTGTAAACACTCAACTGTCTTCACAAAGTTCAGGAGCTCTTCAATGAGACACTGTGTCCATTAACAGTCTCATCCCATGGGTAATCTTGAAGATAGATGATTCTATGGTAGGTTCTGAAACATCTCCTCTTTTACTCTATCATGGTGTCAAAGACCAGGATGGTGCAGAGGTCCAGGAGTCTGGCCTATGCAGTCAGAGAAACTGATTTGAACTCTACCTCTTCCACTTATTAACCAAGGGGCTTTGGGAAAATTGTGAGCATCACCAGGCTCATGGTGAAGATGGGGTTAATAATAGCTCCAACCTTATGGCCTTAATTGAGATAATTAATGCATATAAAAATGAAACCATGTCTTTTGCAGCAACATGGATAGAACTGAAGGCCATTATCCTATGTGAAATAACTCAGAAACAGGAAGTCAAATACCGCATGTGCTCATTTATAAGTGGGAGCTAAACAATGGGTACACACAGACATACAGAGTAAAATAACAGACACTGGAGACTACAAAAGGTGGGAAGGTAGGAGGGGAGTGAGGGTTGAAAAATTACCTCTTGGGTACAATGTTCGCTGTTTGGGTGATGGATACAGTAGAAACCTAGATCTCATCATAATGAAATGTATGCGGTTAAGAAATCTGCACCTATATCCCCTAAATATATACAACTTTTAAAAAATTAAAAAAATGATTAATGTGGGCCAGCACACAGTGATCACTCAACAAATGCAAACTCTTATTCTTGTAGGAGTTGAGGGAAGATGCCAAGACCACCCCTCCTCCAACTTTTAATGTCCTGGTATTTTGTCTTAAACATTTGGAAGCATCTGCAGGCAGGGATTTTGTCCTCCTGTCTCCCTTCCGATGGCACTGGCCTGTTTGGATCAGTGGAAGGCTCTCCTGCCCCTCCTCCTTTCTTCCCAGAGGTTTTCTTTTGCACTTTGGACTTCTATTCATGGATCCTTCTGCCAGGGACGTGGACCAAGAATTCTTCCTCTTTTGCAGATTTCTTCCCCTAATTGTCCTGTTTTGTGCTGTCACCCCTGTGCTCTCCCTCCTCCCCAGTTATCAGCAGCTGGCAGGAAATGTTTATAGAAGAAGCCTTTCTTTCTGTTTTTAATAGCCTCCTAGGCTGCAACCTCCCAAATGAGAACCTTGTTAACCAGAAGGACTCTAGGCTACTGATTTATATTTCAGTCATACCGAGAGGAGGAAAAATTACAAAGGGAGAAAGAAAAATGCCAATGTACACATGGACTAGTTCCGACATCTTCTCTGATGAAGAATGTATATATCTATTCAGGCTCCGGATGCTAAGGGATTCCTTCCAGATCTCAGTATTTGACCTCTTACTTTTGGGTCACGTGGATTCTTCGTGCCTCTTGTGGGCTTGCTGAAAGCAAAAGTAACAATTTCATACTCTTGCCATTGAAACAAGGGGTCTATTACTTTTAAATCATAAGGGCACTTGTTTCAACAGAAATGTTAGTATCTTGGTGAAGATGGGGTCTAAGTTCTTGGTGGCTTCTGAGGATGGCGAAGGGCTCACCTTCTGTCATCCCGAACCATCACTGATGGGACAGTGTCTCTCCATGTGTAGCTATGCAAAGGCCACAGAACAAATGGGTAAAAATATTTGGTGGTCAGAATTCTAGCTCAATAGTCAAGGAAGGCTTCCTGGAGGAGAAAGTTCATTTTGAACTGGGCTTTAAAAGTTGGTGTCACAGAAAATGCAAGCTGTCCCTCAGAATTAAGACTAGAGTTCTGTGAAATAGTGATTGCAAAAATGGCCACAATTATTCTCCTCTCTATAGGCACACCCCTTTGCAATGTGACATTGTAGCTTCTCCTATTAGAGTCTATTTCCCCACCCTTGAATCCAGGCCAGTCTTGTGACTTGCTTTGGCTAATACAGTGTGATGGAGGTGACAGTGTGCCAGTTCCGAGCCTATATCTCAAGATAACTTGCACACTTCCACTCAATCTCTTGGAATCCTGCCCAACCACCATGTGAACCAGCCCCAGCTAGCCTTTGGGAGGATGGGATGCCACATGGAGAGGAGACAGCCCAGGTAAGGACCAGTCAGCACCCGACCAACCAGGCAGCTAACTGCTGGTACCTGAGATGGGCCCAATCAAGAGCACTACATTTGCCCAGATAGACCCAGCGCACATTGCCAGCCTGCAGAATCATGTGCTAAATGAATGCTTATTGTTTAAAGCTGCCGAATAGTGGTTTGTGATTTAGCAAAACTAGCTAGTACAGTTTCCTATGCAGCTGAGTGTATCCATGTGACTAAGTTTCTACATACAAAAACGGTGTGTGTAATTTCTGGGGAATTTCCTTCCAGGGAGAAGGTATGCTCTTCTTCCACTTTTTTTCCTTTATGTTGCCTGGAATGGGTATGTAATAGCTGGAGCTCCAGCAGCCATCTTGGATCATGAAGTAAGTTTAGGAATGGAAGACACTCCTGGCAGAGCAATAAGCTGGGAGTGTCTTGTTCCTCTAAAACCACTGATTACCTTTCCAGTTCTATTCTGGTACTTCTAAATTTACTAAACAACAGAAATTAATAAACTTTTGCTTAGGTCATTGTTTTGAGTTTTGCAGTTACTCATAGCTGAACCTATTGCAAAAGAATACAGATGGTCAGGATTTAAACAAGCAGGGATGGTAAAGAAGAGCATCCATGACATAGGGAATATAACACTAATGTTGCAGAGAAAGAAAAAGTGTGGGTAATGGGTGGGCAATGGTGAATAACTACATATGCCTAAGGGGAGCAGTGGGTGATCAAATTGGGAACCATTTGGGACCAGCTTTTGAAAGGCAGCCTGAGAAGTTTGGCGAGGGTGGTAGACAAAAATGTATGAGTACTTATGCAAATCAGAGTAAGAAAGTCATATATTCATTTTTCCCCCACTCATTGATTCATTTCTTCTAGGAAGTTTACACTGTGTATGAGGGAAACATAGCAAAATAGAAAGATGATTATTGATTGTTATGCATGGTCTGAACTAAATAAACTCTGTGATGTGGCAGAGATTAACTGTTGGGCAGAGATGGCTACTTTAGGCACAGTAGTCAGAATTTTTTGTTTTCTAGAAATTCTGTTAGGCCCTGTGCAGAAGTCTAGGAACACAGGGATGAATAACACACACTTCCTGTCATTGAAGAGATCACAATCTGGTGTGGAATGAGGTTAATCAGGAATATTTTCCTAGTGGAGGTGGAATAGAGCCAAAGGAAATAATGTAGTTTTCCCATATGTATCTGTCAGATATTGCTACAACAAGGTTGCATAACAAGCATCCCCCCAAATCTTGCTTACAACAAAAAAATATTTTTTCTTTCACAGGTCTGTGCATAGGCTGTGATTCTGCTGGGCTCTGTTGGCTCGGCTTGACTCCAGGCTGTGGGTTGGTCTGGGTCTGCACTATGTATCTTTTTATTCTGGGACCAATGGATCCCAAAGATTTGTACTTCTCAGGGTGGATGGCAGAAGTGCAAGGGGCCAAACCAGACCACAGAGGCACATATAAAGCTTTGACTTGCATCACATTTACTAACACTATTGGCATTAGCAAGACTGATATCAGTGGGTCAGGATGTATGTTCCACTCACAGTGGGAAGATTGCAAAGGTGCAAGGATGTATAATTCTGTTAAGAGAGGGAATGAAGAGTCGGGAACAATATCCAGCTTACCATACCACCCAGCTTACTTACCATTCCTTACCATACAAGGAAATAATGTATTTCTCCATTTTTCAAGAACGCTCATGTCTGAATAGTTTTATTATTTTCTTCAACAAATCTTTTATCTTGTTAGATTTATTGCAACGAGCCATATTTCTCTTTTTTACAAAATTTATTTAGAAAGTTACATATGCACATATGGTAAAAAGTTCAAAAAGTGGCACCAAAAGATATAACAGTGAAAATAAGGCTGGTTCTTGTTTTTATCCACTGAGGCAAATACTGAGTTTATTTTCAAAGGTATTCTGTGTGGGCACAATCACGCTTGCATATGTTAAAAAATACAAAATGGTATCATACTTGTTCCTCTGCACTTTCTTTTTTTTCTTTTTAACAACATATCTTAGAGGTAGTCCTATTTCAATTTAGCTAGACCCATTTCATTCTGTTTAATGGCTACATTTGTTTTTCATTGTGAGACTGTGCCATAATTTATTTAATCAGTGCCATATTGAAAGACATTTGGATCGTTTCCCAGCATTTGCAACTATAATCAAGGTTACATTAAATATCCTGTTACATGCAGGAAGATACTTTATTCACATGCATGGGTATATCAGTAGGTTAAAACTCAAATACAGAAACTGCCAGGTCAAGAGATACACATCTTAAAGTTTAATAGATATTGACCCTGTTTCTAAAAAGAAAGATTCCTTCCAGCATGTCTACACACATTTGTCTGCTCCTCTGTCTTCTGATTCTTGTCCCATGGTGTTATTTTAGGCTGAAATAATGGAATATGGTGGCTCAAAAAACTTATTCCCATAGGATCTCTGGGGAAGCTTTGGGTCTTGCCACATGGTCCCCAGTTGAACACAGGAAGTACTTGGCACTGTTGTTGCAACCCAAATCATCACTTTAATGAGCGTGCTGGCGGAGCGTGGAATGTTTCCACAAGCATGTGTACTGAAGAATTCCATGCTGCAGGCGAAATGATTTATATCCCTGGGAGTTCCCAGTAAAAAAATGTGCACAGTACCCTTTAATTTGATCTGCTTTCCCTGTAGCATCTAAATATTTAGGGCAAATAGAAAATAGTTCTGATTTACAATCTCTATAAAAATTTTAAACAACCTAATAAGACATTTGATCATGAAATTGCCTGAAATAATGTTGGCACTAGTCAGCCATATTTCTTCAAAATGGCCTGTAACTTCAGTGCAAACTCCCAAACATGGATTTTTTTTTCCTGCTAATAACAGTCTTATTAATAAAAGAATGATTTTCTTTACTGATCCTCAGCAGCTGTGTTCCGGGTGTCTTTGTTCAATAAAGGTAGAGATAATAACTGTCAGTGGAAAGAAAATGTGCTGAGGTTCCCAGGAGAAGTGGTGGAAACAAATCTTTTATTAAATCATATCAAATTGTGTTTCTCGTTTACTTTTTCCATTTTGTAAGTCACAGTCATATCTGCTAGTTTTTCGGAAACCTTGGCTCACATTTGTCAAAAAAACTTGGCTTGGCGTTCTTGAGGTTAATGCTGCGTGATCAATCAGGGTGATAAATTTGACATAATTAACTGTTGTAATGGCATTTCTGAGTCTGTTTCTCTTCTTTACTCCTGCTGAAATCATCTGAGATTAGTTAACTTCTGAATATTTCTTCAGATATGCTGTGGATGCCTAGAAAAAGAGTGGTAAGGAAGTGTCGTTGATATCTGGAGTTCTTATCTGTCCACAGGTTAATGATCTCTCTGAATAATAACACCCCTATTTCCCTAGGAGGATCCCTTCCCCTACTCCCAAGGCAGGTGGCTCAGATGGGCCTGATTTATTCCTGGTGCTAGGGGTGGGCAAAAGACCCAGACCTGACCAATCAAAAACATCAAATTGGGCCAACCAGAACCAATTAGAATTCTGGGACCTTTGCTACAACTATTGGAAAAGATAATTTTTTTTTTGATTGGAATTCCTGAAAGAACAAGACATAAACCTGCTTCTGGTTATCTTTGCTTTCCGGGGAAAGGTTTTTTTTAATGTTTATTTTTATTTTTTCTGAGACAGGGTCTCACTCTGTCACCCAGGCTGGAGTGCTGTAGTGCAATCATGGCTCACGGCAACCTCGAACTCCTAGACTGCAGAGATCCTCCTGCCTTAGGAGAAAACACCAGATTAACACAGATAACGGTGGTCATCTGCCCAGTGCTCACCATGTTGCAGGCACTGTGCTAAATGAACAGCCTTATCCTTTCCCGGGGTGCTCACAGCCATGAATGGTACCAAGCAGGCACTACCATATTCATTCCCTCTAATGCCAGGCCAGGTGCAGTGGCCTCTGCCTGTAATCCCGCCACTCTGGAGGCTGAGGTGGGAGGATTGCTTGATCCCAGGAGTTCGAAACCAGCCCGGGCGACATAGTAAGACCCAAGCTCTACAAAATACTTTAAAAAATTAGCCAGGGGGCCGGGTGCGGTGCCTCACGCCTATAATCCCAGCACTTTGGGAGGCCGAGGTGGACAGATCACCTAAGGTCAGGAGGTGGAGACCAGCCTGGCCAACATGGTGAAACCCTGTCTCTACCAAAAATACAAAAATTAGCCGGGCATGGTGGCAGGCGCCTGTAATCCCAGCTACTTGGGACGCTGAGGAAAGAGAATCACTTAAACCCAGGAGGCAGAGGTTGCAGTGAGCCCAGATCAAGCCATTGCATTCCAGTCTGGGCAACAAGAGCAAAATCCATTTCGGGGGGAAAAAAAAAGAAAAAATTAGCCAGGCATGGTTGTGGTGCGCCTGTGGTCCCAGCTAGCTACTGGGGAGGCTGAGGAGGGAGGATTAATTGAGTACAGGAGGTTGAGGCTGCAGTGAGCCATGTTGGTGCCACTGCACTCTAGCCTGGGCAACAGAGCAAGACCCTGTCTTTAAAAAAAATTCTATGGATAAATTGCTCTCTATTATTCTCTCACCAAGGAAAATACCACTTCCAGTTAAATTAAGACATGTAAGAGACATCTCGATTTTGGAAGTATTAGAGTGAAAAAAAAAAGTGAGACTAGAATCAATGAAATGAACATTTACTAACCCCATCCTATGGCTAAAGAAACCGAGGCAAAGAGAAGTTGAGCAACTTGCCCAAAGTCACAGGCCTTGTAAGCTCCTACACAAGGAATGGAATCCAGGGTGACGAAGGCATGACAAGGGTGAGACCTTTCACGTGCTTCTGTGACACCAACCTGGTTCTCTGGCAGCCTCACATCTGCCTTAACCCTGGGGTCACAGTGGACCTCTTCCAGCCTGTTGAATGCTAAATTCCACATGCAGCCCTCCCTTTGTGACTGCGTGAGGGAGTGAAGAAGTGATCCAGGAATGACTGGACATAGAAATTCTCCACTTAGCAAGTCTTTGAAGAGTGCCCACTGTGTGACTCACACTGAGCTGGGAACTGAAAATACAGCTGTGAACAACAGAGATGAGGCTTGCTCTCCCGGGACTGGAGTTTGAGGTGGGGAACAAGGCTCTATAATAAAGATTTATATAACTGGCCGGGCACAGTGGCTCACACCTGTAATCCCAGCACTTTGGGAGGCTGAGGCGGGTGGATTGCTTGAGGCCGGGAATTCGAGATCAGCCTGGCCAATATGGCAAAACCCCATCTCTAGTAAAAATACAAAAATTAACTGGGCGTGCTGGTGGGCGCCTGTAATCCCAGCTACTTGGGAGGCTGAGGCAGAACAATCACTTGAACCCAGGAGGCAGAGGTTGCAGTGAGCCAAGATTGCACCACTGCACTACAGCCTGGGTGACAGAGTGAGACTCTGTCTCAAAAAAATAAGACAAAACAAAAATATTTCTATAACTCATGCTTTAATGGCAGTTATGATGAGTAACATAAAAAAGCAGCCCAGGCCGGGTGCGTTGGCTCATGCCTGTAATCCCAGCACTTTGGGAGGCTGAGGCAGGTGGATCACCTGAGGTCAGGAGTTCGATACCAGCTTGGCCAACATGGTGAAACCCTGTCTACTAAAAATACGAAATTAGCCAGGCATGGTGGGGCACACCTGTAATCCCAGCTACTCAGGAAGCTGAGACAGGAGAATCACTTGAACCCAGGGGGCGGAGGTTGTAGTGAGCCAGGACTGTGCCACTGCACTCCAGCCTGGGCAATAAGAGCGAAACTCTGTCAGAAAAAAAAAAAAAAAAAAAAGCCCAGAGGTTAGAGAGGAGGGATCTGATCTCATCAGGAGATCAAAGAAGGCCTCCTGGCGGGTGGGTGGGGAATAGGAAGATCAATGCCTGCTCACCAGGCGGCCTTCCTCTTAGGCTCAAGGAAATGTGGACTCTCAAGACAGGATAGGGCACACCCAGCTCTGGCATGCTCAGGGGAACAGGAGCCTGGGACGCAGCACTCTGGCAGGACAGCATCAAGAGCTGCCCTCTCAGCCACCTAGGAGCTGTCCCCTCTGTCCCCTCCTCCCCTAGGTGACAGCTCAGGTATCAGAGAATGACACTTACATGGGACGGGACCTGCCCTGGCTCAGATGCTCCATACCCCACAGGAGCCAATAGCTCTTGGGGCAGCAGTCCAGGGACTTAGCTTCCAGAGTCCCCGGAAGGGACAAGAGCCACTGCACAGAGAGAAGTCTAAAGCTATGGCCTCCAACCAGGTATTCACAGTCAATGGACAGAACTTCCAGCCCAGATGCAATTTGGGATTTTTTTTTTTTTTTTCTTCTGAGATGAGGTCTCGCTCTGTTACCCAGGCTGCGCTGCAGTGGCATGATCTCAGTTCACTGCAACCTCCACCTCCCGGGTTCAAGCGATTCTCCTGTCTCAGCTTCCCGAGTAGCTGGAATTACAGGCACCCGCCACCATGCCTGGCTAATTTTTGTATTTTTAGTAGAGATGGGGTTTCGCCATGTTGGCCAGGCTGGTCTTGAACTCCTGACCTCAAGTGATCCTCCTGTCTCAGCCTCCCAAATTGCTGGAATTACAGGCGTGCACCACTGTGCCCAGCCTAGGGGTCATTTTTACCTCAAGCAGTATTGTCTGGGAACACAGCTGACAGGCCACCTTATCAGAAGGTTAATCCTTTATCCTCAAGGGGGAATGAGTGGAAGTTAAAATTAGGCTCAAAAATTAAAATTAGATTAGAGGGAGTGGAAACGGTGTCTAGGCAGTGAGAACAACTGCAAAGGCCCCAGGGTGGGTGGGTGCCTGGAGTGTTTGAGGAACTGAAAGGAGACCTGTGTGGCTGGAGGAGAGTGAGCATGGGAGGAGGTGACGGGATGAGGTCAGAGACACCCTAGGGACAGATCACACAAGACCTTACAGGAATAACTAAGGAGCTGAGGCTAGGAGTTCGAGACCAGCCTGACCAACATGGCAAAACCTTGTCTCTACCAAAAATATAAAAATTAGCTGGGCGTGGTGACACGTGTCTATAGTCCCAGTTACTCAGGAGGCTGAGGCAGGAGAATCACTTGAACCTGGGAGGCGGAGGTTGCAATGAGCCGAGATTGCACCACTGCACTCCAGCCTGGGTGACAGAGCAAGACTCTGTCTCAAAAAAATAAATACATATAATAAAGAGAAATAACTAAGGAAGTGAGAATGTATGGTGAGTGACTCTAATAAGCAAGGACTGAATGCGTTCTCAGCTGCTGATAACATTACTGCCTGCTCAGTGATACTGCTTTTCCTGGCTGGGAAGACCTGCCCTTGTCCCCCAGGGCTCACCTTTCTGTACACCAGGCCAGTGATGGCCGACCGCAGCCTCATCTACAGCACCTTGAGCCTGTACATGTTCTGCTGCTCAAACAGCGTTTGCAGGCAGGCCGAGAGGAACATCAGCACGGCGAGGAGGTAGCCCTTCCAGGCTGGAGGCTTGGGATCACCAATAAACTCCAGGAAAAGGCTTGCAGGGGAAGGAGGGAGAAGGTACAGCTGGTGAGAGGAGGTGCCTAAGGGTGTTGCCTTTGCCCAAACCAGTCCAGATGTGGAGGATCAGTCGGCCCAAACTAGTCCAGGTGTGGAGGATCAGTCAGTGTGGTTTTTTTTGCAATAATGGTCTCCGTTATTTCCCCCACTGTCCATACTCCTTTTCAATCTGACTGCAGCTCCTCAAGATCAAGAGGTGGAGTTTTTGTTCCCACTTGTTATAGGCTAAATTGTGTCCTCACAAACTTTATATGTTGAAGCCCCGACCCCCAGTACCTCTGAATGTGACTGTATTTGGAAATAGGGCCTTTAAAGAGGCAATGAAGTTAAAATGAGGTCATTAGGCTGGGCCCTAATCCAATCTGACTGGGGTCCTTTTAAGAAGAGGAAATGTAGACACATAAGGAGACACCAGGGGGCGCAAACAGAGGAAAGACCATATGGGGACACAGGGAGGAGGTGGCCAACTGCAAGCCAAGGACAGAGGCCTCAGATGGAACCACCTTGCAGATACTAATCTCGAACTTCCAGCTTCGAGAATCATGATAAAATACATTTCTGTTGTTCAAGCCACTCAGTCTCAGTCTGTGATGCTTTGTTATGTCAGCTGAGCAGACACCACTTGAATCTGGGCTGGCTACAAAACCGGCTTTGGCCAACAGAGTACAGTGGAGGTAAAGCCATGCTGGCTCTGAGCCTAGGCCTCAAGAGAAAATGTGGTTTTTGGTTTATTTCTTAGAACCCTCCCAAGCACCCACATGAACAAGTCTGAGCTAGCCTTTTGGAGGATGGGGACCCACATGGAGCAGAGACAGCCATCCCAGTCTCAGATACACAACTGCAGGCACATGAGAAAACCCAGCCAAGAAAAGAAGAACCACCCAGCTGAGCCCAGCCCACATTACTGACCCACATTACCATGAACTAAATAAAAGAATGTTTGTCATTTTAAGCCACTCACTTTTGGGGCATTTTACAGCAAAAACTAATTGGTGCAGTCAGGTAAGAGCTTGCTTATTTGCCCTTCTGGGGGTCAGTCACTTTCTCATTAATCCATTTCCCTTCCTCAGTATCCTTCTCACCCACCATCCAGTGTCCCGAGCACCAGATGTATAGGCAGAGGCAGGAGAGCTGAAGCCCCCTGGCCCTGGAAGGATGCCACTAAGAGACCACCCACCTTAGCAGGGCACTTGAGGTCTGGGACTCACCTGAGCAGCTTGGGGACAGTGAACCTGAAGACATCACTGATGACGAGGCTGAGGGTCCCCAGGAGGAAGGTAGAATGGAACACCTGCCAGATGGCCTTCAGCAGTGGGCGCCACTGGCTCCCTTCTTGCCGTAGGAAGGGCTCAGTCTCTGGAGCCTCCATGCCACTGCCGCCTTTCCTTTTAAATGCTATTGCCTTGTTGTGCCTGAGGGGAAGGGAGAGATTAGCTCTGGGTCCCATTTTATACTCTCAGCCACCAGCGGCAGGGCCAGGCATTAAAGGGTTGTTTTCCCAACAGTGGAGATGGGTGGGTGTGGATCTAGCCTGGCTCCCTCACCTGTTCCTCCTTATCACCCTGAGTACCCACTTAAGAGACAATCATGGGAGTTGGGGGGCAGGGCAGGAGGGCACTCTGAGGCCTCTTAGATGGCCATGGGAAAGCACACCTGTTGAGCACCTACTATGTGCCAGGCACTCCCCAGTCATCCTAAGACCCCCTGAGAAGCCAGGTGTTGTTCCCATTTCACAGATGAGAAAACTGGGGCTCAGAGAAGCGAACTTGCCCAAGGGCACACAGCTGAGAAGTAAAAGAACTGGAATTTGATTCCAGCTCTCTGCCTCCAGAGCCCATGCACTTTTCTTTTATCTTTTTTTTTTTTTTTTTTTTTTTGAGACAAAGTCTTGCTCTGTCGCCCAGGCTGGAGTGCAGTGGTGTGATCTCGGCTCACTGCAACCTCCACCTCCCAGTTCAAGTGATTGTCCCACCTCAGCCTCTCGAATAGCTGGGATTACAGGCAAGTGCCACCATACCCAGCTAATTTTTGTATTTTCAGTAGAGAAGGGGTTATGCCATGTTGGCCAGGTTGGTTTTGAACTCCTGACCTGAGGTGATCTGCTCACCTCAGCCTCCCAAAGTGCTGGGATTACAGATGTGAGCCACCACACCTGGCCTCTCATGTACTTTTCAACCTATCGTGTTGTCAACCTGGAGGAAGAACAGCACCCCGTCCCCAACACACACAATCAGCCAGCCCTTAGGTGGTTTTGAACTGGTGGAGAATCATGGCTGATGGGCATGGGGCCTGGTGCTCTAGCTCTGGGTGAAAGTGCAGACAGAAGCTCAGGCTGCCTCAAACTAATAAGATCCCCAGCCTTTGGCTATAACCAGGGGCCACAGAGAAGAGCTAAGGTGAGGGAGGGAGGGAGGAGATGGGGGAGGCCCGAGGGCGCCTGTGAGGCAGGTCAGAAGCCCTGGGCCAGAAAGGAGAGGCTGGGGCGATGCAGCTGCTGACAGTCCGGTTGCTGTGTGGTCCTGGGCGGGGACACTGCTCCTCTCTCTGTGTGTGAGAGGATGGGTGTGGTCCTCCGCTGAGTCCCCTGTGGCTCTGACAACCTATAAGTTTATCAGTAATTTCTTTTTCTTTTTTTTTTTTTTTTTGAGACGGAGTTTCGCTCTTGTCACCCAGGCTGGAGTGCAGTGTAGCAATCTCGGCTCACCGCAACCTCTGCCTCCTGGGTTCAAGCAATTCTCCTGCCTCAGCCTCCCAAGTAGCTGGGATTATAGGCACACACCACCATGCCTGGCTAATTTTTGTATTTTTGGTAGAGACAGGGTTTCACAGCGTTAGCCAGGCTGGTCTTAAACTCCTGACCTCAGGTGATCCACCTGCCTCGGCCTCCCAAAGTGCTGGGATTACAGGTGTGAGCCACCATGCCTGGCCACTTATCAGTAATTTCAATCCCCATTACAGATCTGTGACCCGGGGCCACGTGCTGGGATCAGCTCTTTACACGAAGGAGCTCACTGACTCCCCTGGATCCCCTTGCCAGGTGAGCATTATTAGGTTCTCCATTTTACAGAAGGGGAAGCTGAGGCTCTGAGAGATGGCGACAGCCGCCCGAGGTCACACAGCAAGGGCAGAGCAGGGTTTTGAGCCTAGATCTTGATTTATGGTTCGTAGAGGGTTTCTTGTGCACTAAGGACCCCCAACCTCACCATAATAAAATAATAATAAAAAAAGAAGCATAAGAAAAAACCTCTGGTGAGCTCAGGTGGCCAGACCCTTCAAGGCCAAGGTCTCTGTCCCACATTATTGGTCTGATCTGGTGTTTGGTTTGGCATCTATGGAGGGTTGTGGTTCAGCTCTGTTACTGAGTGGGTGTGGCCTGCTGCTCACAAATATTTTGGCATTTGGATCTCAAAGCCAAGAAGATGCCCCTTCCATACAGAGAGCATCCCTGCCCACCCTTTCCTGTTTGATCCTGCCATTTAATTCATTGCCTTCACAGCTATGCCCATGGCTCCAACCCTCTCTTTGTCTCGTTAGAACCCCAGGTGGGTAGACTTTGCCTGTGTTTTCCACCAAGATGTCCCTAGTATAGAGTCCAGCTCCTGCACACAGTGGGAGCTCAATAAACACTTGTCAAATGAATGGGAAAAACAGATTGAGTGATGTGTGCAAAGGGCCTAATAAGAGTGCCCCCCGCACATGCTGTTATAAAAATTTATAGAAGGAAGGAAGGAGCTTGGCTGGGTGGACAGAACTTGGCTTTGGAGCCAGGAGACTGTGGTTCCAATGCCTGCTCTGTCTCCTCTCCTCTGAGCCTTAGTGTTTCCATGTGCAAAATGGGGTCGGGGAAGAGTTGACTGGAAAGTTTTCTTTCTGGCTGAGGTTTTGCTCAGTTCTATTTGAGCTGTTTGCCCCAGAGAGTCAGTGTGTTCAGCCTGCAGGCTCCATAGCAAGTGTTTTCCTCTCCTGCAGGTCGCACCTCCCATCAAGGAAGATGTCCAGATTGCTGTCTGACGTCTGGTCTCTGGACTGAAGGCCATTTAGTGCAGATCTCACAAATGATGGTGGGGCAAGGCAGGGGGTATGCATGAGTGGCATGGGCAAGGTGTGAGTTGGGGGATACAAAAGGGAGTGGTGGAGGACGGGCACGGTGGCTCACACCTGTAATCCCAGCACTTTGGGAGGCCAATGTGGGCGAATCACCTGAGGTCAGGAGTTCAGGGCCAGTCTGATAGCCTGAGCAACATGGAGAAACCCCGCCTCTAATAAAAAATACAAAAATTAGTGAAGCCGACTTGACCAGCAGGTGGCTGTTGTGTGGCCTCTCAGGAGGACGCCCTCTCCCTTCCCCCAGTGGTTGCAAAATACTTCAGAAAGAAAACCAAAGTTCTCTGTGGGTGCAGTCGGTTGTTTCAGAAGCTGACGGAGCCTGGTCTTTGTATAACCCCATCTTTCCCCTTTCTTTCTGTCAACTGTTTATGGGAGGATTCTCAAACTGTTCTGGAGAATGTTTCTACCCTTTAGTTCTAGTGTTGGGTGACCTGTAATTTTCATGTTGGCTGGGGATGCCAGGAGTTGGCAGAGGCTCCTTCCAGAGCCCCTGTGGACTGAATTCTGCCACTTCCGTAAAATCATTTAAAAGTAGAGGGTGAGTCAAGTGCAGTAGCTCACATCTGTAATCCCAGCACCTTGAGAGGCCAAGGCAGGCAGATACCCTGAGGTCAGGAGTTCAAGATCACCCTGGCCAACATGGTGAGACCCTGTCTCTACTAAAAAATTTAAAAATGAGCTAGATGTGGTGGCCCACGCCTGTGGTCCTAGCTACTCAGAAGGCTGAGGCAGGAGAATCGCTTGAACCCAGGAGGTGGAGGTTGCAGTGAGCCGAGATCATACCACTGCACTCTAGCCTGGGTGACAGAGCGAGACTCTTGTCTCAAAAAACAAACCAACCAACCAACCCAGTGAAGGGGGTCCAGCAAGCCATGCCTGGGGTGAGAGAGAACTGATGTTTTGGTTCTCTCACACTACTTATTCTGTTTGGAAAAACACATGCCCTTCCTTTGTGGGAACAGCCCCTACCCACTTCTGTGGCTCTGAAGGGACCACCAGTCATGGCACCAGCCCCCTGGGCATGGGATTGGCCCCTGAAAGGCACATGACTTGAGCCGGGCCAATTAGAGGCCTTCCTTGGGATTTACTATATGGACGTTAGGAGAGAGATGCTCTCTCATTCTGCTGGAGTTTGCTGAACTTGCATGGGAAGGGATAGGCCTTATGGAGAGACCAACACATAGACAATAGTTGGGATGGGAGATGAAAGGAGAGAATCCTGACATCATTTGAGTCCCCTGATCCAGCAACACCTGAGGCTAGATCCTCTTAGCTGTGTGAGCCTATAGTATCAGTCTCTGTCTCCTCTGTCTCTCTTAATGTGTGGGATTCAGCCATCTGCAACAACTACCACAAAATCCCGGAGTATGCAGGGAACTTCCCACAGAGCTAACTTCCTTTTTTGTTCTGTCTCCTGAAACACCAAGGTCCGGTGAGGTTAAGCAACGTGTCCAGGGTCATCACTATTTGAAGGCAGGGCAGCATTTAACCCAATTTTATCTAATCCTATGCAGGCTCATTTATCTAGACCAGAGTTTCTCAAATGAGGCATCCCAGGCTCTAAGGGCTGCAGAGAAGTTTCCAGAGATGCCACTGAGGGCAGGAGTGGACAGAGTGGATAACTCCAAAGATCTTAACACCCTCTGGATGACTAACAGTGCTTGAGCACTTCCCATTTGCAAGACATTTGCAAGTTCTTTTCCATAAATCATCCTTTTTTTTCATCCCCATAAGCTATGAGCTGGGGCTAATGACATCCCCACTGAACAGATGAGAAAACTGAGGCCCAGGAAAGGAATTGCTCAGGTTATATAGTAAGTGAGCAGCTGCTTGTGTGTTGAGTCCCCTCCCAACCCTCCACCCCGGCCTTAAAATACCTCTTCTGTTTGCTGCCTGTCATTCTGCCATTTCCCCATTTGTAGGAACCTGTTTGTTCCCCGTTTGTAGGAACCTGTGATGCGTTCTGGGAGGAACCATATCTTGAGCCTGATACTACTTAGTGGGATCAGCTGGAAGGCAAGGTGGGGAGGCGGCAGTGCAGCCAGAGTAGCGTTGGGGGCTGGACTGGGGGTCAAATGATGAGGTTTTTTTTGTTTTTGTTTTTGTTTTTGTCTTGTTTGTTTGTTTTTTTTTTTGATACGGAGTCTGGCCCTGTCACTCAGGCTGGAGTGCAATGGTGACATCTCCACTCACTGCAACCTCTGCCTCCTGGGTTCAAACGATTCTCCTGCCTCAGCCTCCTGAGTAGCTGGGATTATAGGTGCCTACCACCATGCCCAGCTAATTTTTGCATTTTTAGCAGAGATGGGGTTTCACTGTGTTGGCCAGATTGGTCTTGAACTCCTGACCTTGTGATCCGCCTGCCTCGGCCTCCCAGAATGCCGGGATTACAGGCGTGAGCCACCGCACCCGGCCAATGATGAGCTTTTCTGAAGGAGCATCAGGTGAGTTCTTGACCTCCACCCACTTACCCCCGGGCTGCACTGCGGTTCCTCATCCACTCCTTTTCAAGCCGGGAAACAAGTTCTTCTGAGGAGTTTTCTCTCCCAAGCGACCAGAGGTCTTTTGGTCTCAGTGGCCTCCTGTATCCCCTCCAGACCAGGCTGCAAAAGAGGGGCACCAGGGAAAGCTTTTCCTGCCATTCACCCCTGCAGGATCCTGGCCAGGCAAGTAGCTGTGTGACCCTGGGTAAGTCACTTTACCTCTCTGTACCTCTACTGGCCCCTGGGTAAAAAGAAAGCAATTCACTAACCCCACCTAATGTCTGCAGGGCATTTCTCGTTTCACAAAGATTGTCTCATTAATTCTTACATGAACCCATAAGGTAGGTTATTATTGTTTGTTTGAGATGGAGTCTTGTTCTGTCTCCCAGGCTGGAGTGCAGTGGTGCAATCTCGGCTCACTGCAACCTCCACCTCCCAGGTTCAAGCGATTCTCCTACCTCAGCCTCCTGAGTAGCTGGGATTACAGGCACCCACCACCATACCCGGCTAATTTTTGTATTTTTTGTAGAGATGGAGTTTCACCATGTTGGCCAGGCTGGTCTCGAACTCCTGACCTCAGGTGATCCACCTGCCTCAGCCTCCCAAAGTGCTGGGATTACAGGCATGAGCCACCACACCCAGCCTGTAATTTAATAGTTTATAATTGTATAAATGTGTGAGTATATTATTATAGATCTATTTTACAGATGGGGAAGGAAATAGAAGTGCAGAGAGATTCAGTGGCTAAACCAAGGGATAGCCCTTGGCAAGGGAAACAGACATTTCCCTGGGAATCGGAAGTCCGTTGACCAAAACTATCATTGTAGAAGAAGCTTGAACTCCTCCCTCAGCTTTTTTTTTTAAATTATTATTATTATTTTTTGAGACGGAGTCTCACTCTGTTGCGTAGGCTGGAGTGCACTGACGTGATCTGGGCTCACTGCAACCTCCGCCTCCCTGGCTCAAGTGATTCTTACGCCTCAGCCTTCTGAGTAGTTGAAATTACAAGCCACCATCACACCTGGCTAATTTTTGTGTTTTTAGGTGGTGTATCACCATGTTGGCCAGGCTGGTCTCGACCTACTGGCCTCAAGCAATCCTCCCACCTCAGCCTCCCAAAGTGCTAGGACTACAGGCGTAAGCTACCACACCTGGCTAATTTTGTTGTTTATAGTAGAGATGGGATTTTGCCATGTTGGCCAGGCTGGTCTCGAACTCCCGGCCTCAAGTGATCTGTCGGGGTTGGCCTTCCAAAGTGTTGGGATTATGGGTGTGAGCCACTGTGCCTGGCCTCAGGTCTCTTTAATCTTTCTGATGACACCAGCCAGAAGGTCTTGCCTGGTTCTGATCTCTGACTCTTCTCTAAGCCTTACCAAGTTCCCTTTTCTTTTTTATTTTTATTCTTTTTATTTTTTTGAGATGGAATCTCACTCTGTTGCCCAGGCTGGAGTGCACTGGTGTGATCTCGGCTCACCACAACCTCCACCTCCTGGGTTCAAGTGATTCTCCTGCCTCAGCCTCCTGAGTGACTGGGATTGCAGGCTCCCACCACCACACCTGGCTAATTTTTATATTTTTAGTAGAGATGGGGTTTCACCATGTTGGTCAGGCTGGTCTCGAACTCCTGACCTCAGGTGATCCACCTGCTGCAGCCTCCCAAGGTGTTGGGATTATAGGCGTGAGCCACTGCGCCAGGCCACCAAGTTCCCTTTTCTAATGCAGAGCCAACTTGGGGAAGCAACCGTTCTGACATAGAAATTATTAACGTGGCTTGATTTTCCCTGAAATTGTTATTGGAGTTCTCCTATATGGCAAGTGATGCTATAGATTTTTCCTATTTTAGCAGTGATAGAGAGTTTCTTTTTAAAAACACTTTATTCAAGTAAAAAAAGTGACTCAATTTAGTTTTTGCCCCAGTAGGACAAAAAAGCATCAAGAGTGGTCCATAAATGCTTAAGTTTGGGAAGCAGGGGCTGGACCCCCCAGTAGAGCTGTTTAGAAAATCTCTAAGCTCTTTCTACCAGTTCCACACATTCAAAGCCTGATATTTTTCATTTATTTAATAGCCATTTAGGCCGGGTGCGGTGGCTTATGCCTGTAATCCCAGCACTTTGGGAGGTCGAGGGTGGTAGATCACTTGAGGTCAGGAGTTTCAGACCAGCCTGGCCAACATGGTGAAACCCAGTCTCTACAAAAAACTACAAAAATTAGCTGGGCATGATGGCAGGCGCCTGTAATCCCAGCTACTCGGGAGGCTGAGGCAGGAGAATTGCTTGAACCTGGGAGGTGGAGGTTGCAGTGAGCTGAGATTGTGCCATTGCACTGCAGCCTGGGCAACAAGAGTGATACTCTGTCTCAAAAAAAAAAAAAAAAAAAAAAGAGAAAATGAATAGCCCAGGCACAGTGGGTCACGCCTGTAATCCCCAGCACTTTGGGAGGCCGAGGCGGGCAGATCACCTGAGGTCGGGAGTTTGAGATCAGCCTGACCAACATGGAGAAACACTGTCTCTACTAAAAATACAAAATCAGCCGAGCATAGTGGTGCATGCCTGTAATCTCAGCTACTCGGGAGGCTGAGGCAGGAGAATCACTTGAACCCAGGAGGCGGAGGTTGCAGTGAGCCAAGATAGTGCCATTGTACTCCAGCCTGGGCAACAAGAGTGGAACTCCATCTCAAAAGAAAAAAAAATAATTACCACTTACACTCATTATTTGCCAGGCCCTGTTCTAAGTGCTTTACAGATCTTATCTTATTTAAGCTTCACAACCCTATAAGCTAAGTGCTATTATTAATCCCATTTTGAAGGAGTGGAGACTGAGGCACAGAGAGGTTAAGTAACTTGTCCAAAGCAACACAGCTAGGAAGTGGTAGGGCCAGGATTCAAATCCACATGTCAGGTGCTACTGAGGTCTGAATGCCGTGTGGTTGGGAGGGAGCACATCCTCAAATGCCTTGTGAGCTGGCCCTGGAGAAGCAGCTATTTTCTCAATCTGCCTGGAACCCTCTAGAAAGTAGACACTTGCTCCTTTATCTCCTCACCCCTGGGGCTTAGCACATAGTAGGTGCCTATTAAATGTTGGTGGAATGACTGAAATCAAGTATTGGAGACAATTCTATTACTATTAAGCACCCGCTGTGTGCAAGCACTAAGCACTTTCCGTCTCATGCAGGTTGAGTCATCCCCATTTTACAGAGGGAAAACTGAGACTCCGGAGGTTTGCGACATGGCCTGCTAACAGGCAGAGCCGGGATTCAAATCAAGATCTCACTCCAGTGAGTGAATGGGAACAGGATGCAGATGGTAGACACTGAACACGAAGAAGAAAGCACTGAGGCTGGGATGGAGAAAGACTTGCTGGCCTTTGTAAGCACAGGGGAAGGGCCATGGCTGGGAATCAGAGCAGCAAATGCAGGCGGGTGAGGCACCACCCCAACCCTTCCGTGCGACTTTACTTACCCAGAAACCCACCAGAACGTGGCTTTGGAGGGGAAGGCTGCCCCAGTCTCTGGACAGGGGTTCTGCAACAGACAAAAATGGAGAAGGGAAGTATGTGGCAAGGGTAGGAAGACAGGACGAACTGTGTATTTTTTTTTTTTTCGAGACAGGGTTTCACTCTGTTGCCCAGGCCAGAGTACAGCGGTGTGATCTTGGCTCACTACTACCTCTGCCTCCTGGGTTCAAGCGATTCTCCTGCCTCAGCCTTCCAAAGAGCTGGGATGACAGGTGTGCGCCACCACACACAGCTAATTTTTTGTGTTTTTAGTAGAGACAGGGTTTCACCATGTTGGCCAGGCTGGTCTCAAACTCCTAACCTCAAGTGATCTGCCTATCTCGGCCTCCCAAAGTGCTGGGATTACAGGCGTGAGCCACTACACCCAGCCCTGACGGTGTATTTAGTACTGAAAGTAAACATCGAGGTGCCCTGTCTCCTTGCCAGGGGTGTAGACCAGTGAGCTTGGTGCTTCCCAGCAGGCAGCGTAAAAAGAGGTTGGGCCACAGGCCTGACAATGTCCACAAGGTAAGAACTAACAGTGGCTCAGAAGAACAACTATGATTATACTGAAACCAAAACCTTGCTTTGCTTCTCAAAAGGAAGGACACTGCATAACGAAGAAATTAGATCCTTGACAATATCCCTCGGCAAATGTTGTGAAGACAGACCTGTCGTGCGATTTTTGTCAGGTGCTCCAGGAAGATTACAACAGTCTGTACTCTTTACCAATAAGGCGTGAAGGTGCCCATTTCACCACGTTTTTGCCATCGCAGCTTATCAATTTTTAAATTTTGTTCCTACTCTGGTAGGTACAAAAAAGATTCCTATGATAGTTTTAACTATTCTCAAGCCTTCGAGCAATTTTTTTTTTTTTTTTTTGAATACAGGGTCTCGCTCTATCACCCAGGCTGGAGTGCAATGGTGCAATCATAGCTCACTGCAGCCTTTATCTCTTGGATTCAAGCAATCCTCCTGCTTTAGTCTCCACAGAGCTACTCTGTAGTGGGACTACAGGCATGCACCACCACACTTGGCTATTTTTAAAAACCTTTTTGTAGAGATGGGGTCTCACTACATTGCCTAGTCTGATCTAGAACACCTGGGCACAAACAATCCTCCTTCCTCGGTCTCCCAAAGTGTTGAGATTACAGGCATGATCCACTGCATCTGGCCCCATTTGAACATCTGTTTATATGATGTCAGATCAGTCTCTTCCACAAAAGAATTGTTTCTTGATTTCACAGACTGCTTCAGTGTTACCTATTGTAAATCTCTCAATCTCTCATGAGCTTCTTCTATGGAGCACTTACGCCAAGGGTAATTTTCTTTTTCCTTCTTTTTTTTTTTTTTTGGTGGAATTTCGCTCTTGTTGCCCAGGCTGGAGTGCAAATGCACAGTCTCGGCTCCCTGCAACCTCCACATCCCGGATTCAAGCAATTCTCCTGCCTCAGCCTCCCGAGTAGCTGGGATTACAGGCGTGCACCACCATGCCTGGCTAATTTTTGTAATTTTAGAAGAGATGAGGCTTTACCATGTTGGCCAGGCTGGCTTTGAACTCTCGACCTCAAGTGATCCACCTGCCTTGGCCTCCCAAAGTGTTGGGATTACAGGCATGAGCCACTGTGACCATCCAATTTTCAACATATTTGTTTAATTTTGTGACCAGTGTCTGGTTCCCCTGCTTGACCAGTAGCTACGTGAGAACAGAAACTCTATCTGCTTGTTCACCATAGATCCTTATGCCCTTGCTAGGGCATAGCGGGGTTTGGCAAACTATGACCAAATCTGGCCCACTGCCTGTTTCTGCAAATAGTGTTATTGCAACACAGCCATGCAATTTGTTGACATATTCTGCTTTTGCGTTCAATGGCAGAGTTGAGTAGTTGCCACTGAGATCACTGTATGGCTCACAGAGTCCAAAATATTTTCTCTTGGCCCATATAGAAAAAGTCTGCCAACTGTGGCATCGAGTAGAAATGCGATACACTTTTTGCTGAATGGCTAAATGAATAAAAAAATTAAAGACTTTTGGTCACCTGGGGGAGACTGAGACCTCAAAGTGGAACAGGAATGAGGTTGGAACTTGGTGACTTACAGACTGCTGGGGGTCTTCAGGGAAGAAGGGGGGTTGATCCGCCAGGCAGGACAGCACAAACTGTGCCACCACCAGAGACAGGCATAGGTAGGTGGACAGGTGGCGGACAGGGTCGCTCTGGAAGCCCTGTGGGAGGGAAAGCAGAAGGTAAGGAATGGAGACAGAGGAGGGTGCTCAGAGGAGAGAAAAGGTTTCTGATCTGGGGTCAGTGCCCACTCTGGGGACCAGGGCAAGAGTATTTGAAAGCCAGAGCCCTGGCTTTCCTAGCGGTTCTAATTTTCTTTCTTTTTTTTTTTTAAAGACAAAGTCTCACTTGGTCGCCCGGGCTGAAGTGCAGTGGTATGATCTCGGCTCCCTGCAACCTCTGCCTCCTGGGTTCAAGTGATTCTCCTGCTTCTGCCTCCTTAGTAGTTGGGATTACCGGTGCCCACCACCATGCCTGGCTAATGTTTTTAAAAAATATTTTTAGTAGAGATGGGGTTTTGCCATGTTGGCCAGGCTGGCCTCAAACTGCTGACCTAAAGTGATCTGCCTGCCTTGGCCTCCCAAAGTGTTGGGATTACACGCATGAGCCACCACGCCCAGCAGGTCCTAATTTTCAAATACCCAATTTATAATATTCTGTCTGTACAAATGGTGGGCCAGGGCTGTGTCTGGGTTTTGTCCTTAGCCACGTGATGATTGGCCACAGCTGCTGGGACAATGAGATGAAGAAACAATTTACCTTCTTCTTTGTGCCACAAAAGAAATCCTTTCTCCATTCCACCCTCTACCCTAATCTTCAACCCTGCTCCCCCTTGGCCAGGGTTCTCTGTTTTGCAGAGGTGAGAGCTGGTTTTATTGAGCACTGACCCTGCCCTGGGCACATGCGGCATTCTTGCCATACACAGTCTCATCAGCTGGAGTTTACTTGCTTCCTTTGACTCATGGGGAAAACAAGGCTCAGAGAAGTGACAGCACCTTGTTCAAGGACACGCAGATGATCTGGTCCAAATTGTGATGCTCCTGCTGCCACACCACAATGATTTTTGCACCTTCTGCCCTGTCATCTGGTCAGAAACACCCTAATTTTCTTTCTTTTTTTAATTTAAAACATTTTTTATTTTTTAATTTTAGGTGTGTGTGTGTGTGTGTGTATACTTTTTTTTTTTTTGAGACGGAGTCTTGCTTTGTCACCCAGGCTGATGTGCAGTGGCATGATCTTGGCTCACTGCACCCTCCGCCTCCTGGGTTCAAGCGATTCTCCTGCCTCAGCCTCCTGAGTAGCTGGGATTACAGGCATGTGCCACGACCCCTGGCTAATTTTTGTATTTTTAGTAGAGATGGAGTTTTACCATGTAGGCCAGGCTGGTCTTGAACTCCTGACCTCAGGTGATCCGCCTGCCTTGGCCTCCCAAAGTGCTGGGATTACAGGCATGAGCCACTGCGCCCGGCCTGCTATATATATTTCTAGATGACGTGAGATATTTTGATACAGGCATGCAATGCATAATAATCACATCAAGGTAAAGAGGTCTCCATCCCCGCAATCATTTATCCTTTCTGTTACAAATGATCCATTCTACTCTTTCAGTTATTTTATTTTTTAGTTTATTATTGAGTTGGAGTCTCACTCTGTTGCCCAGGCTGGAGTGCAGTGGCTTGATTTTGGCTCACTGCAACCTCCATCTCCTGGATTCAAGTGATTCTCCTGCCTTAGCCTCCTGAGTATCTGAGATTACAGATGTGTGCCAGCACGCCTGGCTACTTTTTTTGTATTTTTAGTAGAGACAGGGTTTCACCATGTTGCCCACGCTGGTCTTGAACTCCTGACCTCAGATGATCCTCCTGCCTTGGCCTCCCAAAGTGCTGGAATTACAGGTGTGAGCCACTGTGTCCAGCCTCTTTTAGATATTTTAAAATGTACAATCAAATTATTATTGACTATAGTTACCCTGTTGTGCTATCAAATAGATATTATTCTTTCTGTTTTTTTGTACCCATTAACCACCCCCATTTCCCCCACCCACTTTCCTTCCTAGCCTCTAGTAACCTTCCATCTACTCTATATGTTCATGAGTTACATTGTTTTAATTTTTAGCTTTCACAAATAAGTGAGAATATGTAAAGTTTGTCTTTCTCTGCCTGGCTTATTTTGCTTAACATCCATGTTGTTGAAAATGACAGTACCTCATTCTTTTTTATGGCTGCATAGTACTCCATTGTGTATATATACCACATTTTCTTTATCAGTTAATCTGTTGATGGACACTTAGGTTGCTTCCAAATCTTGTTTATTGTGAACAGTGCTGTAATAATCATGGGAGTGCAGAGATCTCTTCCATGTACTGATTTTCTTTCTTCCTAAGTTTTTTGCTTGTGTTCAGGCGTGTGATTTGTGTAGAACTGACCCTACTCCGAGGCTGGGTGGGTGAATGAGGCCTGGCCAATGAATACATTCGAGTCTTTTGGCTACCATGGCAGGGTTAGGAATGCACATAGCACCCAATGCTGGGTACTTGAGAGCTGGAACCATCGGGAGATTCTGCTGGCTTTGCTACATGCTAGAATGTAAGTATGAAGGTATTGGTGGCTCTTCTTGCCACTCCATTGGAGAATCAAGCTAACATGGCAGAGCCAAGAGGCAGAAGTGGAGATCTGGTGATGGTACCTGGTCCCAGGCCTGGATCAGTCATGCCTGGGAGATCCCATGGGTATGAGCTAATAAATGCATGAGCTAATGAACCCCCTTGACTTTCCCTTTTCATTAAGCTAGTGTGAACTGAGGTTTTATGGCTTTAAACCAGAGCCCTAGTTTTAAATCACGATTCCTCTACTGGATTTTATACTCTTCTAGTTTTGGGGTTTTTGTTTGTTTGTTTGTTTTTTGGCAGATAGCAGACAATTGGATATTCCAATGACAATATGGCCCATCTTCCCTAAACTCCCACTGTTTTCCCCACTGTTTCTCTCAGAAAGTTTGTTCTGAATTTGCCTGAGATGAACTCGGGCTCTGCACTCCCAAGCTTTGTGGCCCTGAGGCCGTCATTCCCTTCTCCTAGCCTTAGTCTCCCTCATCTTTAAAATGGGACGGCTGGAATTCATCATTGGCTGGGGCACATTGGCTCAAGCCTGTAATCCCAGCACTTTGGGAGGCTTAGGTGGAAAGATCGCTTGAGCCCAGGAGTTTGAGACCAGCCTTGGGAACATAATGAGACTTTGTTTCTATTTCTATTTAAAAAAATAAAGAAGAACCCATCACTGTGAACTCTTGTGAGAATCCAGTGAGGAGACGTGTGTAAGTGCCTGCCACAGTGCCTGGCACATGGTTGGAACCCCAGAGTGTATATGGTCCCAGTATTATTGTTTCTATGCTGTGTCCCAAAAAGCTGACTTATGTCAACTGCGGGAGCCCACCATTTCAGAAATTACTGAATAACCTGTGGAATTTCCCCTTAGTTACAAAGGTTACTCTTTTAAAAACTCTGTCCTTGGTCAGGCGCTGTGGCTCATGCCTGTAATCCCAGCACTTTGGGAGGCCGAGGTGGGTGAGTCACTTGAGGTCAGGCATTTGAGATGAGCCTGGCCAACATATTGAAACCTTGTCTCTACTAAAAATACAAAAATTAGCTGGGCATGGTGGCACATGCCTGTAATCCCAGCTACTTGGGAGGCTGAGGTATGGGAATCGATTGAACCCGGGAGGTGGAGGTTGTAGTGAGCCAAGATCGTGCCACTGCACTCCAGCCTGGGCAATAGAGCAAGACTCTGTCTCAGAATGAACAAACAAAAAATAAAAACTCTGTCCTTAAGGACAGGGTGATGCTTCTCTACCTTCTCCTTTAGGAGCAGGATGGAGTAACCACTGGACTGAAGAAATGATCTGTGAGTCCAGACGTGGTGGCTCATGCCTCTAATCCCAGCATTTTAGGAGGCTGAGGTCAGAGAATTGCTCGAGCCCAGGAGTTCAAGATCAGCCTGGGCAACAAAGCATGATGTTGTCTCCACAAAAATAAAATAATGAAGTAAAATATCTGAAACCTGCTGCAGCCTATTCATTGGTGTTAAGCTAACTCCCTCTCCCAGAAGCCTTGGCTAAGCACACTGTCGAGGCCAGTGCTTCTCAATAGGTGGGTGACTTTGTCCTCCTCACCCCCAGGGACACTTGGTAATATCTAGAGACATTTTGGGTTACTGCAATTGGATGGTATGCTACTGGCACCTATGGGCAGAAGCCAGGGATGCTGTTTCACACCCTGCAGCAAACAAGACAGCCCTGTCCACCCAACAAAGAATTGTCTGGCCACAACATTACTAAAGCTGAGGCTGAGGGAAGCTGGTCTAGGCTACATGTTTTTCTCTTTACAGAGAAAATGACCCATCATGTCTCCTAATAGAGAAACGCTGCTTCCGGCCGAATGACAAGAGCTCACGCCTGTAATCCCGACACTTTGGGAGGCCAAGGCAGGTGGATCACTTGAGGTCAGGAGCTCGAGACCAGCCTGGCCAACATGGTGAAACCTCGTCTCTACTAAAAATACAAAAATTTTTAGTAGAAATTTAGAATAAGCCAGGTGTAGTGGCACACACCTGTAATCCCAGCTACACAGGAAGCAGAGGCAGGAGAAGTGCTTGAACCCGAGAGGCAGAAATTGCAGTGAGCTGAGATCATGCCACTTCATTCCAGTCTGGGCGACAGAGCAAGCCTCTCAAAAAAAAAAAAAAAAAAAAAAAAAAAGCTGCTTCCCAGATTGGACAACAGAAATACGAGTGGTGTGCAGAATGAGTGTGTAAATATAGGTGCATAGGAACATGGGGAGGGTGAATCCATGACATGAGGGGAGGTGTGCACGGAGGGGTATGTGTGCACACAGGTGTGTCTGTGCCCAGGTTGTGTGTGTGTGCGTGCATGCATGTACTTGTGCGATGTATGAATCAGTGCCTATAAGTGTGTGCATCGTGAGCAAGTGGCACGTGTGATGTGGGCGTGTAAGACAGGAAATTGTGTGGATAAGAAATGTATGGGATGATGGGTACTGACAGGTGCGGGAGTGGATTTTGTGTCTCTAGAGTGTAAGTGACTGGCTTGTGTGTGTCACTGTATAGAGAATAAGTTGTATGTGGAAACAGGAGGAGAAAGGAAGGGACCCAAGGCATGAACCACCATTTTGGTTTCCCAGGGTGGCCCACGCCCCGACTTACCGCTCCGGAGGCCTGCTGGGCAGCGTTGGTAGCTGGCAAGACAAAGCAGAGAAGCCAGTAACCAAACAGCACTCCAGATGACTGGACTCCCTTTTTCCTCTTGGTGTGAATCAGGAACACTGCGAAGCTCTGGACGGGAAAGTCAGGGAGGCCCCTTAGGGGAGGGTGGGAGGCTGAGGGGAGCCTCTTCTCTTCCCCTTGTTCTCCACTGTGGCAGGCAAAGCAGCAGCTGGGAGGAAGCCGGGCTCCAGACTGAGGGCATCATTACCATCGTGGTGAGCCACACAGTAGGATGAATGAGGAATTCTGGGGCCTCAGGCGTTCCCTGTTGGATTTTCCAAAGAGCGACAGCCACGCTGGAGGTACACAGGACTATGAGGGCGAATCCAAGCACCTGAGGATACAGGCTTAGATAAGCTTGGGGGGCAATAAGAGAGGTCACAGCAAACTGGTAGGCGGCCCCATGTCCAACTGGGAGCTGGTTCTGCAGCATCCTGGCTGATACTGAGTATACCAGGGTCACCAGCTAGAAACGTGCCAATGTGAACAATGTGTAAAGGGCATTGCAGATCACTCCTGACCTGTAACTGTCATATAAATAATGCACAGGAAGGGCTTGAGCCAACCGAATGTTTTCCAAAATGCAGGAAGTGCTCCAATCGTGCACATATGAGATGACTCTGGGTATGGAGAAACAGCAGGAAATGAAATGTACTCACCAGGTAAAAAACTATCCTTTCTCCAAGTCATTTTTCAATCCTTGCTATGAAATCAAGAAGCAACTCTCTGTTGGGCCAGTAAGTCTCTAGGGTCTCTCTAATATATTTTGGTTTCTCTATTGAATAAAAGAAAGGAAGAAAATGAGAGAACGTGGGCACACCAGAGGGAAGGCCAGAGCTAGGTTACGTTGGAGGAACTGCTCAAAGAACCTCAGTTTAAAGCAGAAGTTGGCAAACTATCAATCATCAAAGAAAAACAAAAAGCATATGTCATGACAGGTGAAAATTACATGAAATCCAAATTTCAGTGACTACAAATAAAGTTTTATTGAAACACAGTCGGCCGGGGGTGGTGGCTCACACCTGTAATCCCAGCACTTTGGCAGGCCAAGGCAGGCAGATCACCTGAGGTCAGGAGTTGGAGACCAGCCTGGCCAACATGGCGAAACCCTGTTTCTACTAAAGATACAAAAAAATAGCGAGGTGTGGGGGTGGGCACCTGTAATCCCAGCTACTCGGGAAGCTGAGGCAGGAGAATCACTTGAACCCAGGAGGCGGAGGTTGCAGTGAGCCGAGATCGCACCATTGCACTCCAGCCTGGGTAACAAGAGCAAAACTGCATCTCAAAAACAAAACAAAACAAAAAAGTAACACAGTCATGACTATTGTCTATGGTTATGACTATTGCGTTCATTCTGGAATGGCAGAGTTCAGTGTTCGGAAGGAAGATTACCTGGCTCACAAAGTCTCAAATACTGTGTACCGCTTGGCTCTTTAAGTTTGCCAACCCCTGGGTTGGTGGCGGGTGATAATATAAAAATTAATACAATGGCAGAAGAATGAATGAACTCTGAAGAACATTCTTTGGAAGCCTACAAGAATGGAGTAGAAGAGGATGGATGAGCAGAAAGGCTCACACTTGGAATGCCAGTGTTTATTTAACACACTAAGGTAAATACATATCACATATAAAAATTGTCCTATAATACAGCCAGTGGGGGAACATAAAAATAAATGCATAACTTTTTAAAAGGTTCATCCTAATGTGGCCCTAAAATTACCTTGTGTATCCAAGAGTCTACATGGTATGTTTTGGAAAATGCCAGGTTATGGTAGCTATAAACTGTCCAGGAACATGGGAGTGTATGCGTATGTTTGCGCATGCGTGGATTTTCGGAATTACAAAATCTGTTTGGGAGAACCGTGTTCCACTGAATTGACCTCTGTAGCCTTTCTAATATTGCTCTGTTTGATTAACAGATTCCCTTCTACACCCCGATAGGAGGAGTCTACTTTAAGACTTCACCAGGTTCCAGCCTGTCCCCTGCCTCCCCCCACCATTGCCTGGTTCCAGGCTCCCAGGGATGGCAGCTACCATCTTGGCTTTGAAGAGTGGGGAACATCCGGAGGTAGCCCCGGCCATGGTGGTGGATGAAGAGGAGGTAGATGGGACCAAGGACCCAGAGGTACATGGGGGGTACCCAGACCCCTGCTGTTCTCAGGAAGCACAGGCTCAGCAGGCTGGTGGCGGCAGGTTCAGGCTCTGTCTGGTTCCAGACCTGAGGGAACACAAAGAGGACCCTTAGGATGGTACAAGGCAGGGGTCCCCAGCTCACCTGCCCGGGGGGCCAGGCAACTTTTTGGATCTTTAACATTTACACAAAAATGTGCCAAGCACTCTTTGGAATACCTACTAATTCTCAATTCCTTTCATCCTGACATTAACCCTAGGTAGTTGCAATTATATTGATTTGCAGATGAAGAAGCTGAGGACCAGAGAGGTTGAGTAACTTTGCTGAGTTTACCCAGCTGAGGAGTGGAAGGGCTGGGATTTGAACCCAGGGAACTGGGCCATGTGGTCTAGGAGACCTGGGCTCCATAATCATTGCTAGGCATGGACTGTCAGTTAATCCTTATAACAACTCCAGGACGCAGACAGTACTGTCTCCATTTCAGAAACCAGCAGACTGAGGCACCAATCGGGGAAATGCCTCCCCCAGGGACACACAAATGGGAAGTGGCAAAGCTGACTCTGACCCAGGCTTATCTGACCCCAAACCTCGTTCGACTGGTGGTCTTGATGTATGATTTATTTTTATTTTTTATTATTAATTAATTTATGTTTTAGAGACAGGGTCTCACTCTGTTGCCCAGGCTGAAGTGGCACAATCAAAGCTTAACAAAGCTTCGAATTTCCTGGGCTCAAGCAATCCTCCCACCTCGGCCTCCCAGAGTGCTGGGATTACAGGCATAAGCCGCCTCACCAGGCCTGGCTAATTTTTTTTTTATGTTTTGTAGAGATGGGGGTCTCTCTATGCTGGTCTCGAACTCCTGGCCTCAAGCAATCCTCCTGCCTCAGCCTCCTAGGTACTGGGATTACAGGCAAGAGCCACCGGCCCAGCTTGATCTGTTATTTTCATCTCAGCAGGTCTGCTGGTCCTATCTAACCCTAGAAGAAATTTGAAGTTTAGTGGACGTGGCCTCTTCAATTCTCTCTCCGCTGTCTTTTTACTCCTCCTGGTTTCACAACTCACTGGCTGTGCAAACTTTAACCTCTCTGTATCTCAGTTTCCTTCCCTGCAAAAGGGGGATAACGAGACTCTACCTCTATGAGTTGTATTAAATGGATGAATAGCAGCAAAGTTCATAGCAGCATGGCACAAGGTTGGGCACAAGGCTAGGCACAGAGAAAGCCCTCAGTTCATTGCCAGTTTATTGCTTCAACTCCCTGGCCCTCGAAATGCTGGCAGTTTGCAACCCCCACCCCCACTCCATGAACTCCACTCCCTGGAGTCCTTTGCTAAGAGCAATGGAAAAAGAAACCAGAGAGGTAAGGGCTCTCCGGGGGTAGGAGGGCTTGGGGGACCCACTAGCTTTATGCAAAGAAGGGTCAAAGCCTCTAGTAGCTGGGAGGTCTGGTGGCCCCTTAAATAGAGCTGGGCTCTCGGCGGCTGGCTTGGTGAAAGAAATCCAACCCGCTGCAGTGAGGGGGCCGGAGTAAGTCTCCTCGCTTCCCGGGTCCAGGAATTTGGGGGTCTCTCCTCTCCCCAGTATCGCAGCCCGAGAGATCTGCAGCCAAACCAAGCCTGGAAAAGGAGAGTGGGGCGCGATGGGGGGCACTCACCCCCTGCCCCGCGCAGGGCTCAGCAGGCGCGGCCATCGGCGCCTTCTGTCGTCGTGGGTCCCAGCGTCTGTCTGTCGCTAAGTCTCTGGGCAGACTGCTCGGCCGCGATCCTGCCGGAGAAGAGGCGGGGCTGGGCTGGTCGGGCTAGGCTGGTCCGGCTGGGATTCGAGCTCCGGGATCGGGAGGCCCCGGGCAAGGTCCAGCTGCGCGGCGGGAGTGAGGCCACGGGAGGTGAAAACAGGCGAGGTGGGGGAGGGGGGAAGAGAGGCGCTCGGGGAGCTGGGACGGGCACCGGGTTGGGGGGTCCCGGAACCCCTGAAAGTTCAGTGACACCTCCATAGTTCCCTCTTCCCCCTGCAACAAGAATCACTCCAAACTTCCCAAACACTTTGGACCCAGCAATTTCCAGGAGTTCATCCTGATGAGAGAACTGAAAGGTGTGCACACGTTAGTAACAAGGAGGCCTGGTGACCGCCTAAGCGTCCAATCGCGGGGACCACCGGGTCGAGGCCGAGAGGATGGAGACCGCATCACAGGCACCTCGCTGCTGGAATGGAGGGTGGTGGGGAGAACTTAGAAGATTATGCAATGGGCTGGCAGGGCTATACCCAGCCGCCCTGGTAAGCAGAAACTCAAGAAACCTCTAGGGTCCTGTTTTCTGGTCGTATGATCCCAGGAGTGCACATGAGCCCCTCGGGTGTCTGAACAGAAGGGCATAGGAGGGAGGGCCGCAGCCCTGCAGTCTTACTCTGCTGGTGTAGCGGTCACCTGCCAACTCCCACCCCACCCTGCACCGCGGGCTCCTGAGTCGGCAGATTAAGCATTTTATAAATTCTATTTTAAATACGTGTTTTAAACTTGTCAGATATTTGTCTTCATTTCAGTCCCTGCGCCTCTACCTCTTGCTGTGGTCGCTTATTTAACACTGGGGGGCTACGTTCTGCTAAGTCCCAGGGAGAGACTGTTCCTAATATCCGAGGGAGATATTATTCCTAATATCACGCTGGGTGAACACCACGTGTGTACAGCCTCTGATACGATTGGTAATATCCAAGGGAGATATTATCCTAACATCCCAGTGGGTGAACACCATGTGTGTAAACGCTGTGGTATTATTAGAAATATCCAAGGGAGATATTACTCCTAATATCACAGTGGGTGTACATCCTGTGATATTATTCATAATATCCGAAGGAGATTTTACTCCTAATATCACAGTGGGAGTACACACTGTGATATTATTTATAATATCCGAGGGAGATTTTACTCCTAATATCGCAGTAGGTGTGCAACCTGTGATATTATTCATAATATGCTAGAGATATATTACTCCAGTGGGTGTACACTCTGTCACAGAATTCGTGATATCCTAGGGAGTTATTACCGCTAATATCACAGTGAGAGTACACCCTGTGATATTATTCATACTATCCTAGAAAGATATTACTTTTAATATCACAGAGGGTGGACACCCTGTGATATTATTCGTAATATTCTATGAAGATATAACTCCTGATATAACCGTAGGTGTATACCCTGTGATATTATTTGTTATATCCTAGGGAGATACTACACCTAATACCACAGTGGGTGTACACCCTGTGATATGATTTGTAATATCCTAGGGAGATATAACTCCTAATATCACAGAGGGAGTACACCCTGTAATATTATTCATAATATCCTAGAAAGATAATACTTTTAATATCACAGTGGGTGTACACTCTGTGATAATATTCGTAATTTCCTAGGGAGATACTACTCCTAATATCACCTTGAGTGTACACTGCGTGATATTATTCATAATATCGTAGGGAGCTATTGCTTTTAATTTCACAGTGGGTGTATACCCTATGATATTATTCATAATATCTTAAGAAGGTAGTACTCCTAAAATCACAGTGCCTGTACACACTGTGATATTATTCATAATATTCTAGGGAGATGTTACTCCTAATCTCATAGTGGGTGTACACCTTGTGATACTATTTGTAATGTTCTAGAAAGATATTCCTTTTAATATCACAGTGGGTGTACACCCTGTGATATGATTCGAAATATTCTAGGGCGATATTACTCCTAATATCCCAGTGAATTTACACCATGTGTGTACACGCTGTGACCTCCCAGAAAGATATGACTCCTAATATCACAGTGGGGGTACACCCTGTGATATTATTTGTAATACCCTATGGATATCATAATATCACAATGAACGTACACCATTGTGTACATGCTGTGATATTATTTGTAATATTTTTGGGTGATATTACCCCTAATGTCACAGTGCATGTACATCTTTTGATATTATTTGTAATATTCTGTGGAGATATTGCCCCTAATATCACAGTGGGTGTATACTCTTTGATACTATTCGTAACATCCTGGAAGATATTATCCATATTGTCACGGTGGGTGTACACCCTGTGATATTATTTGTTATATTCTGGGGATATACTATTACCCCTAATATACTGTGGGTGTACCCCCTGTGATATTATTCACTATATCTTGGAGATATAATATTACCCCTAATATCACAGTGGGTGTATACTTTGTGATATTATTCATTATATCCTGAAGAGATATTATTTCCTTTAATATCACAGTGCATGTACACCTTGTGATATTATTTGTTATATCCTGGGGAGATACTACTATATTACTCCTAGTATCACAGTGGCTGTACACCTTGTGACACTATTCATTATATCCTGGGGAGATATTATTACTCCTAATATCACAGTAAGTGTATACCCTGTGCTATTATTCATAATATCCTGGGAGATATTACCTGTATTGTCACAGTGGGTGTACATCCTGTAATATTATTTGTAATATCCTGGGGAGATATTATTACTCCTAATAGCACAGTGGGTGTACACCCTGTGATATTATTGGTTATATCCTGGGGAGGTATTATTATTCCTAATATCACAGTGGGTGAACATTCTGTAATATTATTCATTATATTTTGGGGAGATATTAATTCCTCTAATATCACAGTGGGTGTACACCCTGTGATATTATTCATTATATCCTGGGAAGATATTATTTCCTCTAATATCACAGTGGGTGTACACCCTGTAATATTATTCATTATATCCTGGGAAGATATTATTTCCTCTAATATCACAGTGGGTGTACACCCTGTGATATTATTTGTTATATCCTGGGGAGATATTATTATGTCTCATATCACAATGGGTGAACACCCTGTGATAGTATTCGTTATATTTGGGGAAGGTGTTATTACCCCTAATATCACAGTGGTGTACACTCTGTGATATTATTCATTATGTAGTGGGGAGATAGTATTACCCATAATATCACAGTGGATGTACACCCTGTCATATTATTTGTTATATCCTTGAGAAATATTATTATTCCTATTATCACAGTGGGTGTACACCCTGTGATATTATTCGTTACATCCTAGGGAGATATTGTTACCCATAATATCACAGTGGATGTACACCTTGTCATATTATTCGTTATATCCTTGAGAGATGTTACTACCCCTAATATCACAGTGGGTGTATACCCTGTGATATTATTCGTCAAATTTTCTGGAGATATTATTACCCATAATATCACAGTGTGTGTACCCACTGTGACAGTATTGATTATATCTTGGGGTGATATTACTCCTAATTTCACAGTGGCTGTATCCCTGTGTTTACACCCTGTGATGTTATTCATAATATTTTAGGGAGATATTACTCCAAATATCACAGTCAGTGTACACCATGTTTGTACACCCTATGATATTATTTGTAATATTTTAGGGAGATATTACTCCTAATATCGTTGTGGGTGTACAGCATGTTTGTAAACACTGTGATATTATTCATAATATCTGAGAGAGATATTACTGCCAATATCACAGTGGGTGTACACCCTGTACACCGTGTGATACGATTCATAATATCCGAGGGAGATATTACTCCCAGTATCACAGTGGGTTTACACCCTGTGGTATTATTCATAATATTCAAGGGAGATATTACTCTCAATATCACAGTGGATGTACACCCTGTGATATTATTTGCAATATCCGAGGGAAACATTACTGCTAATATCACAGTGGGAGTACACCCTGTGATATTATTTGTTTTATCCTGGAGACATATTATTCCTATTATCACAGTGGTTGTACACCCTGTGATATTCTTCGTTATATTCATGGAAGATGTTATTACCCCTAATATCACAGTTGGTGTACACCCTGTGATATTATTCGTTATATCCTGGGGAGATATTATTACTCCTAGTATCACAGTGGGTGTACGCCCTGTCATATTATCCATTACATCATGGGAAGATATTATTACATCTAATATCACTGTGGGTGTACACCCTGTGATATTATTTATTATATCCTGGTGAGATGTTATTACTGCTAATATCACAGGGTGTGTCAAATTTTCTGGAGATATTATTACCCTTAATATCACAGTGGGTGTGCACCCTGTGTGTACACTCTGTAATACTATTCGTAATATTTTAGGGAGATATTACTACTAATATCACAGTGGGTGTACACCCTGAGGAGATATTACTTCCTCTGATATCACAGTGGGTGTACACCCTCTCATATTATTCGTTATGTGCTAAGTAGATATTATTACCCCTAATATCACAGTGGGTGTACACCCTGTGATGTTATTCCTTATATCCCAAGAAGATATTATTATAACTAATATCACAGTGGGTGTACACCCTATGATATTATCTGTTATATACTGGGGGGATATTATTTGTAATATTTTAGGGAGATACTACTCCTAATATCATAGTGGGTGTACTCATATTTTACAGATATATTACTTTTAATATCACAGTGGGTGTACACCCTGTGTGTACACCCTGTAATATTATTAGTAATATTTTAGGGAGATATTACTCCTAATATCATAGTGGGTGTACACCATGTTTGTAAACCCTAGGATATTATTCATAATATCCGAGGGAGATATTACTCCCAATATCACAGTGGGTTTACACCCTATGATATTATTTGTAATATCTGAGGCAGGTATTACTCTCCATATCACAGTGAGTGTACACCCTTCTATATTATTCATAACATCTGAGGGAGATATTACTTCCAATATCAAAGTGGGTGTGATAATATCTGAGGGAGATATTATTCCTAATATCCGTGGGAGATATTATTCCTAATATCTCAGTGGGTGTACCGCGTCACAGTGGGTGTGCACTGTGTGATATTATTCATAGTATCCAAGGGAGATCTTACTCCTAATATCACAGTGAGTGTACACCCTGTGATATTATTCTAATACCCAAGGGAGAGCTTTCTCCTAATATCACAGTGGGTGTACACTCTGTGATATTTTTCATAATATCCGAGGGAGATAGGATGGAGACCACGTCACAGTCCCCTCACTGCTGGAATGGACACTGTCTACCCGTGGAGTGGTGGGGAGAACTTAGTGAGATTATGCAAGCGTTTAGCACACTGCCAGATATACATTAAATGCTCAGAAGACTTAGCTTTTATTGTTACTGTTATAATTGAGGCCATGGGTTACTAACCAGTGGTTTAAAATGCCATTGCAACTGGGCACGGTGGCTCATGCCTGTAATCCCAGCACTTTGGGAGGCTGATGAGGGCGGATCACTTGAGGTCAGGAGTTTGTGACCAGCCTGGCAAACATAGTGAAACCCCGTTTCTACTAAAAATACAAAAATTAGCTGGGTGTTTTGGTGCGTGCCTGTAGTTTCAGCTTCTCAGGAGGTTGAGGCAGGAGAATCGCTTGAACCTGGGAGGCGAAGGTTGCAGTGAGCCAAGATTGTGCCACTGCACTCCAGCCTGGGTGACAGAGCGAGACTCTGTCTCAGAACAAGCAAACAAAATGCCATTGAAGACATATATGAATATGAAAAGGTGGTTGCTAAATGATGATTGAATAAAAGAGATTATAATATAAAATAGGCTTTGGTTTTTTTAAAGCAAAAAAGAAAAGGATATGCCTAAATTAGGGAACATGGAGAAGAAGGCCAAGGCATTTACCTTCCTCTCTTGAGTCTTTTTCTCTCTCCGTCTCTTTTTTTTTTTTTTGAGTCAGGTTCTTGCTCTGTCACCCAGGCTGGAGTGCAGTAGTGCCATCATGGCTCACTGCAGCCTTGACCTCCTGAGCTCAAGCAACCTTCCACCTCAGCCTCTCTGGAGTATCTGGGACTACAGGCACACACCACCAAGCCTGGCTAATTTTTAAATTTTTTTGTGGAGACTTGTCTCACTTTGTTGCCCAAGCTGCTTTGGAACTCCTGGCCTCAAGCCATCCTCTTGCCTAGGCCTCCCAAAGTGCTGCGATTACAGGCGTGAGCCACCATGCCCAGCTCTCTCTTCGGTCTTAAAGCAAAGTGTCAAAGACCCAGCCACCACTTCTTAGAAATGACTCGATGTCATACTAGCATAAATCCATCGATAAAAAGATGGAAATGTGGTAACACAGTGATCTTGGGGAATCCTAGTTTTCTTTTCCAATTTCTTTGTTGTTGCAGTGAGCAAGTACTTGTTTCAAGATAGGAATGAAATATTCGGCTCTTTTAGACAGACAAGCACAGGTGCTCAGTTTGGGAGAAGAATTAAAATCCTCTGCACTCTCCATGCTGCCTTGCTAATTCTCGGGGTCCTGTCCTCATCTTCTACTCTTGCCTTCTGCAGGGACCCCACAGCGTGTTTTCCCCGATCTTTTTGTATCACTCTAAATCCAGTATTGGGCCCAGGGAGCACCCCCTCCCCTGCCCCCTTCAGCTGTCCTTCTGCCTGAGTCTTCTGGAAGCTTCAGGACAGAAAGAACCCAAGGATTTGTCATGAAGCTCAGTGTGGCAGGTCTACTGTTTCCATGTAAATCATGTCTGCTTATCTGAGCTGGTTTTGGTGGAAACTGATGGAAATTATGGGGAAGCTAAATCCCTGTCTCTCTGCAAGCCACTCCCCAATCCCACCCCCATGAATTGGCATTGTCACAGTCCTGGTGCTTCATTTCTTTCTATATTTGAAGATGAATTTGAGGGAAGTAGTCAGAAAGTCAAGAAGAACACAGCAGAAATCAATTGAGGTGAGTCCAGAACAAAACTTGGGGATCCCACTTCCTGCTTTTTTTTTTTTTTTTTTTTTTTGAGATGGAGTCTCACTCTGTCGCCCAGGCTGGAGTGCAGTGGCAAGACCTCAGCTCACTGCAACCTGTGGCTCCCTGGTTCAAGTGATTCTCCTGCCTCAGCCTCCTGAAGTAGCTGGGATTAGAGGCATGCGCCACCACACCTAGCTAATTTTTGTATTTTTAGTAGAGACAGGGTTTTGCCATGTTGGCCAAGTTGGTCTCGAACTCCTGACCTCAAATGATCTGCCCACCTCGGACTCCCAACATGTTCATATTACAGTAGTAAGCCACGGCTTCTGGCCCCAATTCCTGCTCTCTAGCTCCGGGAAAACCTATGGCTGCATGCAGAGTCTTAGACAACTTCCTTTTCCTCTCTGGGCCTCAGTTTCCCATTCTGTAAGATGAAAGGTTTCCATAGGCCTACACTTTCTAATTGGTGGCTTTCAATCCTCTGGTGATTTGCATAAAAGGCATCTATTTCAATTGTGGTTATAAATAACAAACCCCAATAAATAGACGAATTATTTAAATGGTTTCTCATTATCACTGAATAGTTGAGAGTCTACTGTATTTGAGTGAAAATGCAGCAAGAGAAGCTGAAATCAGATGCACTCATGATTATGACCCTGAGGTCAATGTGTCATTCCCTTCATTCCCTCCTTGCCCCCATGAAGGTTTGACTACTGTATGGTTTGAACCTGTGCTTCTTAGTTGTTTATTGCTTAAGTTTTAGCCACAACGGCAAATTGCAGCGGGAAATTCAGTCTTACTTTGTCATTTGGAAACAAAATACAAAACCTATCAAAATAAAGCACTAGCTTTTTTTTTTTTGAGACAAAATGGAAGAAATCCTAATATTAGGTTAGAAAAGCAATTTTTTGGTGTTTTTTAAATTTTATTTATTTATTTTTTTGAGACAGAGTCTTGCTCTGTCGCCCAGGCTGGAGTGCAGTGGTGCGATCTCGGCTAACCGCAAGCTCCGCCTCCCAGGTTCACGCCATTCTCCTGCCTCAGCCTCCCGAGTAGCTGGTACTACAGGCGCCCGCCACCACGCCCGGCTAAGTGTTTATATTTTTAGTAGAGACGGGGTTTCACTGTGTTAGCCAGGATGGTCTTGATCTCGTGGCCTCATGATCTGCCAGCCTTGGCCTCCCAAAGTGCTGGGATTACAGGCGTGAGCCACTGTGCCCGGCCTCTTTGGTGTGTATTTTGATGTGGTGACTGGTAGTTAAATTCAGTGTACATATGAATTCACTCTTGGGACAAAATATGCTGGATTTGAGCTTGTTTTCAGGCAAATCATGTTTCATCTTGCAGAGCTAATTCAAAGTATACTGACTGCATGCACTTCTTGCTTAGGGGAAGAAAACTCATCAAAATTTGTTTCTAGGCATATGTTATTAGAGCTAGGATTAAAATAAATCTTACATACTTTCTTTAATATGCTAACATTAACACGTTTCGCTTAAAAAAGTATCGATCATTTATCATGGAAAAATACACCAGCTTACACAAATTCCTAAAGCGTTTTTCGTGTGTGTGTGTGTGTGTGTGTGTGTGCGTGCGTGTGCGTGTGTGTGTGTAGAGATGGGGTTTCGCCATATTGCCCAGGCTGGTCTCGAACTCGTGGGCTCAAGCGATCCACCCACCTCAGCCTCCCAAAGTGCTGGGATTACAGGCGTGAGCCACACACCCGGCCCTAAAGCTTTTTGTGAGATTATATATTTTACCTGCGAAATATATGGGTCAGAAAGATTTGAGAAAGTTGTTAGATAATTCCACCAACAAAATCTCCCGTCCTTTCCAGCTGTGATGGTGAATTCTAAAGTAGAATTCATCTTTGGAGCTTCTCCCTGTAGGCATGCACCTTGCGTTGCACCTGCCAGATGTCGCGCGGAGTCCTCCAGGCCTCTAGAAGGCAGAGATGGTCTCGTTTCCTTGCCGAGCATGCGCCTTAGTTCTCTCTTCTGGGGCTGTGAACGTGGCGTCGAAGCGCGCGTGCGCGGCGGCTCTGGCGGCGGCGGTGGGGCGGGGCCTGGGCTGTCAGCCGGCCTAGGAGGAGGAAGGAGCCTGCGGCGTGCAGTGTGAGGGGCGGGACCCGGCTGCCGGCGGTGGGTCTAGCTGGGGGAGGTCGGGCCATGCTGGTGGGCCAGGGCGCGGGGCTGCTGGGGCCCGCGGTGGTCACCGCCGCGGTGGTGCTGCTGCTGAGCGGCGTGGGGCCGGCGCACGGCTCGGAGGACATCGTGGTGGGCTGCGGTGGCTTCGTCAAGTCGGACGTGGAGATCAACTACTCGCTCATCGAGGTGAGCGCCCGCCCCGCCGCCCGGCGCCGAGTCGCCGGGCCGGTGGTTCAGCCTCTCTGGGCCGCGCTGGCCTCGTCTCTGACACCGGGCGGTGTGGAGTCCTTGGAGCCCTTACCTCTTCCGAGGCTATGCTGTCCGCGGGCTCCCTGCAGCCCCTCCCCAGTCGCGCTGGAGGGGAGGTTCTTATCATGGGGTCGTCTAAGGACTGAGGGGTGCCAGACCTCAGGTTCTTCAAAACCCCGACTCCAGATCCGCGGAACACAGACCCCAGATCCTCAAAACCCAGACCCTAAATTCCCTGGAGCCCAGACTCCATTTCTTTAAAACTTAGACCTGAGATCTCCTCGAATCAGACCCCCTGAAACTCAGATTTCCCCAAACCCACATTCCAGAACCTAGAGACCACATGTCTTATCCCCCAAACTCCACAGCCCAGAACCCCCCGAAGTTCTAATCCACTGCTCCTCCAAACCCCGCGGCATGATTTTAAAGAGCATCAATTCCCATCCCATAGATTCTGACCTAGTAGATCAGTATTGGCAACCCTAGGGCCGGAAAGCTATTTTTTATTTCTCCGGCTCCCCTCCACTTCTGAAAATGGAGAGTTGCCAGCTGCCCTGATTGCCTTAATGAGTAGTTAATGGAATTACCCTAGAGATTTGTAAAGGTTTTTTTTTTTTTTTTTTTTTTTTTTTTTTTTTTAATTAAGTTGTAAAGTCCTGTTAAATGTTTATCAGCCCGGTGGGATTATGACCCAGAAAGGTTCCCGTAAAGAGGAAAGGGATGGATGGAGGTAGGGGCAGAATGTCATTTGTCCCGGTAGATGGGAGGGGACCAGAGCAAGGCCTGGGCCTCATTTTTGGGCGGGGATTTATGGTGGGGTAGGACAAGGAAGAGGAAAAGAGCGGGTGCCTCGGAGGTAATTTAGGAGAAAACGAAGGAAGAGGCTGGGAAATGCCAAAGAGAGGGATTGGGGAATAAGACCCCAAAGATCGTCTGAAAGCACCTTTGAGCTGTTCCAGGGCTGGCAGTGAAGGGTGAAGCTCTGTGTTCTGCAAAGCGGGCTGCTGAGGATTGGGGGAGGGGTAGGGAGTCAGTTCCACACCCCATCAGCTCTGCGACCTGCCCTTGCTCTAGGTTTCAGTTTTTGTACCTATAGGATGGTGTTGGGAGAGAAACAGTGGAACCCAGCAGATACATTTCTTTAACAAGCGGATCCGTGATCTTCTTCAAGGCCCCGTTGTTTGCTGCTTTTTCAGGCTGAAGAGGTCAGAGGTCAGGCATTGAATGAATACCCACTGGCAGCGGCAGGGCTCCTAGGATTTCCTGGGTACATGTTTCTGGGTGCCCATGCCACCTCCTAGGTCTGCACTGGGGACAGGACACGTTCAGGGTGGTATGGCTGTAGACGGCACAGGGCATTTCAGAAGCTGAAATGCAAGAGGCCAGTAAGGCCTCTTGCAACTTGTAGTTTCCAGGGGTTCTGGAAGGAAGGAAAAGACAGGCACCCCCCTCCACCCTCACCCTCATACTAATAGTGACCTTGAGAGCAGAGAACAGGTTTTGTGACCCATTTCAAAGTGTGTTCCTTAAGCCCAAGGGCTGCCTGTCCAGATGGTGTGGGACACTCATTCTTTCGTAAGTAATTCAGATTCTGAAATCAGACATTTCATACTGGCCATCTTGATGTAGATTACATTGCCATCCTGTGTCCTGATTGTACTTTATGAAAGATGTAGAAATAATCATGATATTTCACGGTTATTTCTTGATTGTGTTTTTTGTGTTCCTATGCAACTGCCGCCATTCTTCTCTAGCTTTCTCCCATCCTGAGTGTTTTTACATCGTGTTCATTGAGTCAACAACTATTTACTGAGCCCCGGCACATACTGAAGCCTTGTCCCCAGTGTGGATATAGCAGTACAGTGAACAGAACAGACAAAACTCCATACTCTCATGAGACTGACATTTTGTTCTCTAACAGGGACCTTACTGTTAAAAAAAAAAAATTATACTGGTTGCTAATACTTTAACAATCAGCAGGTTTCACATTAAAAACTGGGTTCTTTATTTCTCTGGAAAACCAGCCGATCTTTAGGCTGCCACCCTTGGCTTGGGTTTTGTAGTGATCTGAATCCTTTTGGATGAATGTCCCTTGATGTTGCCTCCCTAACCGGTCTAGGCTGGTGAATTTCCAGTCCCTGCACTAAATGCATGCATCTGAATCTCTTTGTCACCTGTAGCAAATTCACTGAGTACCTAGAGTAAGCAAGACACTGTCTCAGGCACTGGGGAATGAAGTTGTGGTCACTGACCTCAGAGAACTTTACATACAGGCTTAACCTTATTTCACACGAGTCCTTTCCCAAATGTTCAAATGTTCGTTTTATGAGTTAGTCACTTTGTACATCTTCTTAGCTGGTAAGATTCGACTGTTTCATTGCGGCTCGTGTCATGGTTTGTTTCATGGTCATAGAGCATTAACATTTTGGAGGTGAGGCTTTTAGGTGCATCAGACCCAACTGCTTCCTTTTACAGACATGGAAACTGAGCCTCAGAGTGGTTGAGCTGTGCAGGTACATTTAGGAAATTTTCCTTGAGCCCAGTATGTTCCCTACGTATTACACTGTGTTGCCTTTTTCTTCAGAGAGAGATATTAAACAGTAATACAAACTGCTTTTTCCATTTTACTTATTTTATTTTGTTTTATTTTGAGGCAGGGTCTCACACTGTTGCTCAGGCTGGAGTATAGTGGCACCATCATAGCTCACCAAAGCCTCTGACTCCTGGCCTCAAGCAGTCCTCCTGCCTCGGCCTCCTGAGTAGCTGAGGCTACAGGCACGTGCCATCATGCCTAGCTAATTTTTTTTCTAGTAGGGATGAGGTGTGGCTGTGTTGTCCAGGCTGGTCTCCTGGGCTCAGGTGATCCTCCTTCTTTGGCCTCCCAAAGTGCTGGGATTACAGGCATGAGCCACCATGCCTGGCCGCAAACTGATTTTTCTTTGAATCCATATTCTGTAGCAGGTGCTTAATATGCATTGATGTGAATCTGTACAACCACATGAAAAGGAGCGGCTCTGTGTCTACACCTGAAGAAACCGAACACGAGCTTGCCCAAGGCCACACAACACGTGGAAGACTCAGATGGCATTTGGGCATCTTACTGGGTTAACACTTCGTGTCTGGTAATGCTCAGAATGTAAGAGTTTTAGAGAGTCCTTGAAGAGAGGACAGATATTAAATGTCTTTTTAGTCTCTTTTTCTTCAGAGAATGAAAGTAATGAGAAAATTAAGTTTCTAGATGAATGTTGCTCCAAGTATTTGAAATTATTCAGAGTTAGTAAGGAAGATTTCTGGCCCTCATTCCAGACCTTTAGTTGAGAAATAGAGGTGGGCCCCAGGAATTTGCAATTTATTTTACTTTATTTTTTTTTATTATTATTTTTGAGACGGAGTCTTGCTCTGTCTCCCAGGCTGGAGTGCTGTGGCATGATCTTGGCTCACTGCAACCTCCGCCTCCTGAGTTCAAACAATTTTCCTGCCTCAGCCTCCCAAGTACCTGGGACTACCGGTGCCTGCCACCATGCCTGGGTAACTTTTTTTGTATTTTTAGTAGGGACAGGGTTTCACCTTGTTGGCCAGGCTGGTCTCAAATTCCTGACCTTAAGTGATCTGCCCACCTCAGCCTCCTGAAGTGCTGGGAGTACTGGCATGAGCCACCGTGCCCAGCCAGGAATTTGCATGTTAATAAGCACCTTACTAATGGCAAAGTTTGCAAATTTGTTTTAGACCCGGAAACTTACACGAGCAACCTAGAGACAGCCACTAAAATAAACAGGAAAGCATTGAAAAATAAGGCATTGTAATAGGCTGTAGGTGGTTTCTAATCTGAAAAACATTGAGTCACATGATTTGGGAGAGAGTTTGTTGATTTCCCTCTGTCCCCAGTAATGCCCCGTGTTAAAAGCTGGTATATAGTAGGTCCTCAGTGAATGTATACTGACTGAGTGCATTCAGGTGTAACATGTGTAGTTAATTCCCAAAGGCAATGTTATGATTTCTGTTTTCCTTCCTTCCTTTCCAGATAAAGCTGTACACCAAGCATGGGACTTTGAAATACCAGACAGACTGTGCCCCTAATAATGGTTACTTTATGATCCCTTTGTATGATAAGGTAAGAGGGGACTGCTTGTCACTTATGATGGGAAGTCACTAGTGTGCCTCACCAGGCTGCATTAACCATGCCCTTTCCTACACTAGCAAATGCTCATCTGTTTTGTAAATTATTAGTGGAATATGATAATCCTAGTCACATTTGGAGGGAGACAACTTACAAACTGCCTTGACGAATACAGTGGCTCTCTCTGTGTTTAGGGCCATTTGGCAATGTCTAGAGACGTTTTTGTTGTGACATCTGTGGCTGTGCGCTACAGTCACCCAGTGAGTAGTGGCCAGGCGTGGAGCTAAATGCGCTACAGTGCTGCCTACGACAGCCCAGATGTCAGTAGTGCCAGGGCTGAGAAACCCTGATTTCATGGAACCCGTTACTTGCAAGCAGCTTAAAGTATTGTTAAAACAATTGTACAAGTAATACATGAATTCATGAACTTTGTGAAAAAGAAAGTCAAGGTCTTTAGAAGTATGTGAAATAAATTTGTACCCTTTTCCCTCCAATTTTACCTCCCTCTGTAGTGATAACCTCTGATAATCTGATAAAGGTTTTTTTTGTTGTTTTTTTTTTCTTCTTTTGAGATGGAGTCTCGCTCTGTCGCCCAGGCTGGAGTGCAGTGGTGTGATCTTGCCTCACTCCAACCTCCACCCCCCAGGTTCAAGCCATTTTCCTTCCTAGGCCTCCCGAATAGCTGGGATTACAGGCACCTGCCACTACACCCAGCTAATGTTTTGTATTTTTAATAGTGACGGGGTTTTGCCATGTTGGCCAGGCTGGTCTCGAACTCCTGACCTCAAGTGAACCACCTGCCTCAGCCTCCCAAAGTGCTGGGATTACAGGTGTGAGCCGATGTTTCCGGCCCTCTTATAAAATTTTGATGGGCATCCTAACAGATTGCTTTCTATTTATAGTTATTCAGGTATCCACGGGTACACATGCATATGTATACATGGAAATACACACAAGCACACATGCACATCGATATGTATCCACAAACACCTCTATACAATCCCATCCTCCCACCTATAAACCTTTTATTTGGAAATACAGATTCATAGGAAGTTGCAAAAATAGTCAATACACATAGTTTTGATTTTGATATATTTTTTAATACAAATGAAATCAAACAATAGGATTTATTCTGCAGTTTCATTTTTTCCCCTGTGTTAATGCTTTCAATACCAGAGGGACATTTGGTTTTTTCCTCTTGCATGCTTTCAACATTAGCATAGATAGATCTACTGACTTTTTTTTTTTTTTTTGAGACAGAGTCTCACTCTGTCAGCCAGGCTGGAGTGCAGTGGCGCGATCTCGGCTCACTGCAACCTCTGCCTCCTGGGTTTCTGCCTCAGCCTCCCAAGTAGCTGGGATTACAGGCACCCACCACCATGCCCAGCTAACTTTTTTTGTATTTTTAGTAGAGATGGTGTTTCACCATGTTGGCCAGGCTGGTTTTGAACTCCTGACCTCAGGTGATCCGCCCACCTCAGCCTCCCAGAGTGCTGGGATTACAGGCATGAGCCACCATGCTCAGCCTACTGACTTCTTTTTAATCGCTGCATAGTGTGTCAGAGTCAAACCCAAACTGTAATTTATTTAACTACTTGGACATATAGACTTTCCCCAATTTTAAAATAATAGTAATTTTAACATAACACACCAGGAAATATTCTTGAACTTAACTCTTCATCCAGAATGCATAGGACTGATTTCTAGAGATGGACTAGCTGGGTCTGTCCTGAAATCTATTTAATTAATTTTTAAATAGTATCAGTATCAGTCTCAAGAAACCAGGAGGCTGGACGTGGTAGCTCATGCCTGTAATCCTAGCACTTTGGGAGGTTGAGGCAGGTGGATCGCCTGAGCTCAGGAGTGTGAGACCAGCCTGGGCAACATGGTGCAACCCCGTCTCTACTAAAATACAAAAAAATTAGCCGGGTGTCACGTGGATGCCTGTAGTCCCAGCTACTTGGGAGGCTGAGGCAGGAGAATCGCTTGAACCCAGGAGACGGAGGTTGCAGTGAGCCAAGATCGCACCACTTCACTCCAGCCTGGGCAACAGAGCGAGGCTCCATCTCAAAAAAAAAAACTAAAACAGAAACAAAGAAACCAGGGTTGATAAGTAAAATCTAGTTTTATTTATTGAATTAATGAGTTAATGTATTGTTTAGAGACAGGATCTCCCTCCGCTGCCCATGCTGGAGTGCAGGGGCACAATTATGGTTCACTGCAGCACTGACCTCCTGGGCTCAAGTGATCTTCCTGCCTCTTCCTCCTAAGTAGCTAAGACTGTAGGCGCCTGCCACCACACCCAGCTGATTTTTTAAGAACATTTTTTGTACAGATGGGGTCTTGCTATGTTGCTTAGGCTGGTCTTGAACTCCTGGCCTCAAGTGACCCTCCTGCCTTGGCCTCCCACAGTGTTGGGATTATAGGTGTGAGGTACTGTGCCTGGCCAAATCTAGTTTTAGGGGGTGACTTTAGTTCCTGAAGATACATGCTAACTTGTGCAACTGTAGGCATGTGAGGGCTTAATGGGAGACTCAATTAATAGAATTATAGTATGTTTAGTATTAAAAGACAGTGAGTGGCTGAACCTAGTGTCTTTAGAACTCATGAATGGGCTTCAGCACTGTCTTCTGATTGTTTAGATGAAAACTTCTGGTGTTCAGCTTCAGCTTGTAGCTTCTGAAGAGAATCAGTGCTCAGTACCATGTAGAAGAACAAGGCTTACTCTTAGAATTTCATTTCCGGTGTAAAAAAATTTTAGATTAAATGATAACACTAAACTAAATTTAGCCAGAGTCACAATTCTCATTTCTTGAAATTACATTTTCTTTTTTTCCTTTTAGGGGGATTTCATTCTGAAGATTGAGCCTCCCCTAGGGTGGAGTTTTGGTAAGTTAACTGAATCACTAGACATTCTTTGTAAAAGATTAGATGATATGCCGAATATTAATTTAGGCTAGCAGAGTGCATAAACTATTAAAATATTAAGGATCATTTCCAGTATGGAAGAGGGTTTGTATTCCTCCCCTCCTTGCCCCCATCACTCTGGTTTAGTTCGGATTTACCTTAATCTACCTTAAGACTTTCTGTCACCTTTGAAAAATAGACATCTTTTCTTCTACCTTTCTGGAAACTCTTCCCTTGCAGTTTCACTCATTACGTGGCCGTGGAACAGTATAGAAATCAAGAGTGGGGACTTGGTTCCCGTCCCAGGATGGCTTCTTTTTTAGCCCTCTCAGTTTTTTAATTTTTTATGGAATTAATTGAAACATTTAAAGATTGTGAGATTTGTCATAAAAATCCAGATTTATGTCCCATGAGATGAGAAGACTGTCAGCCTTATACCTTACCAGTTAAATAACTTTGGGCAAGTTACTTCCCCCGTGTCAGCCTGGCTCCTCACTGTCGAGCAAGGGTAGATATAGTCCCTGCCCCACTGGGTACTTGGAGGATTAATAAACCAATACTGAGTGTTCAGAGGGGCTGGCACGTAATTAGCAAGTACTCAGTATTCAGAAACAGCCCTTCTGCACACATCCCAACAAAAGCTCCAAACTTTCCTCATAGAACTAACTGCCTTCAAGCATAGCTGGGGAGTTGGGGATGGGGTTGAGATCAGAAGAGAGGGTCTGTTTTGATGTAGTTTACATTTTTGAAGAGGAGAGACTCTTGATGTTTCAGTAGAGCAGGTGTGGGTGACCCCAGTCCATGGCTTGGGGAGAGGAGTAGGGATCACCGTTGTTGATATCAGGCTTGCTCGTGCATTAGACAAGGAAGAATTTAGCACCTGCCATCGCCAAGGCTAAAATGAGGCTCAGGCAGCTGACAGCTAATTTGGCTCTGTGAGAGCAGCTCTTTTATCAGTTTATAGTCAGGGGTAGGGTGGGGGGTGCCTGGCTGGTACGTTCCAGAAAGCTGGAGAGGAATGCAGCCCTGCTCATGGCCAAAGCAGAAGTCCAGATTGGTGGCCTGGAGGAGTGTTGTGTTTGCCACCCCCCACGCTACCCCCAACTGGTGCTGTTGATAAGCTTTTTAATTGAATTATACTTTCAGAAAAGTGCCTTGGATGAATTTTCACTAAGTGAACACACCCATGTATCCACCATCCAGATGATAAGATAGCACTTCACCAGCACCCCAGAAGTCCCCATCCTGGGTGCTCATTAGCCATCCCGCCCCACCCTCCAGGTGACCACCACCCTGACCTTCTACAAATTAGAGATCCATTTGGTCTGTTTTGAACTTTATACAAATGCTATCATGCAGGGAACTTTTTAATATCCAGTTTCTTTCACTCAACATTATGAACTTTATCTCTATCATTTGTAGCTTTAGTTCATTCTCTTTGCTGTTGAGAATTCTGATGCATAAATATAAAATTATTTATATTTTATAAAATATTTATATTTTATTTTATTTTTTTCTTTTTTTTGAGACTGAGTCTCGCTCTGTTGCCCAGGCTGGAGTGTGATCTCAGTTCACTGCAACTTCGGCCCGGGTTCAAGCAATTCTTGTGCCTCAGCTTCCTCAGTAGATGAGATTACAGTTGTGCACCACCACACCCAGCTAATTTTTGTATTTTTAGTAGAGATGGGGTTTCATCATGTTGACCCAGGCTGGTCTCGAACTCCTGACCTCAAGTGATCTGCCCGCTTTGGCCTCCCAAAGTGTGGGGATTATAGGCAAGAGCCACCACGCCTGGCCTATATTTATATTTTATATTCATATTTTGTATCAGTGATCTCTTCTACTGTTGATGGCCATTTGAGTTGCTTACCGATTTTGGCCACTAAGAGCAGTGCTCCTGTGAACATTCTTGTATGTATATTTTGATACATGTGTCTGCATTTTTGCTGAGTGTATCACAGGAGTAAAGTCGCTGAGCCATAGAGCTGATACATGCTCAGCTTTAGGTGTTTGCAAACATCCAAAGTGGATGCACCAGTTTGTGTTCTCCCAGCAGTGTACAAGGGTTTCCATTGCTCCACATCCTAACCTACACTTGGTATCGTCAGTTTTTTTTAATTTTAGCCCTTCTGGTGGGGGTGTGGTATTATCTCACTGTGGCCTTGATTTACATTCCACTGATGGCCAATGAGGTTGCACACTTTTTCGTATGTTTATGTTTGTTTGCCATGGGCTAGCTATTTTTGTAAGATTCCTGTTCAAGTCTTTTGCCCATTTTTTATTGGAGTCTTTGTGTGTGTGTGTGTGTGTGTGTGTGTGCATGTACGCGTGCAAGCACGTGTGTAATTCATCTTAACTGAAAATCTCATCTCATGGTTTTCCATTTTTTTCTCTACTCATTACTCCATATTCTTCCTAACCTTTCAAAAACTCAACCTTAACCCCTATTATGATGAACTCTTCAGTTAAAAAATGGAGTTAATTGCTGATATTGAAAAATCAAGAGATGGTATATAAAATCCAGATTTCCAGTTTTTCGGAGAAGTTGGAAGCTCTGGCAAAGCATGGTAGTGGTTGGCAGACTTGAGTGGCGGTTGTCTCCTTTCAATTTGCCACAGTCCCCCTGAGGATGCTCCGCTCACTTCGAACCCATGAGGCCCCTGTGGCCCTGGAGTTTGTGTTCCTGGTTTAACATGGCTGAGCTCATGTCCTTGGTCAGAGAACAGATCCAGAGCCAGACTTTTAGGGTTGAACTGGGGCTCTGTCACTCAGAAGCTCTGTGATCTTGGGAGCTCCTTTAACCTTTCTGTGCCTTAATTTACCCCTCAGTAAATTGCAGCTATTACTGCCTGTCTCTTAAGATAATTGTGAGGATTAAAGGCACTCAGCTCAGTGCCTGGTCGGTGATGAGCATTCAGGAAATAAAATTATTTGGTGCTCACTGAATTTTCCCTGGAACTCTGAGATATAACTTAGCTGAAAGGCGTTGTAAAATTATTTTATACTCTAAACACGAATTCCCTCTGGGGCAGGAAACCAGGAGGCTAGGGGGATAGGGGTGAGAGGGAGACTTTTCCCAGAATACTTTTTTGTACCTTTGGATTTGGAAACACACGAGTGTATTAAGTGTTCAAAAGTAAAATGAAACCTGAATAATAAAAATACGTTCTACTTAGGTTCACTGTACCCCAAAACTAAGCTTGCCTTTGTGTCTTGTGCCCCGGTTTCCTCCCCTGCTTCGTTCCTCAGAGCCGACGACCGTGGAGCTCCATGTGGATGGAGTCAGTGACATCTGCACAAAGGGTGGGGACATCAACTTTGTCTTCACTGGGTTCTCTGTGAATGGCAAGGTTTGTCTTTGGAACTTGATTATTTTTCCTGTTCACTCTATAATGTATACTAAATCCTTTTTTAAAAAAATGCAGGATATTTTAACCTGGGGACTTTGATCCCACAAGGGACCCATGGATAAGTGGCAAGTGAGCCTGTGAACTCTGTACTTCATCCGTGTAGAACGCAGCAGGTGTATTTAGGAGTGAGATTGAGGTTGCTGGTCATCCCCTCTGCTCCCAGAGCATAGGCTGTTGGTGTTTTTATTTTTTTATTTTTTATTTTGAGACAGGGTCTTGCTCTATTGCCCAGGCTGGAGTGCAGTGGTGCAATCTTGACTCACTGCAGCCTCCACCTCCCAGGTTCAAGTGATTCTCCTGCCTCACCCTCCCGCTCCTTCACCCTCCCGAGTAGCTAGGATTACAAGTGTGTGCCACCATGCCTGGCTAATTTTTGTATTTTCAGTAGAGATGGGCTTTTGCTGTGTTGGCCAGGCTGGTCTCAAACTCCTGACCTCAGGTGATCCGCCTGCCTCCACCTCCCATAGTGCTGGGATTACAGGTGTACGCTGTGCACCCAGCCGCTGTTAGCGTTTATGTCAGGGATGGCCTTTTACAGGGATGCCGAATTGGAAGGACGCACTCTCTAAGCCTTGTGGCATCTTGCTGTCCCTGTGGGTGAATTGAAGTCAGCTTCTCCCAGAGAGAGCGTGCATCTGCTTCCGACACTTACCTAGGAGGATTCCTATTATTTAAGTTCTGAGATTTTTTTGGACCGCCACGGTGGTGTGAATTTAGAGTCCTAACGGGTGTGTGCCCAGCTCCCGCGATTCAGATTCTCAGGGGAGAGTCATTTCTCTTCCACCCGCCCTGTGCCTGAGGTTGAGATGTGCTTCCTTCCTTCCTGTCCTTCTCTTCATGATGGACTTCTTTCTCCTCTACCTTTGCGGTGACGGGGAGGCCCTTCCATCCCAGCTGTATGTGTGGGCTTCTTGTTAGAGATGGGGATCTTGGGTAGTTTTTTCTTTATCGATGGTTTGCAAAATAATGGTGAATCTTTTTTTATTTTTATTTTTATTTATTTATTTTTTTGAGACAGAGTCTCGCTCTGTGGCCTAAGCTGGAGTGCAGTAGCGCAGTCTCTCTCACCACAACCTCCACCTCCTGGGTTCGAGCAATTCTCCTGCCTCAGCCTCCCCAGTAGCTGGGATTACAGGCGTGTGCCACCTGACCCAGCTAATTTTTATATTTTTATTTTTATGTACATTTACTTTTTTTTTTTTTTTTTTTTTTTTTTTTTAAGATGGAGTCTCCCTCTGTCGCCCAGGCTGGAGTGCAGTGGCGCGATTGCAGCTTACTGCAACCTCCGCCTCCTGGGTTCAAGTGATTCTCCTGCCTCAGCCTCAGGAGTAGCTGGGATTACAAGCATGTGCCATGACGCCCAGCTAATTTTTGTATTTTTAGTAGAGACAGGGTTTCACCATGTTGGCCAGGCTGGTCTCAAACTCCTGACCTCAAGTGGTCTGCCTGCCTCAGCCTCCCAAAGTGCTGGGATTACAGGCGTGAACCACCACACCCACCCAGACCAATAATGGTGAATCTATAACTGATGATGTCTTAGATTCATTGAAATAGAGTCTTATTTTACTGTTACTGTTCCCTCTCCTACCTCATCCCCAGGAAACATATCCATGATTTATAGCATCTTTTCAATGGGATTCTTGACCCAAAGAGGGTTCCTGGGCTCCACCTGGGAGTTGTAAGCAGGACTGCCAGTGCTTTGAGAGGAGGGTGCTTTGCTGGGTGGGCCCTAACTTTCTTCTCCATGGCAGGTCCTCAGCAAAGGGCAGCCCCTGGGTCCTGCGGGAGTTCAGGTGTCTCTGAGAAACACTGGGACCGAAGCAAAGATCCAGTCCACAGTTACACAGCCTGGCGGAAAGTGAGTAGCGTCCTGTCTCTTAGTGTTGCCTTAGAGCCGGGCTCTGACAGGGGTCATGGAGCTGGGTTTGGGAGTTTGGATTCAGGGAGTTCTGGGTTCAGATCCTGATTCAGCCTCTTAACTTTGGGTGAGTTCATGCCCGTCAGAGTGCTGAGTTCCCCACATGTGAAATGGAATCCATTTGACCCATCTTGCCTAGCATTGATGAGATGATTAAATATGAGTTCATACTGGCCAGGCATATTGGCTTGCGCCTATAATGCCAGCACTTTGGGAGGCCAGGATGGGAGGATCACTTGAGTTCAGGAGTTCGAGACCAGCCTGGACAACATAGGGAGACTCAATCTCCACAAATAATTTAAAAAATTATATCAAGTAGAGTCCCACGGGGGAAGAAAATTAGCTGGGTGTGGTGGCATGCTTCTGTGGTCGCAGCTACTCGGGAGGCTGAGGCGGGAGGATTGCTTGAGCCTGGAAGGTTGAGGCTGCGGTGAGCCGTGATCATGTGCCACTGTGCTCCAGCCTCGGCAGCAGAGCAAGACCCTGTCTGAAACAAACAAAAAAAGAGTTAATACCCATAAAGCACCTGCTTCAAGGCCTGGGGCTTAGTGGGTCTTCATTTAGCAGCTCAGCCTGGCTCTGGAGCCTGCCAGCCCGGGCTTGAATCCCAGCTCCCCCATTTGCTGGCTGGTTGACCTAGGGCAAGTTCCTTAACCCCTCTGTGCCTCAGTTTCCTCTTTTGTAAATGAAGATAATTGTGGAACCTATCTCCTAAGGTACTGGAAAGATGAAATTAATATTATTACTTCAAGCTGCCTGGCATATTAGCTCAAACAGGTTAGCTCAGTTATGATTAGAAAAAATCATTATCATTATTATATCAAAACTGCTTTGTAGTTGGAGCAGATGCCTAGCTGACCTTGCTGAGTCAGATTTAAAGCATTTATTTAATGGATGTATATAGTTGAGTTGTAAATGTTAACAGATATGCCAAGATTAATACCAGAATAGTTCAAACTGATAATTCCGAAAGCGTTCAAATCATTACTAACTCCGTTAATATACAAACTGAGTAAATTGCAAAATAGAAGTTTATAATGAGTCTGTCAGTAAGTTATTCAATTTTAAAGTTATTATTGTTGAAACTAGTTTTCATTTTTGAAATAACATTTACTTCTGCTTGACTGGTGCCTCTCCAGCCCTGGTGTGTAGCAGGAATATGGAGCTGTAATTTTTTTTCTGGGCTAGTAATTTGGTGTTGACCTTACTAGAAAAAAATAGTGTCTTGAGCCTTCTGAATACCTTTCATCTGCACTAACTGAAACAATGAAACATGTAGCACTGGGCTATTATGAAAATGAAATAGAAGCTCAATCTTACCAATACTTGTAGTAATGTGATTTCCAAGCCCTATCCAGTTATTGCAGGCAAGATTTGATACAATAAAATACCACAGAAGAAGAAATCAAATGCGTTTTCTAGTTCATTTCACCGGACTTAGCCTTCTCATTTGTCAGTTGCCTTACAAATTTGAAGGGATAAACATGTTAGTATACTGGCAGCAGCATTTCCAGCTTTAGCTCGGCTCACTCTGGTGTTAGTCTGTCTATGGCTAGTAGAGTAATTTTCATCAGCTGCTGGTTTCTTATCTCAGTTGCTTTGTGCAAAAACCCAGAATGACTTATCTGTGTTTCTCTAAAGCCTTTTTTCTGGGATTCAAAGCTTGTCATAGTTTACCCTGCCCTGTGTCATTTGCATCATCTTGGGTCAGCGTCCCCCTCAGCCTGTGCATCTGTTCTGTTCTTTTTCACCCCACTTCTCCCTTCCCATGTGTTTCCTTGGACACTTCTGTCCCCTTCTCCTTGTCAGTTCATGCCTGTCACCTCTGTCAAACACAGTCGAATGTTCTGTGACTGGTCCCTGCTGTGCTACAAGGATTGGTTTTATGCCAGAAATCCTTGAGATTAAGGGAGACGTAAGCACTCCTCTTTCCGATCAGCACATGGAGCACCCCTCTTGACACACAGTAAGTGCTCAATAAGCGCTCTTTTATGCAGATTTGTACAGTGAAGGATTGAATTTCATTCATGCTCATTTAACAAGCTAATGGAAGTTTGCGATAATTCCAACATTGTTTTCTTGTGCTGCCAACATTAGTCATAGAATTAGAAATACTTGGGTTGTTTGGAGAAAGTTAAATGGTTATTTTTTATGTCTTAGGTTTGCATTTTTTAAAGTTCTGCCTGGAGATTATGAAATCCTCGCAACTCATCCAACCTGGGCGTTGAAAGAGGTGAGTGACAGCTACGTCTATAGCCATGCCAATAATATGCTGGTCTTGGGACAAATGTAGGGCTTTTCAATTTAGGATATGAAAAGAATTTATGGTTCCTCCAGGACTAGATGAAGAACCAATGGTGCTGTTGTTTAGTTTGGTAGTTATTTATAAGGTGTAACTCCTCACTGTAGCAGATGTTGCTTGTGTTAGTTTCAGTTTTAGGTGACAGTGTTGTCTTCCTGCTGTGAAATAGATCTGTTTTATTAACTATAGCTATTTTAAACTAAATCAACAACAGAAGGCCCTGACGAGATTTATTTGTTGTTCTTTTTTCAGCCTGAAACAGAAATCTGTAAATATACTAAACATTCTAGAAACTGTGGTACGCGTGACCAAGGAGAATGTATGAGAATGTTTATTGCAGCTTTGTTTGTAATAGCAAAATATTGTAAACAACCTAAATGCCTTTTAAGAGAAGAATGGATTGGGGTTCCATCATACAATAGGCTGCTGTATGTCAGCAGTAATGAATGAACCAGAGCTACATATATCAATGTAACTACATTTAAAAACAGAGTTGAAGGAAATATGATTTTAAATACTTGTGATAATCATTTATGGATACAGTCTTTTTTTTTTTTTTTTTTAAAGACGGAGTCTCGCTCTGTTGCCAAGACTGGAGTGCAGTGGCATGATCTTGGCTTATTGCAACCTCGGCCTTCTGTGTCCAAGCGAGTCTCCGGCTTCAGTCTCCTGAGCAGCTGAATTACAGGGATGTGCCACCACGCCCAGCTAATTTTTGTATTTTTAGTATATATGGGATTTTGCCATGTTGGCCAGGCTGGTCTCGAACTCCTAGCCTCAAATGATCCACCAGCCTCGGGCTCTCAAAAAAGTGGTGGGATTACAGGTATAAACCAGTGCACTCGGCCAGATACAGTCTTTTTTTTTTTTTTTTTTTTTTGCAACAGGGTCTTGCTCTGTTGCCCAGGCTAGAGTACAGTGACATATTCATGGCTCATTGCAGCCTCTGGTTCCTGGCCTTAAGCGATCCTTCACCTTGGCCTCCCAAGGATCTGGAACTGCAGGCATGTGCCACTGCCCCTAGCTAAGGATACAGTCTTTTTTTTTTGAGATGAAGTCTTGCTCTTGTTGCCCAGGCTGGAGTGCAATGGGGCGATCTCGGCTCATTGCAACCTCCGCCTCTTGGGTTCAAGCGATTCTCCTGCCTCAGCCTCCTGAGTAGCTGGGGTTACAGGTGCCTGCCACCATGCCCAGTTAATTTTTGTATTTTTAGTAGGGACAGGGAGGATACAGTCTTATGTAGAAAAATTATAAAGACATGTATGGGAATAGCAGATGCTGTTCAAAATGATACTGACTTCTAGAGAAAGAGGGAGGAGGGGGACTTCGGGGTACGCCAGCATCTTGAATTGTATTTTTTTAAATTTCTTTAGCTGGTTAGAAGGTATGTAAGTGTTCTTTAGCATATCTTTTTTTGTTTGACTGAAATAGTTTATAGTCAAAGATCAAAAAAGGAACTCCACCTAGTAGGTGAGGTTCTGTAATAGCCGTGAAAGACCAAATTGAAATAAGACTTAAGGGACATCTTGACATGTTAGCTTCTGTGTTAGTATTGAAGCTGTATCTCATTTTTGCTAAAGAAGCATTGGAATCAGTATTTCAGCTTCTACTCTATCTGTTTTATTATTATTTTTACTCTGTAGGTTTTACGCACTTATAATTGATGATAGTTTCACACCTAGATGTCTCTTCTTACTGTTTATGACTTTTGGTTTTGGGGGTTTTTCTCTTCTGCAGCAACATTTAAAAATATTTTATTCAAGGCTGGGTGCAGTTGCTCATGCTGTAATTCCAGCATTTTGGGAGGCTGAGGTGGGTGGATCACTTGAGGTCAGGAGTTCGAGACCAACCTGGCCAACATGGTGAAACCGCATCTCTACTAAAAATAGAAAAAAATTAGCCAGGAATGGTGGCATACACCTGTAATCCCAGCTACTCGGGAGGCTGAGGCAGGAGAATCGCTTGAACCTGGGAGGGGGAGGTAGCAGTGAGCCAAGATTGCACCACTGCACTTCAGCTTGGGTGACAGAGTGAGACTCCATCTCAAAAAAAAAAAAAAAATTTATTCGAAATGAAAGAGCTTACACATTTATAAATAGAAGAGATTTTGAGGTTTACATTGTATGTTAATTGTCTGCATAGAAGAATCTGAGTTTATTAATATGAGATTGGGATTTTCAAGTAAAGCATGTTGTTAGAAGTCAGGATAATGTTTATCCTCCTGGGGTGTTAGTGACCGGAAGCAAGTGTGAGGGCACTTCTGGCTTGCTGGTGCTCTTCTGTTGGGTAACCAGTGCCCAATTTGTGACAAGCCCTGTGCTGCGTGCTTAGAATCTGTACACTTTTCTCTGTGTTTATTGTACCTTAACAAAAATGTTTAAAAATATACACATATTGTGAAAAGAACAACTTAAGGCAAATTAAACAGAGTTTAATTGAGCATAGAACAATTTGTCAATTGGGCAGCCCCCTGAGCCAGAATAGGTTTACAGTGACTGTGGCACTGTTGCGTGATTGGAAAGGGTTTATGGACAGAAAAAGAAAGTGACGGACAGAAAGTGGAAGTGAGGTACAGAAACAGTTGGATTGGTTACAGCTGGACGTTTGTCTTATTTGCACATGGTTTGAACAGTTGGCTGCCTGTGAGTAGTTGAAGGGTGGCTGCTTGAATTGGGTGAGACTTGGCAACACGTACAGAGAAACCTTTAGGCCAAACTTAAAATATGTAAGGAGGCAGCTTTAGGCTAATCTTCAGTTAACACTGTATATCATTAAAAATAGAAAAAAAGGCAAAATATGCTCATTAAAAAAATTGGAACATATAGAGGAATATAAAGCAGTGGAAACAAATTTTGGAAGCTGGAAAAGTATACAAGTAAAATAGCACCATATAGACAAAATCATTATTGTTTACATTTTGCCACATTTCCTTTCACTTCATTTTGGGCATTAAAAAATAATGATAAGCCAGGCACGGTGGCTCACACCTGTAATCCCAGCACTTTGGGAGGCTGAGGCAGGCGGATCACCTGAGGTCAGGAGTTCGAGACCAGCCTGGCCAACACGGTGAAACCCTGTCTCTACTAAAAATACAAAAATTAGCCGGGCGTGGTGGCGAGCGCTTGTAATCCCCGCTACTTGGGAGGCTGAGGCAGGAGAATCTCTTGAACCCAGGAGGCAGAGGTTGCAGTGAGCCGAGGTTGCACCATTGCACTCAAGCCTGTGTGACATACTGAGACTCCGTCTCAAGAAAAGAAGTGATCATACTGAATAAGCAATTTTATAGATTACGTTTCCCAGTTAATATTTTAGCTTCAGCGTGTCCTCATGTTGTTAGGCACTTTGCAAGTGTTTATTTTTTTACAGGTTAAAATCTTTTTCTGTTACAGGCAAGCACCACAGTGCGTGTAACCAACTCCAATGCCAATGCGGCCAGTCCCCTCATAGTTGCTGGCTACAATGTGTCTGGCTCTGTCCGAAGTGATGGGGAGCCCATGAAAGGGGTGAAGTTTCTTCTCTTTTCTTCTTTAGTAACTAAAGAGGTAAGCAAAGAAAAGAACAAAAGAGATGGTGTGAAGGGTAGGAGGGTGGGGGATTATAGACCAGAACATACTGTTTTAAAAAATGCAGGTCTGAGTTGATTTATCATTTTAACACTTAAGAATATCGTCTGTCTCAGGCCGGGTGTGGTAGCTCATGCCTGTAATCCCAGCACTTTGGGAGGCCAAGGTGGGTGGATCACTTGAGGTCAGGAGTTTTAGACCAGCCTGGCCAACATTATGAAACCCCATCTCTACTAAAAATACAAAAACATTAGCCGGGCATGTTGGCACGTGCCTGTAGTCCCAGCTGCGTGGGAGGCTGAGGCAGTAGAATCGCTTGAACCCAGGAGGTGGAGGTTGCAGTGAGCCAAGATCACGCCACTGCACTCCAGCCTGGGTGACAGAGTGAGACTCTCAAAAAAAAAAAAAAAAAAATTCAAGAATATCATGTGTCTCTGTTGACTCACAAGACATTGCACATCTACACTGGGAGGCAGTGGTATGTGATGGAAAGTACACAGGCTTTGAAATCAGACCTGGGTTTAAACAAATCTCAGGTTTAAACAAATTCCTCTTCCTAGCTATGCGACCCTGGGCCGGTCACATTACCTTCCTGAGCTTCCGTTTCCTTATTTGGAGAATGGTGACCCATGATAAGGAAGGACAGTCATGTCATCTTTCCCGGGAAGACTGTGCCAGTTTTTAACTTTGCAACTTGAATGTCAAGATTTTTGTTCCTTTTATCTGTATTAATGTGTCTTAGATTTCAGAAATACATATATTGACATGAAACTTAAAAAAATTTTCCTATAATGTGGCTAATTGATGGTATTCAGAACATGTAAATGGAAAAGGAAGTCTTGTCTTTTTTACCCCCTGGCATAGGATGTCCTGGGCTGCAATGTCTCACCAGTGCCTGGGTTCCAGCCCCAAGACGAGAGTCTGGTGTATTTGTGCTACACGGTCTCCAGAGAAGATGGCTCGTTCTCTTTCTATTCCTTGCCAAGTGGGGGCTACACTGTGGTGAGTGAAGCAGATTTCCGTTCTGTTTATGTCTGGGACTCTCATGACACAGTAAAAGCCAATGCTGTTTGGGTGTTAAAGGAAAAGATGGTTGGCCTGCAGTTCTCTGAACACGCTGTTAAGCAGTAACTTACTTAAGATGAGACACTCACCCCTTCGTAATAGCTACAAAAAGGGCAAGGCTTCCTCTTTTCGAATCTGCAACAGTTATGATGAATGTTTCTCTTGGTCTGTCTGAACCCCTTGTCATTTGTGGGCTGCTAGATCGATTATTAATATTGCTGATTGATCATGTTAGTGGTTCTTAGTGATTAAGAGACTCTTCCTTCCAGATTCCGTTCTATCGAGGGGAGAGGATTACCTTTGATGTGGCGCCTTCCAGACTTGACTTCACAGTGGAGCATGACAGCTTGAAAATCGAGGTAAGGCTTTTCTGTCTTCTGGAGGGACAGGTGTTTGAGTTCCCATCCCTAGGCACAGGTATTGCAAACATGTTTTAAAAAAAAATCAATTATTTTATCTGGAAGGGCTGTTGGAAAAAATGCCATCTGGTATTATATTCTTACCCATGATGTCCTTATCGTAGAGAGCTGGATTCCTAGTTAAATCTACTCATTCAATGAAATATATTTATTGATTGCCAGTGACATGCATTTCAGGCACCATTCCAGGACTGGGGATATAGCAGTGACCAAAAGAGGCAAAAATTCTTGTCCCTGTGGACCTCATTTTTTTTTTTTTTTTTTTTTTTTAAGATAGGGTCTCACTGTGTGGCTCAAGCTGGAGTGCAGTGGTACGATCTCATCTCACTGCAGCCATTGCCTCCAGGGCTCAAGTGATCCTCCCACCTCAGCCTGTTGAGTAGCTGGGACCACAGGCACGTGCCACCATGCCCAGCTAATTTTTGTATTTTTGTTAGAGATGGGGTTTCACCATGTTGCCCAGGCTGTTCTCTAACTCCTGGGTTCAAGTGATCTGCCTGCCTCGGCTTCCCAAAGTGTTGGGATTACAGGTGTGAGCCATCGCACCTGGCTAGACCTCATGTTCTAATGACAGGAAGGGTCAATACATGTATAGATGTATAAGTTAGAAAGTACAGTAGAAGGTGATAAGTGTTCTCTAGAAAAATAAAGGAAGAAAGGAGGTCGTACAGTATCAGGGTGGAGACAGGGGTTGCAGTTGTACATAGGGTGTTTTTGGGAAGTCCTCCCTGTGAAGGTGACATTTGATCAACAACCTGAAGGGAAAGAACAAGAGAACCATACTTCACTCCTGCAGGAAGAGTGTGTAAGACTGAGGGAACGGCACGTGCAAAGGTCCTGAGGCAGGAGTGTGCTGAAGGGTTTGGGGCATCCCAAGGAGGCCAGGGTGGCTGGAGTGGAGGGAATGAGCAAGGAAGGAGGAGGCGGAAAGAGGGTCAGGGAGGTGACAGGGCAGATTGTGCAGGGCTTGGTGGGCCACTTTGCCTATAACTCTGGGTGAGAATTGGTGCCACTGGAAGGTTCCTAGCAGAGGAGTGGCGTGATCCTTCTGGCAGCTGCATTGAGGAGAGTTTGCAGGGTGTCAGGGTGGAAGTGGGAGACCAGTTGGGATGCCATGGCCGTAAACCAGGTGAGAACTGGCAGAGCTTGGACCGTGATGGTAGGAATGGGCAGTGTGATACATGGCTTGATAAACTGCCTAGACCCTCACATAAATGGTAAATGTATTTTTCATCTCACTTACGTCTCCTTTAATTACAGAAGTAGAAAATGGTTACTGTAGAAAATTGGCTAGCTAGAACAAATCCCAAAAGAAAATAACAGCCTCTCCTAAGTGGACCACCCAATGTTAGAGTTATCGAAGCAATTATATTTTAATCATTTTCTTTTAATAATTACATTTGAAAGTACTGTGTTAAAATCGCTTAAACTGGCAGAAGCGGACTTTTAGGTCATATGCACAGTGGGGTGCAGACTCTGCATTTTAAGATTCAGTGGAGTGTTTGACTGTTCTGCTGTACACTGGAGGGGAAAGAGAAGGGTAAGAAGATGAAGCCTTTACTTTGCTTCTCGTAGCTTGCAGAGAAGGATGGGGGCAGGTGAGCAGAGACAGCTATTCCCAGATTACAGCCAAATACATATTTTGAAAATGATGAATGGAATTTCAGGGAATGGGGCCCTGTAAGTTCCCTGAGGTCAGGTACCGTGTCTTATTCTTTACTGTTTTCCTAACATGTGATTTAGTGCCTGGCACATAGTAGGTGCCCAGCAAAAATATTTGTTGAGTACATATGTGAATTAATAAGTAGGTAATGCATGGAATGAAACATGTCTTTTTGGAAAGATCAGGAAGGACTACCTGTCATGTGAGACCATCACTAAGAAACCATTTGCTGAAAAAAAAAATAAAAAAATAAAAAAGAAGGGCTCCCTGCATAAAAAGGAAGTCATTTAATTATTTAAAGCTTCATCTCAAATGCTGTTGCACACGTGCGTGCACACATTCATTCATTCAGGAGTCAGTTATTGAGTGCCTGCTGTGTACCAGGTGACTAAGACAGAAAAAGTCCCTGTCTCCATGAGGTAACATGCTAGTGGGAGGGAGACAACTAAGAAATCGAACGAGGACATTTCAGATACTGGTAAGTTTGATGAAGATACTAAAATGGGTTAGCAGTGGTGACCTTGGGGATACACAGATCAGGGCTGGAACTCAGTAACTGCAGAGAAAGCACAGGTGTGCTGCTCACAGGCAAGTGGGGCACAGACACAGACACAGACACAGACACATGGAGCATGGGACCACGTGTGAGCCAGTGATGGTGGTGGAGGAGGGTGGTCTAGGTGGATTTCTTTTTTTTTCTTTGAGACAGAGTCTTGCTGCGTCACACAGGCTGGCACTGTCTTGGCTCACTGCAACCTCCGCATCCCGAGTTGAAGCGATTCTCCTGCCTCAGCCTCCCGAGTAGCTGGGATTACAGGCGCCTGCCACCACACCTGGCTAATTTTTGTATTTTTAGTGGAGACAGGGCTTCACCATGTTGGTCAGGCTGGTCTTGGACTGCTGACCTCAAGTGATCTGCCTGCCTCGGCCTCCCAAAGTGCTGGGATTACAGGCGTGAACCACTGCGCCTGGCCTAGGTGGATTTCATAAGGACCTGTGTTCAGGTCGTGGTGGAAAGACAGGAGGGGACACGTGAGACCTTGCAGAGGTGGAATCCACAGGACTGATCGATGCTGGAGGAGCGGGGCGGGGCATCCAAAGTGATGCCGGGGTGTGCATGGGAGACTGGAGGAAGACGTGGTTCACCAAAATGGGGGCATCTGGAGGGGAGGAGATGGCACAGGGGTAAGGGTGGGGGGCTTCTAGAAGCTTGAGTCAGTGACCTTTTAACGAGGGAAGTAAGTCTCTAGACTTTTCTTTTCTGTTGTTTGACACTCAGCAGTGTGTTGGGAACACAACAGAGAAGACAGATGTGGGTAAAGTGAGAGGGAGCCCGGCTGGCACACAGGACCGGGGCACTGAGTGTTGGGAGGTGGGCGGCAGGAGCAGACATGGTAGGTGGTGGCCGGCGCAGCAGAAGGAGGCTTTGTGGCTCTGGCACAGGAGCACCTTCGAGCACCTTCTTCTTGTTCTTTGTTTTCTAGCCCGTGTTCCACGTCATGGGATTCTCCGTCACCGGGAGGGTCTTGAACGGACCCGAAGGAGATGGTGTTCCAGAAGCAGTAGTCACCCTGAATAACCAAATCAAAGGTGGGCTGACACAGCAGCCCCAGGCTGATGGCCAGCGCTCTTTTTGGATCACAGAGAGAAATGGAGAGGAACTGATGACTATATGAGAACATGGCAGCTTTTGGTCCAAGTATTCTGGTGTACATGTAAGGATACACTGTTATTTTTGGCTTATCTTCTGTTTGTGTGTTTTTGTTTTACAGTTAAAACAAAAGCTGATGGCTCATTCCGCCTTGAGAACATAACCACAGGGACATACACCATCCATGCTCAGAAAGAGCACCTCTACTTTGAAACGGTCACCATCAAAATTGCACCGAACACACCTCAGCTGGCTGACATTGTTGCAACAGGGTAAGCTTATCGTGTGGATTTGGAAGCACCAGTAAATATGCTGGCAGCCAGTGTAGAACCAAATGACCTGTGATCTGTGTGTCTTTGCCGAGCTTAAGAACTTAAGAAAGATTAGTACTTTTTTTTTTTTTTTTTTGAGAGACAGAGTCTTGCCCTGTTGCCCAGGCTGTAGTGCAGTGGTGCCATCTCGACTCACTGCAACCTCTGCCTCCCAGGTTCAAGTGATTCTCCTGCCTCAGCTTCCCAAGTAGCTGGGACTATAGGCGTGCCCCACCACACCCAGCTAATTTTTGTATTTTTTAGTAGAGACAGGGTTTCACTATATGTTGTCCAGGCTAGTCTCAAAACTCCTAACCTCAGGCTGTCTGCCTGCTTTGGCCTCCCAAAGTGCTGGGATTATAGGTGTGAGACACTGCACCCGGCCAAGAAAGATTAGTTCTAAATCTTACAAACTGAAGGTACTGACATGTCGGATGCTTAATGAAAAGTCCCTTGCTTCAAATTAAAATGGGCTTGTGAAATTAAAAAATCTTTCATGTCTGACTTTCACGATCTTTCACAGGACCCCTCTTTGCTTAATCTTTGAGGATTTTTGGAAGATGGTATTGTTGGTTGAGAAAGCTTATTGGAAGATGCTTCAGGTCATTGGTGTAGTTCTTCCTGCTTGTAGTTACTCATTATACTATAAGTACAGGCAGGGACATCTTGTGGTTGAATTCATGTGGTTTTACCATCATCTGAAGCAAGATTGTGTAGTGCCAAGAACTTGGGCTTTGGAGTCAGATCCCAGATCCACCTGTATGTAACCTGCAGAACAGCTTTAGACATAACAGGTGCTCACAAAACAGTAGCTTAGAAGGAGACTGCAGGGTCTGCTTGGGAGAAGCGCGGCATGAGCAAAGTCAGGCAGTCTCACAGCAGCATGAGGTGGCTGCGGGTGTAAAGCTGGGTGCTACTGGAGCAGAATATACTGGCAGGTGAAGGTGATGATGAGGCCAACCCCATAGCACCTCCTCACACCCCACCAGGGCGTAGGGGCTTTCTCCCACTGGGGCCAACGGGCCATGAGTGGTTTTGAGCATTAATATAACAAGCTTTGATCATTGTTTTCAATAGGGCATTCTGAAAACAGTGGCATGGAGTAGAGTGGCTTTGAAGGGGACAGGACTTGGGCACAGGAGGTCTGAAAGCAGAGACGACAAGGGCTTGCCTTGTAGGGAAGTCAGGGACAGACTGGTGAGATATTTAGGGTGCCCAGCTTGAGAGGTGTGATGGCTGGGGACAGAAAGAGAAGCCAGTTAGGTGATGAGGGTTCAGATTTGGCCACATTGGTCTGTAGGACCACTAGGTGGAGCTCTTCAATAGGTACTTGGATGGATGGTAAATCCTGAAGATTTGGCCGCAGGTGGCAGCCAGGACCTCAAATATGTATGTGCAAGTAGAATTAGAAGAACAGTAGGCCAAAAACAGAGTGCCAGGTGGCCCAGGGGGGACCTAGGGAGCGTGAGGTCATAGGAGCTAAGAAAGTAAGTTTGGGGTAGGAGGTAGGGCCCAACAGGGAGGTGCAGGGAGCTGGGCCCTGGTGAACACAGTCCCCTGGCTTGATCACTGAGGAGGCCACAGTGACTCTTCTGTAGACAGATGGAGGTCGAGGTCAAGGAGTCCAGTGGTGAATGGAAGACAGGGAAGCAAATTACCCTCAGAAAGTAATTCTTGGATTTAAGTCTTTCCCACCTTCCATAAACACTTTGTGCAATTACTCTAGATGAGGCACTGAAAAATGCTTCGTACCTAATAATTAATCAAACTAGTGTTCCAGAGATGGGGCTTTCACCCTTCCAGGGAGACAGACTGAAGACAAATACATCTGTGGCCAGGCTTAATGCCTCACACCTGTAATCCATCCCAGCACTTTGGGAGGCAGAGGCGGGTGGATCGCTTGAGCCCAGGAGTTTGAGACCAGCCTGGGCAACTTGGGAAAACAACATCTCTACCAAAAATGCAAAAATTAGCTAGTTTCATAACCTGGTCTAAAAATAAATAAAGAGATAAAAATTAAAAAATAAAATAACAAGATTTTAAAAAAAGACAAAAAAGACAAATACATTTATGCTGCTAAATTATGGCAAGTGTTGTGCAGGGAAGAGATCAGGGTGCTGCAAGAAGAGCTAATTTAGAGTGGGAGCTCTGCAAGGCTCTCTGGGTTGCAGAGACCTTAGTAAAGACTAAAAGTTAGCTAAAGAAAGATCTTCCCTAGTAGAGAAGCAGCATGCTCAGAGGCCTGCATAGGATAGGAAGGACCTGAAAGGCAGTCTGCGCAGCTGGAGGAGGTGGGTGAGGTCAGGGAGCTCTGGGGCCTTGTAGCCTTGCTTTGGGATTGGGCTTTGCTCCCTAATGCAGTGGAAACCCGTTAGGAGTTGTCTGTTGGTTGGCCGGGCATGGTGGCTCACGCCTATGATCTCAGCACTTTGGGAGGCTGAGGTGGGCGGATCATGAGGTCAGGAGTTCAAGCGCAGCCTGGCCAGCATGGTGAAACCCGGTCTGTACTAAAGATACAAAAGGTTGGCGGGGCATGGTGATGCGTTCCTGTAATCCCAGCAACTCAGGAGGCTGAGGCAGGAGAATCGCTTGAATCCGAGAGGCAGGGGTTGCAGTGAGCTGAGATTGCACCATTGCACTCCAGCCTGGCCGACAGGGTGAGATTCCGTCTCAGAAAAAAAAAAGAGTTATCAGTTGGCAAGGGAGTGATAGGGATCATGGTACTTTAAAAAGTTTGTTTTTCTTCCTGGCTGCTGTGTGGAGAATGGATTGGAGGAAAGCCATGGTGTGAATGGAGGGGCCAGATATGAGGCAGTGGTGGTTGTCTGGAGGAGATATGGTAGTGGCCGGGCCCAGGCGGCTGGCAGGCGAGGGAGGGAGGAGTAGATGGATTTGGTAGGTCACATGGAGAACACACCCACAGGCCTGTGCTGTTGAGGTTACAGGTTTCTTATTTGAGCCACTGGGTAGATGGAGGAGGCGCTGTTCACAGAGATGGAGGAAATATATTTATTTTCTCCTTTAAAGTAGAGTATTTGGGTCAAAGAAAGAAAAATAGCATTTGTTGAACATTTTTGGAAAATCTCTTTTTTTTATTGGCCGACGTAGTACATTTGCCTTTTTAGCACACTGATACTTCTTACTATTTCTTTTCCTTTTTATTTTTTTTTGAGACAGGGTCTTACTCCGTTGCCCAGGCTGGAGTACAGTGGCGCCATCTCGGCTCACTGCAGCCTCCGCCTCTCGGGTTCAAGTGATTCTCCTGCCCCAGCCTCCTGAGTAGCTGGGATTACAGGCTAATTTTTATATTTTTTAGTAGAGATGTGGTTTTGCCGTGTTGGCTAGGCTGGTCTCGAACTCCTGACCTCAAGTGACCCACCCGCCTCGGCTTCCCAAAGTGCTGGGATTACAGGCTGAGCCATGGTGCCTAGTCTTCCTTTAAAGTAAAATAAAAAAATTACTCAATTTATTGTAAAAACAAACTCTTTGGCTTCTGTCCAAATGACTGTGAAAATAGATTTCTCTCAATATCCACCAATATTACCTGTTTCTGTCCATATATGTATTTAAACCCTGTTGAAAGAATTTATTGATACAAATCAATTTTTAAGGGCTTCAGTATAACGGAACCTTTTTCTACCACCCTTTTGGTTTATTTTTCCAAACTAAGCCAGTATAGATTTGAGGTTTAGGGAAAATAGGCACTTCTTTTTAATAAGAATGTGGGCTAAAACAGATCTTATGGTTCAAATATTTACAACTTAAGGAGGCAAAGAGATTTGATAGGAAATAGACAAGGTGATGTGTCCTCTGACAGGTACACAAATCAAGAGAATATGACAGGTCCTTGGGAATGATTGTGTCAGTGTTCGCTTCCCATCCTTTTATTCTGAAAGTTCACAGTAGGGGAATGTGAGAACCAAAATGCATATGCTAGGTCAGGGACTGGGACACTTTCTCTGTGGAGAGCCAGAGAATAACTATTTTAGGCTGCGTGAGCCATACGGTCTCTAGGACAACAGCTGAGATAGACATTTGTAAATGAATGGGCAGAGCGCAACACAACTACATTTTTGGACACCACAGTTTGCATTTCATGTAATTTTTACATGTGAAATATTATCTTTCTTTTGATTTTTTTTTTTTAACTTTAACCACTTAAGAGTGTAAAATTCTTTTTCTCGGCTTGCAGTTCATACACAAATGGGAGGGGGGTCCTTGGGTGGTAGTTTGCTGACCCATGCTGGAGATAGTGAGCTCATATGGCTGGGCAGTCCCTTCACTCTGAAGAAATGGCTGTGTTTTTCATGATTCCTAGATTTCACATACACAATCTTCCACCATTTCCTTGTGTTTTCCACTGTTTTTTTATTTGAGGCGGAGTGGTGGTTCCAACATTTAATGTACCCCTAATTGTCAGAATCCAACATTCTTGATTATCTTTATGTCAAAAGTAACTAATTTTTATCTAAAATGATTCTTGAAGATTCTTTAAAATGAACAGTTGAAAAGACAACTGTGACCCCCAGCTAGGATGTACTATTACACTTTAATACACCAGCTGCTTCAGAAATGAAGACCAGCACTCCAAGGATGATGGTCGTTGTAGGGGGGCCTCTCGTGTGTTATTCGAGGGATGCCTTGCAACACCTTACTCCTTATTTAGAATCTCAAATCTGAATCATTACCTTAATAGGGCTTTTCAGTTATAAGTTACATTTGTGGCTCCTACCTCCCAAGGAGTTCAATTTTAGCTTTGCATTTTTTAACTTAATTACCTTTTCTGTTCCAATCTCCCAGTTTGCTTTCATCCATGTATTATATATAATCACAAGCAAGGAAGACGTCTTTGATAATCCTGACTTATTTGATGGCCTGATAATGCCACAGTTTCTTAGGCAGCTTAGAGCTCTTGCTTTTAAGGGCTAGCCCACATTCTCAGTCCAAGGCCGCTCCGCTGTCAACGATCCAATTACCTGAAACGTTTTTATTATCTGCAGATTTTCTTAAAATTGCCTCTGCAGTGGGGGATTGCCACATGTCACCCGGAACACACAAACAGCCCCACTACGGGCCCCTGTTCTGTAGAAAGATGCCCAGTCTTGCTTCTGAAGGTTGCTTTTTAAAACCAGAATGAAGGTTGCTTTTTAAAACCAGAATCATCTGGACTGCATTCTGTCTCTTCATTAAGATTAGACTATTCTCAGGAACAAGGGCTGGGAGAGGGCTGCATCTTTTTTGGTCGATAAGAGCCTTTCCTGTTATAATTGAGTCCTCGTGCTGGAATGAATGGTCTTCTCTTTGCAGGTTCAGTGTCTGTGGTCGGATATCAATCATTCGCTTCCCGGACACCGTCAAGCAGATGAATAAATACAAAGTTGTCCTGTCATCTCAAGACAAGGACAAGTCTTTGGTCACCGTGGAGACAGATGCTCATGGATCATTTTGTTTTAAAGCAAAACCAGGGACTTACAAAGTGCAGGTGCGATGCATTGTTTTAAATTTAAAATGTTTTGAGAAAAAGCAGTGATTTTTAGAAGGGTTATTAGGTCGAATGGGGTTAGAGAAGGAGCATTCCAGTTTCCAACTTCTTGTTTTTAAGTCTTTACAATCCTGCACCAGTAGAGGAGAGTCAGATAGGCATCCAGCTAAAAAATAATGCCATCTGCCTCTCTTTTTTCCAGTCTTGATGTTTATTAGTATCAGGCTGCCAGTCACTCCTCTACCTTCAGGCTTCTGGCTGCTGTAGAATGTCGATGAGTCCAAGAGGACACCAAAAATGAACTCTACTAATGGCCGCTCAAAAATGGCCATAGTGCGTGGCTTCTGGGACCCCAGGCCAAAATGGAGCTTCCCATTTCCTGCTTTGCCTTGACTTCAAGATGGCTAGGCAGGGACCACGCGACTTATCCATTCAAGCAGGCCGAGAACGGGGAGACGGTCTGGCCTGTGGTCTCCTCACCATGGTGAAGGCCCAAGCCACAGCTGGCCCAAGCAAGCAAGAGACAGGACAGAGCAGAGGTCAGCCCACCATGCCTTTCAGTGCAGTGGCCCTGCCCTTGGGGAGAGACTGTTTCCGTGGGCTGTCACCCATCAAATCAGCAGCTGCCCTTCCTCCCTGTGGAAGAGCAAATAACACAAAGGGAGAGGGCCGAGAAGGTTCCCTGTTAGACTCTGCTGTCCTCTAGGGCAAAGTGGGGTCCCTCCCTCTGTGGGAAACAGGGTAGGAGATTGCGTTCTCCCTGCTTCCACAGAACAGCGTGGTGTGTGGGTTGACAGCTGCCTTTATTAGATGGTAGCTGGCTTCTTGCGAAGATGTCCACATTGACAAGTCTTTGGAAGCCCTTTCGGAAGCATGATGGACTTCTCCAAGGAAGGGCAGTGTCGTCTTTACTAGGGATGAAAGAGTTGACCGCTGCTACCTTCACCTGTTCCTCTTCTTAGCCCATGAAAGGCACGCAGAACAATAGGAGGAAGAAAATGACTTAATTCCACCAAAGTGTCATCCACATAGTGTTAACAGGTTCAGAGCTTATGCTACAAGTGATCCGAAGCCGGGAAAAGTGACTGGGATGTAGTATGGTTTCTAGTATGTAAGTGAGGCGTGTCCGCGTTGCGGGCCTGTGGGGAATTAGGCCAGATAGACTTTTGTTCATACACATCGGTCTGTTGAGGCTAATTTTTCATCTGGGTAGAACTGTGCTTACTTCACACAAGTTATTCGTGGATTTGTTGTGATTGTAAAATTGGCCTGGAAACGAACCTTTGGCCTTCAAAATCTCTTTAGCCTTAGTCCCAGATGAATGTTCTAGCGCCCTGTAGGTCAGGGGGAAGATCTCCCCGAATGCAGCCTCTAACGTTCCATCCACGTTTCCGCAGGTGATGGTTCCTGAGGCAGAAACCAGAGCAGGGCTGACGTTGAAACCCCAGACATTTCCTCTTACTGTGACCGACAGGCCCGTGATGGATGTGGCCTTTGTACAGTTCTTGGCATCAGTTTCTGGGAAAGTCTCTTGTTTGGGTAAGATATCACTGGAAAGTAAGAACACATAGTTTCAAAGAAGTCAGCCAGTAGGAGTGGGATTTGGGAAACTTTTCCTTTTGCCTTTGTTGTTTGCTACTGATCACCTGCGTGCGAGGGAGGCTTCTTGGAGTCAAGTGGGTGCATGTTAGCTTGAAAGAAGCACTCCGTCTGCCTCCGGCCACTGCCTCTTAGGAGCTCAGCAGTAGCAAGAAGCTATTACATAGGGTTAGGATTCGAACCTGTGCTGAAGCCTTATAAGGGGTCACATGGAGCCCTCCCTTCTTTTCCCTGCAGACACCTGTGGTGACTTGCTGGTGACTCTACAGTCCCTGAGCCGCCAGGGTGAGAAGCGGAGCCTCCAGCTCTCCGGCAAGGTCAACGCCATGACTTTCACCTTTGACAACGTGCTCCCTGGAAAATACAAAAGTAAGAATTGGAATGCAACATCCTGTGGCCCTCACACACTTCTTGTCTTTGTAAACTTTCTAAAACTCAGGTCTCAAATTGTATCACGACCATGTACCTTTCCTTGTTTTAAGTCGTCTTTGCCTCGTGACCTTGACTGCATTATTTAGCGTTGGACAAGCATGGAGGAGTCCAGGCCCTGAGCTGACCGCCACCTTGTCTGCACAGCCCACTGGCGGCTTCTGTTAAGGGAGGGTGCCCCGACGTATGGCATTTTATTTCTAAAGCCCAGAGAAAGGAGTGTGAAATAGTTCCACTGATGTGTTCTACTAACTTAGCAGTACTGGTGCTGAGTACTGGCCATGGCAAGGTACTTGACCTCCCTGAAACTCAGTTTTCCCATCTGTAAAATAGACGTAATGGAACCTTTCTGCAGAATATAAGACTAAAAGAAGTAAAGTTTATAAAGCCCGTTGTGCAGAGAGCCAGCTAAGTAGCTGGTGCCCACAAATGTTACTTCCCTTTTCCTTGCCCTTCTTAAGAAGCCACTTCTTGCCTGTATTTCTGCTTTTTCAGAAATCAGCTTGGGGCTGCTGGCAGTGGATAGCTCATAAAACAGACTGCTTTTTCTGGAATTATATTAATATTTTCTGTTATGGCAGGGCTTGGCAGACTACAAAAACTGCCTTTTATAAGCGTAGTTTCCTTAGAATACAGCCTTGCCCATTTGTTTATGGATTCTCTATGGCTGCTCGTGTGTAACAGTGGCCAAGTCGAGTGGTTGAGGCTGACAAAGCATGTGGCCTGCAAAACTGAAAAGAGTTACAGAAAAAGTTTGTGGATCCCTGAATACCTTACTTGCAGCCTGATCTTACAGGCCCCATTAGATTTCTTTCTTGATGTAATGGAAATTGGTTCCAGTTTTTCTTTCTTTTTTTTTGAAATTTAGCCTCGCTCTGTCACCCAGGCCGGAGTGTGGTGGCGCGACCTTGGCTCACTGCAACCTCTCCGCCTTCTGGGTGCAGGAGATTCTCTTGCCTCAGCTTCCCGAGTAGCTGGGATTACAGGCATGCACCACCATGCCTGGATCACTTTTGTATTTTTAGTAGAGATGGGGTTTTGCTATGTTGGTCAGACTGGTCTTGAACTCCTGGCTTCAAGCCATCCAACTGCCGTCAGCCTCCCAGAGTGCTGGGATTATAGGCATGAGCCACCACGCTCGACTCCAGGTTTTCTTTAGCAGTAATTTATTCCAAATACTGCTAGTTATAAATATATGTATGTGTATATTTCTATCTTTATGTCTACATACACACCTGCTTTTTAAAATTAGTTAATTCATGATCATTGTTTCTGGTGGCGTGCAGGGAGGTGGTGTGCTCCACGCCCATGTATCCGTTTTTGGTGTTTGCTTTTGCAGTAAGCATCATGCATGAGGATTGGTGCTGGAAGAACAAGAGCCTGGAGGTGGAAGTGCTGGAGGATGACGTGTCTGCAGTTGAGTTCAGGCAGACGGGCTACATGCTGAGATGTTCCCTGTCTCACGCCATCACTCTGGTATGTACGGCTTATGGAGTCTCTTATTTGGAAAAGCGCTCGCCTTGTGGATGTCAAGAAAGACTAACATCCCAGGAATATTGTAAACGTAGGCAAGTCAGATTTCCTTTTCTGCCTCTCCACTCGCCCACCTGTTACGCAACGCATAATCAGGAAGCATTTATACTCTCTCAGTGGAAGGACCCCTGTATTTAGGAGGTTTCCTTGTCCTGGCCCTACACTAAATCTGACTGGTGATTCGGGGTGACCTTTGGTACAGTGCAGAGCACACTGGCTTTATATTATTAGTAATAATAGCTTCGGGTAAATTCATTTACTGCTTCTCAGCCTCAGTTTTCACCGAAAATTGAGATCTTAATACCTACTTCTCAGGGTTATGGCAGGGCTTAAGTGAACCCTCTTAGGTATCAAAGTGTCCTTGGTGTACACCGCTCTGTACTGCCAAGTGAGTTTCTCTGATATATATATATATATATATATATATATATATATATATATATATATATATGTATTTTTTTTTTTTTTTTTTTTTTGAGATGGAGTCTTGCTCTGTTGCCCAGGCTGGAGTGCAGTGGCGCAATCTCGGCTCACTGAAACCTCCGCCTCCCGAGTTCAAGCGATTCTCCTGCTTCAGCCCCCCGAGTAGCTGGGACTAGAGGTGCGTGCCGCCATGCTCAGCTTTTTTTTTCTTTTTTTTTTGTATTTTTGTTAGAGACAGAGTTCCACCATGTTGGCCAGACTGGTCTTAAAACTCCTGACCTCAGGGGATCCACCTGTGTTGGCCTCGCAGAGTGCTAGGATTACAGGCGTGAGCCATTGTGCCCCACCTTCTCTGGTGTATTTGTTCCAGCGCAGGGGAAGAAGCTGTAAACAGGATCTTAGCTTCTTGTTGATTGTGGTCTCTGTGGCCTGAAAGGCAGTGTGAAATGGGTTTCAGGAGCACCTCTGTAGATCCCTTCGTGAATTTTCTATAATGTTTTGATGTTGAGTGGCGGCAGATGTCATCGTCAGGTCTTAGTTTCTCTGTAGAGAAACTAGAAGAATTGGAACTGGTGTTTCATGTGCCAACTTACTCCCCTAACTGCTTAATTACAAAAACTTGACAGGTCGATTTGTTATAGGAGATCGATTAATATCCGGTTCATAATAAGTGATAGATATTTAGGAAACCTTTCCCTTCCAGCAGTGGAGTGGATTTCCAGCTCTCTTGTAATAAGATCCTTTTTTTTTTTTTTTTTGACACTTCCTTAACCCCTTCTTTATCTCCTCCCACTGTCCCCTCACTCGCCGGGCCCCAGCCACAGTGGTCCTCTGCAGTCCCACACCAAGCTCACTCCCTCCTCGGGGCCTTTGCACATACTCTCCCCTCTGCCTGGAGTGCTGTGTCTTCTCCAGAAACACGTGTTGTTGGTTTTTCCTCCTCATTCAGGCGCAGCCCTATTGTTCAGGAGAGATGTGCCCTGGGACCAGCGAGCTAAAGACCCCTAGGTGGGGATTGTTCTTCTCTTGCTTTCCTGTTTATTTTCACAGCTTCGTTACTGACCAGTTGAGATCACTAATTTATTTGTTGATGCGTTGATTTTGTCTTCCTGTATTAGAACATAAGCCCTGTGAGAGCAGGAGCCATGGTCATGACTCCCAAGGCCCAGCCTTGTGTCTGTCACATAGCAGGTGCTCAATAAATATTAGTTGATTGAATGAAAAATAGCACACTTTTGTTGGAAGTTTTGGGAGGTTTTTAATTTTCCTGTGGCACCCAACTGCTCCAATGATTAATGGGCAAAACAGATGACTGGTTTGGAAAGAGAAATATTATTAATCATCTTGGTGTCTCCATCTCTCTTAGTAAGTCATTGTATTGGCTTTGCTCCCTTAGGAATTTTATCAGGATGGAAATGGGCGTGAGAATGTGGGGATTTATAACCTCTCCAAAGGAGTCAACCGATTCTGCCTGTCCAAGCCTGGTAAGTTTGGAAGGATTGATGTGCCATGAATTAGAAAAATGGAAAGGCACCAGAGGATGGTTTTGAAGGCATTTTTTTCTACCTTAGTTCTGTTTGCATCAAGCTTTCAATTTCTGTGTGTTCAACCTGCTCTTGTTTTTCTGTCTGTCTTGGGTTTGAGTTGGGTAGACACCACTGGGCCCTTTCACCTCCAAAAATATACCATTGGCCAATGGCCTCTCTTTATAGAGCTGTTTTAAAATTGGAATCATTTCCCACTTTGCTTAAAATCTTTCAGTGGCTTCTCGCTCTTTCTCATTTTTTTTTCTCTTTTTTTTTTTTGAGATGGAGTCTTGCTCTGTCACCCAGGCTGGAGTGTAGTGGCTTGATCTTGGCTCACTGCAGCCTCCGCCTCCTGGGTTCAAGCGATTCCCCTGCCTCAGCCTCTCGAGAAGCTGGGATTACAGGTGCCCACCACCACATCCGGCTAATTTTTGTATTTTTAGTAGGGATGGGTTTCACCACATTGTCCAGGCTGGTCTCAAACTCCTGACCTAAAGTGATCCGCCCGCCTCAGCCTCCCAAAGTGCTGGGATTACAGGTGTGAGCTGCTGCACCCAACCTTCTCTCTCTTTTATAATGGATTTTTTTGGAGGCAGAATTTGCATATCGTAAAACTCACCTATTTAAGATGTACAATAAAATGATTTGTAGTAAATTTATCAAGTTGCACAACCACGGCCAGAATCCAGTTTTAGATTTGTTCATCACCCACAATGTAAGATCCTCTGTGCCCATTGACAGTTAATCCCTGTTTCTAGCCATGGCCAGCCACTGATCTATTTTCTGTCCCCATGGATTGGCTTTTTTTGGACGTTTATCATACGATGCTGGTATTTTGTTTGGCTTCTTTTATTTAACATGTTTTTGAAGTTTATCTGTGTCATGGCACATATCAGTAGTTTGTTCTGTTACATTGCTGTGTAGTATTCTGGTGTGTGGTTATATCATATTTTGTGTATCCATTTATCAGTTGGTGGATATTTGAGTGGTTTCCAGTTTGACGCTGTTATGACTAATGTTACGGACATTCTTGTACAAGTCTTTGTGTCCGTATGTTTTCATTTTTCTTGTTTCGATACCTAGGAATGGAATTGCTGCATTGTGTAATAAATTTATGTTTAACCTTTTAAGAAACTGTCAAATTGTTTTCCACAGAGGCTGTGTCATTTGATATTCCCACCAGCAATGCACGAGGGTTCCGGTTTCTTCACCTCCTTCGCCAACATTTGTTATTGTCTGTTTTATTATAGTCATCTTGGTAGATGTGAAGTTGTGTCTCATGGTGGTTTTGTTTTGCATTTTCCTAATGAATAATTCAGTGGCTCCTCTGTTTGGTTCCCAAGATAAAATACAAACTCCTTAACCTGATCTTAGCTCCTGTGTAACCCAGCCCTGTCTGCCACTGTCTCTACTCCAGCCACTCTGTCCTTCTGGGTGTCAGTTCAGCTGCCTTTGGCTACATGTAACAAAATCCATACAGCAGTGCCATCGGCAAGTGGTAGTTTATTTGGCTCAATAAAGAAGTGTGGCAGTGCGTGGCTGCCAGCATGGGTTCAGCAGCTGGTAGATGTTAGGGGTGGTGTCTTTGTGATTCTTTAGGCCTTTCCCTTCTATTTTTTGCCTTGTATTTTCAAGATGGCTGTTGTTAGAAAACTTATGTTTAAAGGAGAAAGTCAAGGAGAGGGCAGGCAAACATTTCCTTGCGCCCCCTCCTCCAGTAAGCTACTTGTCTGTATTATTGGCCAGAACCGTGCCACATGGTTACTTCTAGCTGCAAGGGAGGCTGGGACAGTTGGATGTGCTACCCGAGGCTGAGCACGTTGCCACCCTCAACATAACCAGGGTTTGTTCTCAAGGCAGGAAGGATGCCTGTTGAGGAAACAATGAGCCAGCCTGTGAGGCAGATGCTGTTCTCTGTGGACATGTCCTCCTGCCCCTCCTAGCTGGGGCCTTCTTACCCATCAGTTCAGTATTGCTTCCCTGGGGAAGGATGGCCTCCAGGGCCACTTAGGCCTGCCTCCTACACTCTTGCTCTCAGCACTCACTTCTATCCCCTTCTTGCATGTGCCACAATTGATATGTTTGTGGCTGTCAAATGCTCCCCCTCTCTGTGGATGGTAAACTCCATGAAGACAGGGACCACTGCTCTGTCATTCCCCACTGTGTACCAGTACCTAGCATAATACCTGGCCAGGAAGAGGTGCTCTGTCGATATTTGTTGAATGAAAGACCAAACAAAACAAACAGAGAAACCTGATTTTTTTTTTTTTTTGATGGTAACTACTCTGGGGCTTGTTGAGTGCAATGAAAACAGCAGGGTGGTTTTAGCTAATTTCAGGTTTTTGTAGGAAGTGTGGCCAAAATATTGGTTAATGATGATTTGGGGGAAATACATTGTTATTCCTTGTATCTTCCTGAAATTGACTGTGTTCCTCTGGCAAGTGATGAAATGTACCCCTACTCGGAGTGTCCTCCCACACAGACTCACACTTTTCTGGGGCTTCCCTTACTCCTTACCTCCTTTTTAGGAATATTTATAGGAAGAAATTGAGGCTGTGGTTATCTCTTGGATCCTTAATAGAATCTTTTAAGTAGGAAATTATCCTCAGTCCAATTTGCAGTAGAAACGTACTTTCTGTTCCTTCTCGTGCATGGGTCCGTTCACCTGGTCTGTGCAGATTTAACTACTGTGAGTTGTTACCTTATGGAAAATGAAAATCATGCGCCTGTGATCGGGCCATTGCATGGATCGGGTCATTGGTAAGACGCCTTCATAGGCAGTGAAAACGATGCCTGCCCAGTATTTCTGATCCCATTATTGCAGATCTGCGATACGTTTGAGTTTTCACATGCAAAGAGCTGCCACTCGATTTCAGATGTCGGAATTGCTCAGTGTAATAGATGCCATTCTCTGAAAATTACTTTTGATTTCCTGTCTGTAGGTGTGTACAAAGTGACCCCTCGCTCCTGCCACCGGTTTGAGCAAGCGTTCTACACCTATGACACGTAAGCCTGGGAATTGAATGCTTTGTGGTGTTTGTATACATTCCGTGGAGGATTCTTCATTTACTTCAGAGAACAAAAGGAGTTTTTCTGTTTTTTTTTCTGAAAGAGGCAAGGTTAGGCCTTCAACAGCATTTCTAGATAAGGATTTTAAGACACTTGGATTAGTTACTGAGGAACCGGAGACAGGATCCCTTTCCCAAGAATTCTGTAACCCCAGGATAGAGGGCTGTGTTTTTGAAGTGCCTTAAATAGAAGCTTTGTCAAATCTCCCAGCCCTCACCGATGGGCATCTGTCAAGTTCAAGTCTGCCATTTTTGTATTTTTACAGACGTGTGTGGGTTTCACTGGGAATTGGAAGCATAAAGTTGTGGAGTGGAGAATTAGTTTACTCTTTAAAATACTTCTCTGGATCTCCAGAGTTATTTTACCCCAGACTAAAAGCAATTTTCTGTAGTATATTTAGGGTGAAGAAGGATGCCCAAAAAGGGTATTGCTGATGATCTTCTGAGAATGAGTAGGTTCTAGCGTTTCCTCTGCTTTGATTTGTAGGTCTTCACCTAGTATCTTGACATTGACAGCCATTCGCCACCATGTCCTTGGAACTATCACCACCGACAAAATGATGGATGTCACTGTGACTATCAAGTAAGATGAGCGTTCTGCAGTGGGCCGAGAGTGGCGGGAGAGGGTGTGGATGAGGCCTGGGGAGTCTCTAATAGGCTCTCTGGAAATTAGTTTTGATTTCTTATCTCTAGATGTATATACAAATGGCCTTCCCTCTCTTATAGGACATTGCCGTCAATTCCCAGCAGCCTTGATCCTTTCCTTTTCTGATTCAGAAATTACCTGTGGGTGAGGAAGAGCGTTGCGACAGCTTGTTTCAGTGTCTTCAATTTCTGTTTGAACTCTTTGTACTTCTCATCTTTGCTAAGGAAAAAAAAAATCTCTGGGGTTTGTGCATTGTATTTCAAGTGTTTTAGCAAATTCAAATTGCCTATTTTTCTTTAGACTTTTGCTTGAAGGCTTGGGAAATAGAGATGGCACCTGGTATAAGAGAAGGGTCGTGAGAGAGGAAGTATTTGAAAGGCAAGTCCCTCACCGAAGGTCACGTTCATGTGAATGTCACCTTTCAGGGAATTTTTGCAGTGTGGTGAGGTACCTGTGACGCCCCAATTTTCTTGAGAAATGAAAGAGTTTTGGCAACATGACCGTCTCTGTCAAGTAGAATGGGCATTGCAGTCCCTGTCTCCCTCCTGCCCCTGGTTGAAGTCACCTTTCCAGCTATGTTTCCATCTTTCTGTCCACCATCTGTTTATCCATCCGTCATCCCTGCAGAGTACATGATGACTGAAAAACTGAGAGTCTTCAGTGTTTAGGCACTGGGCTTATGAGGCCACAGCCCCTACACTTATGGGATTGACAGTCTCATGGGGGGAACAGTGGTCAGATACTCACATGCAGAACCGTAAAATGACAACTGTTCTGAGTGCTTTGAGCTTGACCTTGGGGGCATGCAGGACAGGTAGGCTGCGGGGGGCCAGGCCATGTTAAGGTCCATAGTCTTTGTCCCATGATGCAATTGACATGTTTTACATAGAGGAATGACATTTTTCTTCCTGAAGGTCCCCCTATTGGCCGAGTGGAGAACAGACAGAAGAGGCCTGAGAGTGGGAGGTGGTGGAGGCAGGGGGAGGCAATGGGGGCCCCAGACTAGTGGCTGCGGAGATGGAGAGCGACGGACTGGTCGGAGAGTCGTTGAGGGACTGAGTTGATGAGACATGGCACTAAAGTGACCACTGGGTTAGGGCGGGAGAAATGTCAGGGCTGGCCCTGGTTTCTGGTGATGGGGAGCCAGGTTTTTAGCTGGGGGTGGATTTGCTGAAGGTCTGTTGCTGTCTTTTACTATCATTTACTGTCTCCCTGCTTGGAAAGTATGAATTACTGATAGGACTAGCAATCTACCTTCTTACCAGTAGTAACTGCATGTTACCTCCTTTCAGCTTGATTACATTCATTTTTGTAACTTCACAAGGGTGTTTGTGTTGCTTGCTTGTGCCGGAGGTTGTATGGAATGCATCTTCCAGCTAGACAGAGCCACTCGGATTCCCCTGGGAATCGTGTACTCAGCAGACCCAAAACCCGACTGCTGACAGTTGCCCTCCATGAGCCCCTCTGTGGTCTTTTCTGATTCAGATATGGCAGCTCCCGCTTTCTCCTTGTTTCTTGATTCTTATTTCCCTTGAACCCTAGGCCCAGCCAATTCCCCAACAAAGCCTTGGCTTTACAATCAAAATACACCCATCATCTAGTCCCTTTTTACCACTTGGCCCTCAGCCTTGGTCTGACCCCCCTCTGGGGTCACTGTAGCAGCTTCCCAGCTGGCCTTCCCTTCTTACCACGTGGCCCTCAGCCCTGGTCTGACCCCCTCCGGGATCACTGCAGCAGCTTCCCAGCTGGGCTTTGCTTCTTACCACGTGGCCCTCAGCCCTAGTCTGACCCCCTCTGGGATCATTGCAGCAGCTTCCCAGCTGGCCTTCCCTTCTCACCACGTGGCCCTCAGCCCTGGTCTGACCCCCCTCTGGGATCACTGCAGCAGCTTCTCAGCTGGCCTTCCTGTTTCCGCCATTGCTTTGTGTATTTTCCATGAAGGAGCGAACGATTTCTTTTATCATACCATTCCTCGACTGAAAACTCCAGTGGCTCCAGGTCGGCACCAAGCCTGTGAAGCCTCAGTCTGACATCTGCTGCCCCTTGGACCTCTCTGTTGGATATGACTCTTCCGTGGGCCCCTGTGCCCCAGGCTGGACTGGTGTTGCCATTGCTTGAACATCTGAGTGAGCTTTCTCTCCAAGGACTTTGCACTTGGCATCGCTTTGCCCAAGCTACTGTTTACCCAGAGAGCTGCGTGGCGCATTCTCTCCCTTCCTTCAGACCTTTGCTCAATGTCACCTTATCAGAAAGGCCTTGACTGTCCCTTTAATGTAAAACAGTGCTCCGGGCTCTCCGTCTTCCCACACTGCTTTATTTTTCTTTATTGCACTTTTCCTCTGGTATTATTTTTCTCTTTATTTTCAGCCCCTTCCCACTGAAACGTGGATTCCACAGGGGTAGGAAGTGTGGTCTGTTTTGTTGATGCTGTATCCTTGGTGCCTAGTTCTCTATCAGAGCAGTTCTCAGCGAAGGTAGAATGGAGAACAGAGGATGGTGGTGTGGAGAAAACTCCGTGTCCTACATGGAAGCTACAAGCTTATATCCAGTCGCCATAAAATCAACCGTATTTCATTCCAGCCCAGATCTACCAGATACTGCCACCATCACTGCGAAGCTCAGTTGTTATTTTTTGTGAAACTACTAGTTTATTTAAAACAGAAGACTCCGCCACTGTGGTGTCATGATAAGATGTCCAGTTTGTAACTCGCAAGTCCATACTCGTAGAAAGGTCAAATTCCCACTGACCACAAGGATACGCAACCACGTCCTAGGGGCCGCCATTTCTTTCTTCTAGGTCTTCCATCGACAGTGAACCCGCCTTGGTCTTAGGCCCTCTGAAGTCTGTGCAGGAGCTGCGGAGGGAGCAGCAGCTGGCTGAGATCGAGGCCCGCAGGCAGGAGAGGGAGAAAAACGGCAATGAGGAAGGTGAAGAAAGAATGACCAAGCCTCCCGTGCAGGAGATGGTAGATGAGTTACAAGGCCCCTTCTCGTATGATTTCTCTTACTGGGCGCGGTAAGCTCTCTTGTGCGTTTCCCTACAGTGTCCTCTGTTTTGTGGGGACAGGACCCGCCAAACTGAAGTATATTAATTATTTTAGGTCTGGAGAGAAAATCACTGTTACACCGTCATCTAAAGAGCTGCTCTTTTATCCCCCTTCAATGGAAGCCGTTGTCAGTGGAGGTAAATGTCAACTCAGCGAGCGAATGTCACACACACCTTTGCAGTTGTTCCCTTGCCTGCATTTACAAGTAGATTTGTGATGTTATAGTGAAGCCATCTTTGTAAGCCACCTTACATCCTCTCTGGCACACAGATGTTACTGTTGGTTGGATGGATGGATGGATGGATGGATGGATGGATGGTTGGGTTGGATGGATGGATGGATGGATGGATGGATGGATGGATGAATGAATGATTTAGATAAATAAAAGTAACTTTTGCTGTTAGAATTGAGTTGATCTTTTTGGAAAAGGACTTGGTTTTCTTTGACATTATCAGGTCGACACCAGAAGGTAGATGAAGCACAAAGCTGCCAGTGATGATCTTTAATGATCTTTCTGTTGTTTGGCAGAGCATGATGGGAGGGTCTTTTTTTGGGGAATGGATGACTGAAGTGATCACTTGTGGAGTATTTGTCTTTTGCCACTTATTATTTTTTTCCCAGCACTCTGGCTTCGTTAAGTTGTGGGTGTTATGTGGTTCGCGTTTGGAAGCAGAGGGTGTTGAAGAGCGTGACTTCTAGCAGGCAGGCTGTTTGGGGCGGTCTTTCTCAGTGGGTCCTCCAGAGGCTGAGCAGCACGGCCTCCTGTCTGCTGTAAAGTGTTCCCTCCTGATCTGTGGCCTCCTGAGAACCTAGGAAGAGTAGTAGTAAAAACCCAGCCTTCAGCGTTTTTTGATTCTCTTGCTAAAGTCCTTCACACTGAGAAAGGCCTTTCAGGGATGGAAAGAGGCTTGGGCTGTATCCGATTATTGAGCTCCCCGGGGTGTTAAATAACCGCATTTGGAACTAGCTTCTAAGATCTGTTTTAGCCACTTTTGTCATGGGAAACCCCCAACCAAGAAGCTCCTGTCTCTGCTACCAAGCCCCATCCTTGTGTTTATTTCTTCCCCTCTTAGAAAGCTGCCCAGGGAAGCTGATCGAGATCCACGGGAAGGCAGGCCTGTTTTTAGAAGGCCAGATCCACCCCGAGTTGGAAGGAGTCGAGATTGTCATCAGTGAAAAGGGGGCAAGTTCACCGCTGATCACAGTCTTTACTGATGACAAAGGTGCCTACAGGTGAGCCCGGGATAGAGACACATTTGCCTGGGATCAGCGTGGGAGTCCTCTGAAGAAACTGGGGCCCACATTTCCTTGGGCTTGGTAAGGCTTCCTGCAGGGTGTGAACAAAGCCGTTGCTAGCATTCTGCTCTCTCCTCTTCAGTGTTGGCCCCCTGCACAGTGACCTGGAGTACACGGTGACCTCACAGAAGGAGGGCTATGTTCTGACTGCAGTGGAAGGAACCATCGGAGACTTCAAGGCCTATGCCCTGGCAGGCGTAAGCTTTGAGGTAACTAACACTGTATTTTCAAAAGGCAGTTATACTGAGGTATAATTAACATATAATAAACTGCACAAAAAGGGTACAGTGTGGTAGTCTTGACCTAGGAATACACCCATGAAAACACCTCCACAATTAAAATAGCACATCTGTGGCCCTCAAGGTTTCCTCCTGCCCCTTGGTAATCCCTCCCTGCCACCCTTCCGCTGAGCTGATGATCTGCTTTTCATCACCATTGGTTAGTTTGCATTTTCGAGTTTTTATAGGTTGGTGCAAAAGTGATTGTGGTTTTTGCCATTGAGAATAATGGCAGAAACCGCAATCACTTTTGCACCAACCTGTATATAAATGGAATCAAACAGGATATACTGTTGTTTTTTTTTTTTTTTTGGTCTGACTTCTTTCACGTAGCATAATTTGGAGAGCTGTTGACTTTAGCATGTTTGTGTACCTTCTGGGAAGTAGTTAAAGCTGTCATCCATAACTGTTCCATTTTGAAGGACACAGAATGTTCTTACTGAGGCGTTTGCTGCCTAGCTCCCTTCCACCGGTCCTTTCTGGGAAGAAGCGTGCTGCGATTGTACAGAGTGGGTCTGGAGATCGTTGAGAATGAATATTTATAAACTATAGGCCAAAGGAAAAGAGTGACAGATTACATCGCATAAAAATTTAAAATTCTATATTGCTGAATACATTTGGAACCAAACTGAAAGATATTCAAACTCGGAAGAAATGTTTGTATCATAAATAATATCCCCATTTTACAAGGAGCTCCTAAAATTGGTAAGAAAAAGACAACCCACTAGAAAAAAAATGAACAAAGATTATGAAAAGGAAATTCATGGAAGTAACGCAGGTGACTAATAAACACAGAAACACAAAGCCTCTGTAGTTACTGAGGAAATGTGCTAAGGAAGTTACAGTCGAAACACTGTTTTGCAGGGATTAGATTTGCTGTAATTAAGACAATCTCTATTTTTTGGTAAGTGTGGGTTTTCCCAAGCATAAATAATTTATGGGACTGTAAGTGGTTACAGCCACTTTGGAATGCAATTAGATAGTATCTTTCTGAATTTAAAGTGCATGTATCCAACAATTCTACTTCTAGGAATGGATTGTTCAGGAAATAAAACTAAGTGCCTAGAGATACATATTTGGGGATATTCCAATTGTCTCTTGTGTACCACAAGAGTAGGTGCTGTGGTTTGTCAAACCCTGCCTTAGAATGCTATGCAGTAGTTAAGAAACAGGCAGATTTCTATTGGCTGGCAGAAGAGAACCAGGATAAATTGTTGAGGAAGAGAGCAAGTTGCAGAACTGTACATATAACATGCCATTTTTATTTCACCTCCTCCACCCACTCAATGAACTTGCCAGTCTGTGAACAATAATATGTAATGTTTATAAAATTTGTGTGGGCATAGAAAGAGTTCTGGGCGGGGCACGGTGGCTCATGCCTCTAATCCCAGCACTTTGGGAGGCCCAGGCATGTGGATTGCTTGAGCCCAGTAGTTTGAGATCAGCCTGGGCAACGTGGCAAGACCCGTCTCTATAAAAAATACAGAAATGTAGTTGGGCATGGTGGTGTGCGCCTATAGTCCCATCTCCTCAGGAGGTTAAAGCTGAAGGATTGCTTGAGCTTGGGAGGCGAAGGTTGTAGTGAGCCCAGGTTGTGCCACTGCACTCCAGCCTGGGTGACAGAGCAAGACCCTGTCTCAAAAAAAAAAAAAAAAAAAGTTCTAGAAGGCTACACACCAAACTTACAAAACTTACAACAGTAGTTACCTGTGGGGAGGAAGATTAGGTCCCCTGTCCTCCTTTGAGTAACAATAAAAGAAAAAAACCTTGAAAAAATGACCTCTTGACTTGTGGAACTGTTATTTTCATAGTTAGTAGGAGTTTAACCTTGCTCTGGTCTCACCTTCTCATCCCCAGATAAAAGCTGAGGATGACCAGCCCCTCCCGGGAGTCCTCTTATCCCTGAGTGGTGGCCTGTTTCGTTCCAACCTCTTGACCCAGGACAACGGCATTCTGACATTCTCAAACCTGGTAACGTGTTCTGCAATTTACCACCTGCCTGTCTTCCCTGAGAGAGAGCCAGGATGCAGCATGCGAGACTTATGTGTTGCTTGACAACGTGAGAAGAGAAGGCCAATGTGGAGTGGTTTCAGTTTCTTGGGGGCCCACGGTCATTAGAGTATTGCTCTTACTCGAACTTAATGCTGCTGATTCATGTTCCCTTCCACACGCGCTTCTTGTTTTCTGATCACCCGCTTGTCACTAAGACAGTGTAATTAATTTCCCTGGCCACAACGGCTGCTCTCTTAGGCGTCTTCTCGTTTTGCCACAGAATCATGTTTATGATGCTGAGTCTTGTTTGGTGGTTAGCTTGCGTTTCTTCTGAAAAGACATTCCACTTGGTGGGAAGAGAGCAGCAGTTTTTCTTTCAAGATGCAGTCGGAGGCCCTGACTGGTGGGGATTCAGGAAGTGTGTGTTAGTTGGTCATCTTGTCAGTCATGGTGACAAAGTGGCTGTGGTGGGGCTACTGGAGACCGGGCAGTGGGGGCATCTGAAGACACCACTTTGCAGTGATGCAGACTGCTCCTTACTTGCTGTGTCCTATCAGGCAAGTTACTTTGCCTCTCTGAGCCTCAGTTTCTTTATTCATTAAATTCAAATATGAGCCAGGTATGGTGGCCCACGCCTGTAATCCCACCGCTTTGGGAGGGTGAGGCAGTAGGATCGCTTGAGCTTGGGAGTTTGAGACCAGCAACATAGGAAGACCCCATCTCTACAAAAAATAAAAAAATTAGCTGGGCATGGTGGTGCATGCCTGTGGTCCCAGGTACTCAGGAGGCCGAGGTGGGAGATTTGCTTGAGCCCAGAAGGTTGAGACTACGGTGTGCTGTGATCGTGCACTCCATCCTGGGGGACAGAGTCAGGCCCTGTCTCAGAAAAAAAAAAAAAAAAGAAAAGAAAAATTAAATATGACTTCTACCTCTCTGAGTCATTGCAGGCAGGTGATACCATCAGCTGCCGTTGTTAGAGTTGTGATTGCCACTACCTGACTGTGAGTGGTGATTATAGAGAGAGGGTTACTATTTTTGGCTGCCAGGGAAGCCATGGCGCTCCCCTGGTGTAATTCTGGTCCATCGTGACATTCGCCCCTCACTTTTAAGCCATGCCTAGATGTGGCTGCTGAGGCTCAGTGTGATTATCTTGGCAGAGCCCTGGCCAGTATTACTTCAAACCCATGATGAAGGAGTTCCGGTTTGAGCCATCCTCACAGATGATCGAGGTGCAGGAAGGCCAGAACCTGAAGATCACCATCACGGGGTACCGAACCGCTTACAGGTAAGTGCCCTGGCCACCCCACTCTCTTCCAGGGCTGGGCTGGTGAATCACATTCAGGCCTCTGTTGCCTGGAAACGCATCCCAGGCTTCACACTGATTTTACTTGGGAGGGAAGGGAGATGAGATATGAGGGCAAAGGAGTTTTGACTGCTGCCCTTCTCTCCTAGGAGCTCAACCTGGTGGTTCAGTCTCAAATTTCCTATTTTGGAATTGGCTTGAGAGAGCCTATTGAGTTGCTAAAAGCTTTTATTTATTTTTTATTTTTTGAGACGGAGTTTCATTCTTCTTGCCCAGGCTGGAGTACAATGGCGCAGCCTTGGCTCACTGCAACCTCTGCCTCCCGGGTTCCAGCAATTCTCTTGTCCTGGCCTCCCAAGTAGCTGGGACTGCCACCATGCATGGCTAATTTTTCTATTTTTAGTAGAGACAAGATTTCACTTTGTTGGCCAGGTTGGTCTCGGACTCCTGATCTCAGATGATCTGCCTGCCTCGGTCTCCCAAAGTGTTGGGATTACAGGCGTGAGCCACTGCGCCTGGCCACTTTTATTTTTTAAAAGAGTTTCAAACCTGAATTACATCATTAAAAGGAGAAAATGTGCTCAGTTGAATAAAACTTCAAAATGCTGAAAAGAGTATAGTGTAAAATTTCCCCTCTGTCTCGTCTCCTAGCCACCCAAGTTCCTCTTCTGGGAGACAACCAGTACTTCCAGTTTTTCTGAATGCTCCCAGCTGTAGATAGATAGATACACATGAGTGTCTGGCAAGGCACAGTGGCTCACACCTATAATCCCAGCACTTTTGGAGGCTGAAGTGGGAAGTTCTCTTGAGTCTGGAAGTTCAAGACCAGCCTAGGCAACATAGCAAGACCCCGTCTCTACAAAAAAATAAAAATACAAAATAAAAAAGATACACATCTATAGATAGAGAGATGCATACATATATACATGTATACACACAGATACACACATATGTGTATTTTTTGTAGACTTATACAGAATCACTTTAGAGGAAGAGTAATTGGAAAGATTGGGTTTAGAAAAATGGACCATTTTCTACTGAATATATGGAATGAAAGAGGAAGTGAGTTATTTCCATGTTATTGAAAGCTCCATTATTTCAAATAAAGCCTAGAAAGAATAAAATAAAGCTTTAGCCTTCTTAAATTACAATTTTCCAGAGCATCCCTCAAAATGTATGAGAAAAGAAATTGATGGCAGCTTATCCCTCCGGCAGGAAGGTGTGGTTTGAAAGTGGGCCGGCCACACCGAGTTGCCTGGGTCATTGAGGCACAGTTCTCCCCTGAACTATTTTGCCCCATAATTGTTGGTAAACGGGAAACACTTGGGTCCTTCAGATAACCATGAGAATATCTCATTCGTGCCTGTTCTTGCCATACTAGTTGCTATGGCACAGTGTCTTCCTTAAACGGAGAGCCCGAACAAGGGGTTGCCATGGAAGCGGTGGGCCAGAACGACTGCAGCATTTACGGAGAAGACACCGTGACAGACGAAGAGGGCAAGTTCAGATTACGTGGATTGCTGGTGAGACTTGGAATGTGTTTTCTTTGGGGACTTTTTTTTCATCCTGTGTCCAGAAGTATCTTGTGGTGGCCCCAAGACTGCTAGGAGTGGGTTGGGCGAGAGGGCTGGGGGTGGGGCTCTGGAGCCCTCCCAGTTCTTACCTTTAATTGGTAGAGTTTGCCTTTTTTCTAGCCAACAGGTCAGATCAAGGATCTGTGGCACAATGGAGTTGGAAAACCATGGGTTTGGTAGGGCTTTTCCCTAGCAGTGTGTGGCCATGGCTTACGCCAGGGCTCAAGCCAAACGCCTATGGAGCCAGAAGAGCAGTATGAACGGGGGAGAGGAGGCTGTGCGAAATGATAGGGAGTGGTGAGGGCTGTGGAGTGGGCACGGCCTGTGGAAAGGGACAGCCTGTCACTTGGTTCCAGCTTATTGTAGCCATGGGGGAAGACAGAGTCAGGGTTGCCAGATCCTTGAAATTTTAAAAAGAGAAGTCAGAAATTCCCACTTCCCAGAAATAATACCCAACACAAGCATTTGGGAATGCTTATGGTGGACATTCCAGATATCCATCAATGTGTATATACGGGTAGAGGGGAGGGGTGGATGGAGAGGAAAAACATCTTAGAAGAGTAAGAGCACATAGTATGCTTGGAATTTTGAAATAAGAAACCAAATTTGATTTATTTTGGGGTAGGAGAAAATGAAACTGAGTTGGGATGGAAGGAGTCGCAAAATTTCAGATGTTTCAACACTAGGGGTGTTCTTAAAGGAACTCTGGACTCTTAAGGTTAACAGGCCACAGATTAGGAAATGAGGGGAGAGAAATGCTCCTGTCTTAATGATCTCGTGCAGCCAAACCAGGCTTGGACCAGGCACGATACGACAAGCCCCCTTTCTAGAGAACTGACTCCTGAGTTTTTTTGCAGCCGGGATGTGTGTACCACGTTCAGCTCAAGGCAGAAGGCAACGACCACATTGAGCGGGCGCTCCCCCACCATAGGGTGATTGAGGTAAGGCATTCAGTGCTGCCGCTGCACCTGGGTGTGGGTGCCTCCCTAATCAGAAGTCCTCCCGTCTCCTCTGGCTGTCTGCCTTTCATCTGTGGCGGGGGGAACTTTCATCCTAATTAAGGGTCCTCTTAGAATAGTGTCATCTTCACAAGCAGAATCTTATGTGGGTTTTTAGTGAACAGCGTTGCTGTCATGCATCCAGAAAGGAAATTGGAACTGTTGTATCCTCCCCGCAACTTGCCCTGTAAGCTCTGATCATTATTCTGCAAGTTAAGGAACTTAAGGCCTAAGCAGCATTTCAAATCAAGGGACAATAATAGCACATGGGCTTAATGGGTGGCAGGGCCACGCAGTTATCTTAGGTTCAGATGACCTTTTTCCTGCTCCCATTTTGTGGGCAGAGTCTTTTGATACTCAAGATCATGACCTAGCTAAATTAATCCCTAAAGAGGACATCCTTCGAGTCACAGAATGTGGCCTGGGAATCATTTGAAGTAAGGCTTTTCTCTTACTGAGTAACTCTCATTGGGAAGACTAGAGGGCTTAGGTAGGGCAAGAGGGGCTGCCTCTTAGTGGCTTTATTTAGGTGGCTTCATTATGCATGAAGATTGTGAGGGAGGATAGAACTTTTGACCTAGGAAGTGGATTTTCTTTTTTTTTTCTTTTTTTTTTTTTTGAGATGGAGTCTCACCCTGTCACGCAGGATGGAGTGCAGTGCCGTGATCTCGGCTCACTGCAACCTCCTCCTTGTGGGTTCAAGTGATTTTCCCACCTCAGCCTGTAGCTGGGACTACAGGCATACACCATCACACCCGACTAATTTTTGTATTTTTAGTAGAGACGGGGTTTCACCATGTTGGCCAGATTGGTCTTGAACTCCTGACCTCAGGTGATCTGCTCGCTTCGGCCTCCCAAAGTGCTGGGATTACAGGCATGAGCCACCGCACCGGGCCGGAAGTGGATTTCCTTGACGTCTTTACGGTGTTGGCATTTTAAATGGCTGGGATGACTGCATCTCACACCAAAATGCTTTGCATGTTCTCGGTGTAGTAACTTAGGCCAGGATCACTAGCATAATGTGGACTGTGGCCGGGCAGGTATGAAAGGGAAGGGGGCCGGCCCTCTGGGATCTCGCAAACTCCATGTACAGACCTCACGCAGAGGGGGTGCTGTGACTCTGCCCCTGCTCTAACAGGCAAGAGCATCCTTCTCCTCTTTTTTTTTAAGAGAAGCTGGAAAATCTGGCTTCATATATGAAATTTCTTAATTTTTAACATGTTGGCAAGTAATTCAAACGTAGAAAAAAAATACTGTGCTTTCGAAATGAAATGTGTCTATGGGCCAGGGATATGCCCCTGCTCTAACAGGCAAGAGCATCCTTCTCCTTTTTTTTTAAGAGAAGCTGGAAAATCTGGCTTCATATATGAAATTTCCTAATTTTTAACATGTTGGCAAGTAATTCAAACGTAGAAAAAAAATACTGTGCTTTCGAAATGAAATGTGTCTATGGGCCAGGGATAGCCATCTTCTGTCGGTTTGTGACCTTGGACGTAGGGTACTCAATGACAAACTTAGCTTCCTTAATGTAAGAAGCAAAGTTTGCCATGAAGCAGCTCTCAGGCCATCGGACAGCTGGCATAGAAGTTCCTCCACCAGCTTTCTCATTACTGGCATTCCCTCTTTCTCTCTCTAGGTTGGGAATAATGACATCGATGATGTAAACATCATAGTTTTCCGGCAGATTAATCAATTTGATTTAAGTGGAAATGTGATCACTTCCTCTGAATACCTTCCTACGTTATGGGTAAGTCCAGACTTTTAAGCTCCAAGTATTGTGTTCCCTTTGGCTTTGAGACAAGTACGAATGGGATGTTTTTGGTTTTGTGCCTGTCTCGTGCCTTAGGTGTGACAGGTGGAGGTGCTCCAGAGTGCCGCCTGCTGAGGGTTGAGGTTGAGATTTAAGAACCTTGGACCACAACACGTATTTGGGAGAGTGATTGCCAGTTGTGGGAGAGAATGTGGTCCAGTTTCAGATAACTGTCTGCCATCAGTTAATCTTCCAAAGAATTATAGTAGAAGCCTGATCAATGATCAATACAATATGGAATCTAACGTGGAAAGCCAATTCTAAAGAAAGCGCCTTGTAACTTAAAATTTTCTCTGGAGTGGAGGTCGTATTAAACGTTCTTGCATTGGTTTAAAGAAATGCCTGAGGCTAGATAATTTATAACAAAAGAGGTTTCATTGGCTCCTCGTTCTGTAGGTTGTACAGGAAGCATAGTGGCGTCTGCTTCTGGGGAGGCCTCAGGAGGCTTCCAATCATGGCAGAAGGTGAAGTGGGAGCAGGCATGTCATGTGGGAGAAGCTGGAGCAAAAGAGAGAGTTGGGGCATGGTGCCACACACTTTTAAATGATCAGATCTCACAAGACTCATAACGAAGACAGCACCAAGCCACGAGGGATCCACCCCAAAGATCCGATCATCTCACAGCAGGCCCTACCTCCGGCACGGGGGATTACAATTCAACATGAGATTTGGGCAGGGACAAATATCCAAACAGTATCAGAGGTGGTGGACGGTGGGCTGGAGAGCAGGTGGTCTGGGCTTTCTCTTGTCTCCAGTAGTGACTCACCTTGCTGCCTGGGCCAGTCACTTCATTTCCACATGCCTCGACTTCGTCCTCTGCAAAACCTAGATTTTGGACTCAGAGACCTCTTATAATCTTGTTCAGCTCTAACAAAATCTCCATGTTACCATTAATGAAGAAATGTTTATAAAATACCCTGCAGACCCTCTGCGGATGTTAGTGATTTGCTCTGGGGGTACATTGTTAAGATGCGCTTGTAATTTTATAAGCAGTTAAGTATTTGGCATGGGTGAGAAAGTGTGTGTGCGCTTTAGTCCACTCTGTCCAGGGCTTGCAGGCGTGTGCTTGTAGGGACCAGGCAGGTAATGTCAGAGAGTGCAGAGGGTTGGGTAGGGTGGGGGGCAAACTGGGGAACTCCTGCCCCATCCATGAGGGGCACAAGGGAGGGGAAGAGGCAGAGAGGAGGGGAGGGCGCCACTCTCTTGCTCCTGAGTGTTGCTGTGCTAGAATTGAGGCTCAGGGTTGGTGTCACTTCCCAGTTTTCCGGAGAAGCTGGAAATTAGAATTATTTGAAATCACCTGATTTTTAAATATAGTCGGTGAATTCAGATTTACTTAAGATGTTATAGAAGAAAAAAGAACACATAAGGGATCTTCAATGCGACCCATAACCTTCAGTCTGTGACTTTCATTTTAGGAAAATTCCCCTGGTGTGTTATGTAGAAAGGTGCCAGTGTGGGCCCAGGGAGGTGGTCCTGGCATTCTCTTGCGGCAGGTGCACTGTGGCATCCTCACAGCCTTTGCCATCAGCCAGGGCTGCACCTTAACCCTGCTCATGCCCCATCCCGTGTGGGAGTGAGAACAGGCAACAACCCCAGAAATAAAGCCAGAAACAAAGTACTCCAGTGCCTCCTGAAGCAGCGTGGAGAGCCACGTACATGATGGAATGCGTTTTGAGTTTAACAGATTGGTGGAGTTAAGGTGACATCATATGATGAGGCAGTGCAAGGCGGGAAGGACCCTCAGGAGTCGTCAGGGGGTTGAGTCCCAGGCTCTACCATGTGTAAGTTGTGTGACCTTAGGTGACTTTGGCTCTCTGGGTCTCCATAGGGATAATAACAATACCTGTTTTGTAGTCAGGATTGGCGATAATGTAGATAAAATATCTGGCGCCTGCCTGGCATATTACAGATGTTCAACACGTGTTAGAAGCTATTTTTAATATTACTATTATATTAACTTATATTACTATTTTGAGCAAGAACATGGGTAGTCAGAATCTGATTTGAATCTTAATTTCTGTGCATGATACATAACTGGATGGAGTCTCAGATGACAGAGGGATGTGTGATGTCTATGGAGGGAGCTTTCTTTTTCAAATATCCATGTTTCCAAAGACACCTACCCAGAGAGCGGCTGTCCTGAGGATGTCTGCTATGAAATATTGATTGTGTTTCAGTTTCAAAGCATGTCTGACTTTGTTTCTCCCTCCAGGTCAAGCTTTACAAAAGCGAAAACCTCGACAATCCAATCCAGACAGTTTCCCTTGGCCAGTCCCTGTTCTTCCATTTCCCCCCACTGCTCAGAGATGGCGAGGTAATGCCTGTGGCCGGATTCTACCTTCTGCCTTTGTTTTAATAATTCTGCTGTTTAGTTTAAGGAAGCACAGTTCTCTCCTTTTCTCCCTAAATACCACTCTGCAGAAATGCGCTCTCTGAATCAAAAGAGGTTGGGTTCTGTAGGGATTATTTTTTCTTCATTGTTTTTCTGTTTACAAAAAGAATACATATTCATGGCAGGAGATTTTGGGAAAAAGAAGACATAAGCCCATCATCCAGAAATAGCCACTGCTAACATGGTGATTGGTATCCTTTGGGTCTTTTTTCAGGCACGTGTGCGCATGCATGTATAAATATAAATAGACATTTATTTTAATAATTCAAAACTGACACTGTTTTGTACATTGTTTTGTAATCCATGCTTTTCAATGAAGAATTTATCACAAATCTGTTCCTCATCATCAAATCTTTCTTTTTTTTTTTTTTTTGAGACGGAGTCTCGCCTTGTCGCCCAGGCTGGAGTGCAGTGGCGCAATCTGGGCTCACTGCAAGCTCCGCCTCCTGGGTTCACACCATTCTCCTGCCTCAGCCTCCGAAGTAGCTGGGACTACAGGCGTGCGCCACCACACCCGGCTAATTTTTTTTTTTGTGTATTTTTAGTAGAGACGGGGTTTCACCATGTTAGCCAGGATGGTCTTGATCTCCTGACCTCGTGATCCACCTGCCTCGGCCTCCCAAAGTGCTGAGATTACAGGCGTGAGCCCCCGTGCCTGGCCAAATCTTTCATACTATGATTTTTATGGACAGTAGTCCATAAACTAGGAAACGCGATGATTTATTTAACCAAGGCCTACTGTTGGGCATGATCGACTCTTGCACTTTGAACATATCACCCCATGCTTTCCTGCTAAGAAGTCCACTTTTAAAAATGCCTTGTAATTTTTAAAAATTCCTCTATTTTAACATTCTGCTATTGAGTTTAGGGAAATACAGTTTCCTCATGATGGGGGATCCCTTGAATGAGATGAGTTGCTTTTCTCTTGCTGCTTTGAACGTTCTCTCTGTCTTTGATAATCTGATTATAACGTGTGTCGTGTAGAACACTTGCAGCTCCACCTTTTCAGTGTCCTTTGGGTTCCATGAATCTGGATGTCTCCCTCCTTGGAACTGGGAAGTTTTCAGCCATTATTCTGGCCGTCATTTACTGATTATAAAGTGCTTATTATCAATTCTATTTGGACAGAGCTAACTTGTAGTTGGTGTGGGGAGTGCAAACTTTGCAAAGAATTTGGTTCTTTTCTGGTGGTCTTAGCCTGAGGATGTCAAGTGTGAGCCTAGAGGGTGACGTTTCCTCTCCTGGCTCCTTACCACCTGCCGTGAAGATGATCTACTCTGGCCTTTCTCTGTGGAAAATGGCTGCGAAATAATGAAACAGGCTGTCACGGAATTTTCTCCTCCTCTTTCTCCAGGGGTGTTGAAATAGTCACTTCCTACAGCGATGCGGAAACATCTTGGGCTTTGGGGTCACACTTCCCCTGAGTTCAGAGCCTTCATAGATGTGTGGCAGCCTTCTTAGCTGAGTGACCTTGGGCAAGTTACTCTTAGTCTCTTCGTGCTTGACTTTCCTCGTCTATAAGACGGGGTGATGATCCCGACCTTGCCAGTGGTAGAAAGCAAAGCAGCCGCGGGCCTCATGCAATGTGCATGGTGCCTGGCAGCTGGTCGGTGCTCAGCACACAGAGCTGTGGCTGCCCCTGGTGCCGTTCCAGGGATGCTGTATTTTTAGGATTTGCCAGCTTACGAGCCTCTCAAGCATCGTCCCTTAGAAGTCAGCCCCGTTGTGGATCCTCAGTTGTATCACGTACCTCCCTCATCAGAATTGGCTCATAATAATTTTTTGTGTTTCATAAAGTCAGATCCTCAGAGGACCGTAATTGTCAAGGTTGGGTACTCATAAAAAGGCTGCAGGCTCTGACAGCCTTATCAGAAGCCACAGTCTCAGAGACACTGGGGACACATGCCCGCCACTGATGGAATAGCCCGCTGAGGTTGATACTTTGAAGGCAGCAACCTTGGTTTGGATGTGTAGTCTTGGGGATTTCTTTAAAAACATAAAGTTCTTTACATCACAGCCATACGTTAGGTTTTAGTTTTCATTTGCTTTGCCAGAGCTGTCCTTATAAAAATAACTTCTTCCCATGTGTGCACAGAACTATGTTGTGCTTCTGGACTCCACACTCCCCAGATCCCAGTATGACTACATCTTGCCTCAAGTTTCTTTCACCGCAGTGGGCTACCATAAACACATCACCTTGATTTTTAATCCCACGGTAAGTAAAAGAGGGAGTTAAAAAAAAATCCATGGGCTGGGTTTGGTGGCTCACGCCTGTAATCCCAGCACTTTGGGAGGCCAAGGCTGGTGGATCTCTTGAGCCCGGGAGTTTCAGACCAGCCTAGGCAATACGGTAAAACCCCAACTCTACAAAAAATACAAAAATTAACCGGGCGTGGTGGAACGCACCTATAGTCCCGGCTACTCAGGAGGCTGAGGTGGGAGGATCACTTGAGCCTGGGAGGTTGAGGCCTCGATGAGCCATGATCATGCCCCTGCACTCCAGCTTGGGTAACAGAGTGAGACCCTTTCTCCAGAAGAAACAAAACAAAACAAAACAAAACAAAACAAAACAATCCATGGGGTGGCGAAAGAAGGCATGTCCATACAACCTGTGCTCCAGGTCGCAGGTTGCAGGGCAGATATTTAAAGGGCTCCTGGCATTGGGTCACTTTCTCATTCTGCCTTCTGGATTCTGGGCTTCCCCAGATTGTTTTTAGCTTTTCTGAGCACTGATGCCTGCGATTCCCTTTGAGGAGGAAACTGGTAATAAGAGCAGTGTAATTGTTTAGATCGGTGGCTCAGGAATGATTTTGGGGGAGGAGGGACACCACTATCGCTGGTGTGGCGTGTGCTTCTCCATGAGGGAGCACATGGTACATGGCCACGCAAACCCCTAGAACCAACTGCTACTTTACAGGAAATAGGGAGGACCCAGGAGCACGCAAATGACTCCACAGGGATGCAGGACAACCACCTGGAGCCTGATTTGTTTGACAAATAAATTGCAAGGAAAAAAAAACCAACAACAGATGGACAGAATACCTGTGGGTTAAAAGAAACTTAACTTATCGCTTAATTCATTGCAATATGTGGCCCTTACTATTTGCAATATGTGTATCTGTTGCATACGGTCTGTCCTGTATCCGATAGGCTGGAACAGTGGAACAAACAAAACATACACGTATCTTTTACCTTCTTGATAAAATTGTTTAGTGATTCCTAAAGCTCAGATGCAGTATTGTCACCTGATGATTAAACAGACACATCAGCAATAGCAAAAACAGAGTCCAGGGCTCAGCCTCAGGACTGCTGATTCTGAACTTGACGGGGTGAAAGTGTAGCACAGGAGTCTGCATTAAAAACAAAAATCTGGCCTCATAGCTACTGTGTTGGTTGTTGCTTCTAGGCCTTTTCAGTGGGCAGAATAAGAACTTTATTGTTTTCAAAAGATGTAACTGTAAGTGGAACAATATCCTCCGATCCTCCTTTTTCCTTTTTTGATAACGACACAGCATTCCTCTGTGTGGATATACCGTGTGTCTTAGGCCATTTGGGCTGCTATTTTGTATCTTAGACTGGGTAACTTATAAACAACAAACATTTATTTCTTACAGTACTAGAGGCTGGGAAGTCCAAGATCAAGGCATTGGCAGATTTGGGGTCTGGCGAGGACTTGCTGTCTGCTTCATAGATGGTGCCACCTAGCTGTGTCCCCACAAGGCGGAAAGGGGCAAACAAGTTCCCTCAGGCCACTCTTACGGGGCATTAATCCCTGACTTAATCACCTCCTAAAAAGGGTGTCCTCTTGACACTATCACATTATGGATTAGGGTTCAACCTATGAATTACGTAGGCACAGACACATTCAGATCCTGGCACTACATGTAGGATATTCAGTTAGCCCCTGGTTGAGGGGCGTTTGTGTTGTTACTGGTTTTCTGCTATTACACATAACCCTTTAATGAATTGCCTTACGCATGCATGTTTTTGAGTGTTCGTCAGTCTCTCTTTGGAATAGACTCCCAGAAGTGGAATTGCTGAGTCAAAGGGTAAATGCATACGGAATTTTGATTGATACGGCCATTTCCCATCCATGGGGGTTTTACTGTTTTATATTCCCGCCAGCAGTGAATGAGTACCCTTTTTTCCCCAACAGAGTATTTTGTCAAATTTTTCAATTTTTGCAGGCTTATAGATGAGAAGTGATATTATCTCACTGTACTTCTAATTGCATTTCTCTCTTTTCATGTGGTTAAGAGCCATTTGTATTTTCTGTGAACTATTTAACCTATTTTTCTATAGAATTTTTGGTCTTTTTCAACCATTTTCAGCTCTTTGTATACTAGGAATATTAACCCTTTGTAATGTTTGTTGTACATATTTTTCCCAATTTGTCATTTATCTTTTCACTTGGTTTCTGCAAAGATTTACTTTATTTCTGTGTTAAATGTGTTGATTTTTTCTTATTGCTTCTGGATTTTAGAGTCATAGGAAGGTTTTCTTCATTCCCAGCTTTTACAGGAATTTATCGTGTTTTTTTCAGGCAGACTTTTATAGTTTCTGTTTTTACATTTAAATCTCTCTATCCATTTGGAGTTTTTCCTGGTATAGATGTGAAGTATGGCTCCAGATTGTCTTTTTCCACATGCTATCCAGTTACCATTTCATGCTTTTCAAACGCCATCCTGCATGGAAGGTGGACAGGAATTACCTTTCATTTAGAGATGAGAAGATGGGAACCTAGAAGGAGATGTGAGCAGCCCAAGGTCACCAGCTCACGTGGAGCAGTGCTAGGGCTTGAGCAGAGCTCTGCTGCTGATTCTGGGCTTCTGTGAAGAGTGATTCATGCTCAGTGAGCCTGTAAATATGATCTTACCTGAACAAGAGAGTTTTTCTCATGACCCACGAGGAAACACTTCCTTGTTACTCACAGTAGAGACCTGGTTAGAAAGTGCTGGAGAGGGCTAGGTGTGGTGGCTCACGCCTGTAATCCCAGCATTTTAGGAGGCTGAGGTGGGCAGATCATTTGAGGTCAGGAGTTCGAGACCAGCCTGGGCAATGTGGTGAAAGTGAAACCCCATCTCTGCTAACAATACAAACATTAGCCAGGCGTGGTAGCACGCACCTGTAATCCCAGCTACTCGAGAGGCTGTGGCAGGAGAATTGTGAACCTGGGATGCAGAGTTTGTAGTGAGCTAAGATAGCCCCAGTGCACTCCAGCCTGGGCGACAGAGCAAGACTGTCTCAAAAAAAAAAAAAAAAAAGAAAGTGCCAGAAAGATAAGCATATACAAGAACCACTTACCTTTGCTTGGGGCTGCATTGTGGCCCAGTTGCTGGGAGAGGCTTCTGTGAAGGCCGTTGATAGCTGCAGGCAGTGACATTCTCAGGGGCCCCTAGCAGACAACTCATCCGGGCTCAGGGACACACCTGGGAGCCAGTGGCAGGAATGTGGAGACACTGCTTGGTGGTGGCCGAGCAGCCCAGCCTCGTAGCTGCTGCCTGTCACTTCTGAGAATGTAAGAAACTGTGCCCTGGTGTGTGATGTTCCCCTTCCTGTATACCTATGTAACTAACCTGCACATTGTGCACATATATCCTAAAACTTAAAGTATAATTAAAAAAAAAAAAAAAAGCTGTGCCTGCTGGGGCTTGGATTCCCGAGCAGGGCCAAGTGTTGAATGAAGAGAGCGCCCACTCTGTGCCACCCCGTACAGGGCCCTCACAGGTTGATCCTCACAACAAGCCTTCAAGCAGGTGTGCCATTCCTCCCATTTTCACAGAAGCCCAGAAAGATTGAGTCACTTACTGAGTGTTAGCAGAACCAGGACTCAAGTGAGGCAGTTTGTCTCAAGCCACATGGTTTCCACCTCGTTCTGCCCTCCGCGTGATGAGTGGCTCAGCATTGCATGTTCACGGGGGCTTTGTAAGCACATTGGTTTCCTTCTTTGTTGATGTGACTGCCCACAGCCTCGCGACTGGATTTTACTCAGTATTCCATGCCCTGCTGAGCATTTCACATACTCCTTTCATCAAGTTTCACAGCATCCACCCCCAGTGGGTGTTGTTCATATGATCTCCATGTCATAGTTGAGTAAACTGAGTCTCAACGTGGTTGCCTGAGTTTACCCAGTGAGGCCTGGGACCTGAGCCTAGACTGAATCACTCTTAATTCCTGCTGAATTAAACTTTTATTTATTTATTCATTATTATTTTTTTCTGAGACAGAGTCTTGCTTTGTTGCCCCTGCTGGAGTGCAGTGGCACGATCTTGGCCCACTGCAACCTCTGCCTCCCGGGTTCAAGTGATTCTCACCTCCTGAGTAGCTGGAATTACAGGCATGCACCACCACTTCTGGCTAATTTTGTATTTTTATAGAGACGGGGTTTCACCATGCTGGCCAGGCTGTTCTCAAACTCCTGACCTCAGGTGATCTGCCCACCTCAGCCTCCCAAAGTGCTGGGATTACAGGCGTGAGCCACTGCACCTGGCCTGAATTAAACTTTTAAGTAAGTGTTTACTTCAGTGGAAAAATGGGTTGGGTTCTAAGAGATGTCCAGAGATACAGGAGTAGGCAGTTGTTGATGGAAATCTGTTCCTGCCCTTATTCTTTCATTTATGAAAGGGCATCCCAGGTACAGCGGCCCCCACAGTCACTCTCTAGCCCAGCAGTTCTCGGATGGGTTGGTTGCAGGACCCCTTTATACTGTTAAAAATTATTGAGGATTTTAAAGAGTTTGAGTTTGCATGGATTATCTCTGTGTATATTTATCATATTAGTAATTAAAACCGAGATGTTGAAAACGCAAGAACTCACAAGCTACACATTCCGTTAGCTGTGGGCGTGATGACATCAGGGTGCGTAGTCTCTGGAAAAGTCCACTGTGTGCTTGCGAATGAAAGAGGGCGGAAAAGGCACATCACATCTTACTATTGGCTGAAAATAGCTGTGGCCTCGGGAACCTCTGCGAGAGGAGTCCCGGTATCCTACACTGAGAACACTGCTCTGGCTCATTAACTTGTTTTTATCATTATTGGGAAGTTCTCCTTCCATTTATTTGCTTCCTTTATGAGAGTAGAGTGGGCCAATGGGATATAGGTTCACTTGATGCTTTAGAACCCAGCATTTCAGGGGCTTTAGCAAGATGGAAATGTCTGTCTCATGTCAAGTGTCCAGGAGTGACCAGTGCAGAGATAGTCTGGTAGCTCCAAGGCGTCAGGGGACCCAGGCCCCTTCTGTCTCATTGTGCTGTTCCAGTGCATTGCTTTTCTCCAAAATGGGGCAATTGGCCAAATGCTGTCTACCCAGCAAAAGGGAGGGCACACCACTTCCCTAGGGTCCAGCCAGGGTGTGGCACTTACCGCTTCTGTTCCTGTACCATTGGCCAAAATTTAGTTCCAGGGCTGCGCCTGCTGCAGGGAAGGCTGGAAAAGGTGATCTATATTGTCGGTGGCCCAGATAAAAGTTGGGGGTTCTATTGGGAGAAAGGGAGAATGGCCACAGGGATGCTAGTAGCAGTGCCTGCTTTGCTTCCTCACTAGACCGTACTGGCTGGGAATAGCTGCCCATCACTGTGTGCCCTGGGTCTAGAACTGTAGGTTCTTGATACATCCTTGTAGGACTAAGTCCCTGCATGTTGCTGGGACTCAACAAACTGAGACCCAGTTGCTTTTCAACCACCAAGACTCTCTGATAGCTGCATCTCTTCATTTCCTCAGTTGGGAGGAGGGTCCAGAGGCTGAGGAATGCCTTGTCATTGGAATCTCTTTGTCCCTGAGTTTCAGAAGCAAATAGTGAAGCTTTGGGCAGAAGAGGATTCATGGGAAAATACATCCAAATCACTTTGGTTCCTTCCTTTGGATAGAAGGAATTTGGATCATGAGGGCCCCTGGGTGTCCTCAAGTGGCCACTTTGGAAGGCTGGGTGGGTGGTGGCTGTGGCATTGTGGATGATGGACAAGCTTGTGGCCTTGGTGAGGAGTGATGGGGCTCTCGGTGTTTGCAGAGGAAGCTGCCTGAACAGGACATCGCACAAGGATCCTACATTGCCCTGCCATTGACGCTGCTGGTTCTGCTGGCCGGTTACAACCATGACAAGGTAGGAAATCCAGAGGCCTCAGGAGATGGCGGGCATGTCAGGGAGAGCGAGTCCTCACAGCTGCAGGAGTGATAGCAGAGGGATGTCCAGGGTCACAGAAATCACATTTCCGGGTCGGGAGGGCCCGTGAAGGCCTCAAGTCCAGACTTAGGTCTCCTTTCAAGGCTGTAAACTTCTGTAACATCTCCTAATCCTTAAACCTGGAACACCTCTAGGGACATATTAGGCCCGGAGAGAGGCCAGCCCATCCCTGGGGACTCATTAGTAAGAGGCCTGCCTCGTTTGAACTGAAACCCACCCATTAGCACGTGGCAGCTGCTGATCATGTCTGAAGAAGGTGTGTTGAGAAGTGAGGCTCCGCTGTTCATCTGGCAAAAGCCTCCTCTTTGTACCCCTCTCTCTCACACTTTCTCTCTTTTCTAGCTCATTCCTTTGCTGCTGCAGTTGACAAGCCGGCTACAGGGAGTCGGCGCGCTCGGCCAGGCAGCCTCTGACAATAGCGGCCCAGAAGATGCAAAGAGACAAGCCAAGAAACAGAAGACAAGGCGGACGTGAGGAGGAAGGGGACAGTTGCAGTCTCACTTGGGACAGGCCACAGCCAGGGGTCCGGCCACTACCCGCCCGTGGGATAAAAGCCAAAAGCATGCGTCAGCTAACTTCAGCCTGTGCTGCTGGGCCCGCACCCCATGTCCCTTGTCACTGTGGCATCCTGCACCCATCCTCACCCCTCCGTAGAGCCCCTCGTGCAATGCAATGAATGGACCCTCCTGTCACTCTGCTGAACAGAATTTATTTTCTGAGTCAAATATAATTTATTATTATTTTTGTCAAAGAAGTATTTAAGCTGTGCTGTGGTGTGAGAATGTCATTCTTGATCTTCAGCCTTCGTTTGCAAGAAGAGTTCCAGTTGATGTGGTGTTTGGTTCCATGGCGGGGTACCCTAGGGATTCATCTGTTTTCTTCACTTCCCTTTGCATCTGAGATCCTGCTGGAAACCACGGCAACCTGTATCCACTATTAGGAGGTAAAAATCAATAAAATGGCCCATTCATTTGTGTTGTAGCTCATCATAGATGTATTTCTTGGATGACATGCACGTAACCCCCGGGAGTCTTCAGTTGAGCCAAATGTAGAGCAAGTCAGAGTCCTGAGTGAAGCTGGCTGGGGCAGGAAAAACACGAGCTCAGCCAACATGGTCCCCAGCAGCTTTTGGCGTCAGTGATAGAGAAATCGGAGATAGTGGAGGTTGTGGCAAGTTGAAGTGTGCCCACCACGTCTAAGGGAAGCTTAGGGACTCAGCTCTGGCTCACCCCTGCTGTGCAGAAATGTGCGTTCATTTTTCTAGAGAAGCCAGAAAAACAAAGATTTACGTGAAATTTTCCCAATTTTAAATGTTAGCCACAAATGCAGTGTTTTTTTAAGAAAACCACACACTTTGGCCAAACAAAATGCCTACGTCGGCCGGGTGAGGCTTAAACGTTGCCGGCTTGCATCAGAGATCCAGAGGAAGTCACAGCATTTTAACAGCTAAACTTAATCCTCACAGGAAGTCATCAAGTGAATTAAGTGATATTGAAGGAGGGGACACATCCATCCATCCGACATTTATTGAGTGCCACATAGGACAGGCATGGGTATGTGAGGATGAGTAGGGTAGACAACACTCTACAGCGAGCTGGAAGAGGCCAGGGAGGCCCCGTCTGCCTTGTTCTTCGTACCCCAATGCTTGGCACTTGGTGGGCATTCAGTAAGGAATGAATGAACGCACGCACAGAGGAATGAATAGATGGGCACACAGTGTGTGCCCTCACAGCACATGGCCCATCACTGGGTAGAAGGCAAGTCAGTAAGTAGACAGGGGTAATGCAGGGAGCCGAGGGCCTCCAGGTGGAGGAACATGGAGGACCACAGGAGCACAGAGCAGAGTTCTCATCCCACTGGAGAGCTTAGGGAACTTTCTGGATGTGATGCGTGAGCAGAGTCCAAAAGGACAAAACAGAGAGAGGGAAAACAAGGTGGAAGTTCTTGTTAGGTGCCACTGCCACCCCAGGGGGTCAGCTTGGGGGACTCCCTGGCTCTTGGGGGCCAACCGCAGAGCTGCCCTGTTCCCACCTATCAGCTAGCTTGGTGTTGGCACCGTGGAAGGAAAGTGAACAGTGTTGGAGATCTGGGACAGATGTGATATTAATACAGGATCCATTTCTTGGAGTGTTTTCCAACTCTTATTCCAAGTGGACACCCAGAAACATCCCTTTTAAATGTTAATGGGGTTTTTATTGACGGTATAAAGGTTAAGAGCTTGCGAAAGATACAATTGTCAGTACACTCCTTCCAGTTCCGGAGGCCGCCAGTAAGTGGCAGTCTTTCCCTGTCGCTGGCTGCAGGTCACCCTTGGCCTCGGTGGAACTTGTGTGGGTCATTCTCAGTCCATTTGAAAGTTGGGCCTGTTCGGTTGTGTATAATTTTCTGTTCATCATTTTTCTGGCAATCTCAGGACAGAAGTCCTCTGATCCTCCTGTGAGAAGTAAACATTAATGTTATTAGATTCTTTTTTTTTTTTTTTGAGTTTCGCTCTTGTGGCCCAGGCTGGAGTGCAGTGGCGTGATCTCGGCTCACTGCAACCTCTGCCTCCCGGTTTCAAGCGATTTCCTGCCTCAGCCTCCCGAGTAGCTGGGATTACAGGTGCCCACCACCACGCTCGCCTAATTTTTTGTATTTTTAGTAGATACGGGGTTTCACCATGTTGTCCAGGCTGGTCTTGAACTCCCTACCTCAGGTGATTCATCAACCTTGGCCTCCCAAAGTGCTGGGATTACAGGCGTGAGCCACCGCACCCGGGCTGTTATTAGACTTGGAATGGGACAAAAGTCATATGAGACAGACTTGTTTGCTGAGGTATTTAAAAAACAAAATGGTCTAAGATGGCAGATTCTTGGGGAACTCTGCTCTGTGCACATTTCTGCCTATTAAAGTGGCCGTAAAAACAACCATAAATCCTTGATGAGGACACCTCAGGAGCTTTAGGACGGTGCCATTCTTTTTTAATTAAAAGCTTTTTATTTGATTTGATTTTTCTGTAGAGACAGGGTCTCGGCTATGTTGACCAGGCTGGTCTTGAACTCTTGGCCTTAAGTGATCCTTCTGCCTCAACCTCCCAAAGTGCTGAGATTATAGGCATGAGTCACCACACCTGGCCAGGGCAGTGCCATTCTAAGGCAACGGCTTCAACTCGGTCTTCTTTTCTGGGGTTACAGGAGATGGGAAGGGCCGAAGGTAGCATGAGAACGTGTGTGTGTGTGTGTTTGTGTGTGTGTGTGTGTGTTTGTGCATGTGTATGTGGAAGGACTGGTGAGATGGCTGGAGGAAGAGGCAGTCCTTCTGCTTAACTCTAATGGCCTAAATGTGAGAAACAAAGATTCAGGAAATAAGGAAAAAGCAAATGAGTGATTGCCTCTCTGGATCAAGCACACCAGCAGGCACAACCAGCCTTTCTTGAGCTACTGTGTGCCGGGCGCTGTGCCGTGCCCTTGCATGCATGTGGATGCTTCATGAGTTCATGAAGTAGGTATGCTTCCAGCCCCATTTTTCAGAGAAAGAAACTGAGGCTGAACAATCTTGCAGCTGTCAAGTGGCAGAGCAGGGGTTTGAACCCAGGTCCAAGAGTTCTTAACCACCATGTTTTCCTGCCCTTGATGTATGAAATGAGATGATGTAGTCACATGCCAGCTTGTCTAGGGATGACTCAGAGGTTTAGAGATGGATGTCACGTGGATGTTGTACAGGAGAGGCAGGTATAAGCTGTAGTAAAGTTAGGAAAGGCACAGTGACGTGGAGCACTGTGTGCAGTGGACGGGGTCATGGCTGGGGGTGAGAATGGTGGAGGACCTTCGATTATTTCATCAGCGTTGTTTCTGTAACCAAAGAGCTGCATGACCAAACCCTGAGATCTAGTTCCTTAATAGGAACAATTATTCGGCACGATTCCCTTTACTTAAAAGCAGGGGCCGTCCTAAGGGAGGAGTTGGAAAGAGTTTGGGGGATAAGGTTTGCTTGGTTGCCTTCTGTTTAGGCTGATGTTCAGTGGGGGTCAAAGGCTGTGTGTCCAGTCCCTGGCATGTGGCGGGTGTTTGTGGTACACAGCCAGCCTCAGGATGGCCCCCAGGGATGCACACTGCCTTTGTGTGTGGTCCCCTCCCACACTGAATCAGGCTGGCTCTGTGCGACCAGTGGGAAGTGGTGGAAGTGAGTGATGATGTGTGACTTCTCGGGCTAGGTCGTAACAGGCATTGCACTTTGGCTCTCGGGAAGCCAACTGCCTTGCGTGAGGGTGCTCAGGCAGCCTCGTGGGGAGGGGTGAGGCCCCTGGCCCCCAGCATGTACAGCTTGCCACCACGTGAGTGAGCCAGCTTGGAAGTGAATTTCCCCGCCCCGGTCAAGCCTTCTGGTGAGTGCAACTGCAGATGACATCTGACTTCCACCACTCAAGAGACCCCAGGTCAGTGCTGCCCAGCTGAGCTCTTCCCAGGTTCTTTATGTCCCCCGAAAATGAGCTGTTTTAAGTTTAGAAAACTTAAAAACACAGTGACAATGAAGCACAGATATGCATTACATACAGTCCCAAATCAGTAATGACTTCAAGCTGTGTCCTCTCTTTCCAAGAAAGACAAAGCAGAGAACAAAGTTCAACCTACAGTGTCTTCCCAAATTCTTGACCCACGGGATCTGTGAATATCTTATACGACTGAATTAAGCCTCTAAGTTTTGGGGTAACTCATGCAACATTAGGTAACTGGAATAGTGCTCAATAAATGTCTGTCACATGAATGGGCAGTGACCATGGATGCATTTCTAGTTGTGTATTAGTTAAGGCTCTCTTGGTTTCAAGTAACAGAAATCCAACTCCAACTAGCTTGAGCAAAATGGGGCATTCCTCTGGTCAAGTAACGGAGAAATCCAAGAGTCTCTGGCTTCATGCATAGCGGGACCCAGTCTCAATTTCCACCTCCTGGCTCTGCTTCCCTTGATGCCAACTTTCAGGAATCAGCTTTCTGAAAGACCACTCTGCTAGAAACAGACAGGCCCATCCTTTCAACCAGGTCCAGGACTGTTTGCTCAGTCACTGCTCTCAGAGGCAGGGGCAGAGGCAGATGCCGGGCACACATCCACAGAAGTGGAGATGGCAGGAAACTGAGAGTGGAGTGCTGGAAAGCTGGCTTTTGCCTATGGGTTCCGCTTCTGACATCATCCGGCAATGTCAGGCTTTACATTGCCCCCATCTGCAGACCCAGCAGAAGGACAGCTTCCATCCCACCACATCAATATGCCAGTCCTGGGGCGGGGGAAGGACTTATGGGCAACCTTTGCAGAATCACTGGGGCCTGGCCGCACATGAGCCATGCCCACGCTCATGTGACAGGCGGCCCCTGTGCCTGGGGTGCTGTATTACCCAGAGGAATAAGTGATCCTGGGTGGGCAAAAGCAACAGAAGAGAAGTCAGCTCCACTTCCTTCCAAAACTTGAGAAGGCCTGGTCAAAATCACCCTCCAGGCCCGGTGTGGTGGCTCATGCCTGTAATCCCAGCACTTTGGGAGGTTGAGATGGGCAGATCATGAGGTCAAGAGATCGAGACCATCCTGGCCAATATGGTGAAACCCTGTCTCTACTAAAACTACAAAAATTAGCTAGGTGTGGTGGTGGGCGCCTGTAGTCCCAGCCACTCGATAGGCTGACAGGAGAATCACTTGATCCAGGGAGTCGGAGGTTGCAGTGAGCCGAGATCGCACCATTGCACTCTAGCCTGGCGACAGAGTGAGACTAAAAAAAAAAAAAAAGAAAAAAGAAAAAAATCAGCCTCCATTTTTGGCTTTCTCTTTCATTAGAAAAATGAACCTGACTTTATGACCATGACAATGAAATGCCTAGAGAAGGGAGCACTCATTTTCCAGTGGGCCTACTGTGTGCTGGGGTGGCGAGACTCTTCCTGCCCTGGAACTTGGTGAGGTCAGGAGGGAAGATATTATATGACTGCCTTCCTCTGTACTTTTTCAGTGGGGGCAGGTGTTTATGCTTGATGATGTAATGGTGAGATCTTGGTTGGAATATGAACTTTTCTTTCTTTTTTTTTTTTTAGATGGGTTCTTGTTCTGTTCCCCAGGCTGGAGTACAATGGCACCATCACAGCTCACTGCAGCCTTGATCTCCCAGGGTCAAGGGATCATCGTGCCTCAGCCTGCTGAGTAGCTGGGACTACAGGAGTGCACCACCACACCTGGCTAATTTTTTTAAAAAAAATCTTTGTAGAGATGAGCTCTCACTAGGTTGCCCAGGCTGGTCTTGAACTCCTGAGCTCAAGCAATCCTCCCACCTTGGGCTCCCTAAGTGTTGGGATTACAGGCAAGAGTCACCACGCCCAGCCAGGATCACAGACGTTTAAATTACACTCCTTCTGCTGTGCCTTACAGCAGTAGAAGGGGTGAAATTTAAACGTCTGTGATCCTGGGGTTGTTGAAGATGCCACCCATCTACATATTCTTTCAGATGCACAATATTTCACTGTGTGAATGAAACAGCAGCCCTTCTTACGTGTGCTTTTTGGAATTTGAAGATTTTGTAAGATAAGATGAATGCATTGGAACAAGTGATCCTCAATTCTGTGCAGTCTGTGCCTCCGGAGACTGGCGGCTGCCCCTCCCTGTCTAGTCTTGCAAGAGAGGCAGCTGGCAAGAGGACAGAAGCCGGCAGCTGCTGCGTTTTCATCCTGTTTCTGCTCTTGGAGCTGAGGGGGAGAGGTGGCTAGCAGCCACCCAGTGATCAAACTTGCAGCCTGCCTCTCTTGCTTCCTTTTCACAGACTGGAGTGTGCCTGGGTATGGAGAAAGAACATTTTGCTTCTTGCCTCTCAGAGTTTCAAGAACGCCTCACCTGAGTGGCATGCATTCATGGAATGAGTAATTATTACAGTGGAGAACTCCTCACTGTGAATTAATTACACAGATGATATTCAAGACTTAGACTGGGCTAGTGCAGGGGTTAGCAAACTATGGCCCACTGTTCTTGTTTTATAAATAAAGTGTTATGAGCACACAGCCATGCCCATTCATTTGCAGATTATGGCTGCTTTTGCCTGACAGTGCCAGATGTAAGTAGTTGTGGCAAAGACCAGGTAGCCTAAAAAGCCTAAAATACTTGCTATCTGGGTCTTTACAGAAGACATTTTGTTGTTGTTGTTGTTGTTTTTGAGATGGGGTCTTTCTCTGTCACCCAGGCTGGAGTGCAGTGGTGTGATCTCAGCTCACTGCAACCTCCGCCTCTTGGGTTCAAATGATTATCGTGCCTCAGCCTCCCTAGTAGCTGGGATTATAGGCGCCTGCCACCAAGCCTGGCTAATTTTTGCATTTTTAGTAGAAACAGGGCTTTACCATGTTGGCCAGGCTGGTCTCAAACCCCGACCTCAGATGATCTGCCTGCCTCAGCCTCCCAAAGTGCTGGGATTACAGGTGTGAGCCACTGCGCCTGGCCTAGAAAATGTTTTCTAACCTGTTGTCTAGTGGGTGCTTTGTAAAGTTTAGTTTTAGGGGGAGCATCATTAATTCATTCAACAAGTATTAACTGAGCATCTCCCCTGTGCTGGGTGCTGCTTGGCATACTGGGGGTTTAGTGGTGTGAGAGAGACCGAGCCTCAGCTCTTAGGAGCACAGTGCTGATGGAGGACGAAAGGTAAACACACACATTAGAAGTTGTTGGATAATGCCAGGCGTTACGAAGAAAAGAAGCAGAACAAGGCAATGTGACAGAGGATGATTGGTATCATGGAAGGTCTCTCTGAGGAGGCAGCATCTGAGCTGAGACCTGAGGAGGGGAAGGGCCAGTTATGCAAAGATCTGGGGGAAGAGCTGCCCAGGCAGAGGGGACCATAATTGCAAAGGCCCCCAGGAGGAAATGAGCTCCCTGAGTTTCAGGAATAGCAAAGAGGCCAGGGTGGCCAGAGTCAAGTGATTGAGAGGAAGAGATGAGAACGATGGCAGGGACCGGGTCATGTGGGTGCCCTGGAAAGGAGTTTAGATTTTATTCTAATGGCAACAGAAGGCATTGGAGGGTTTAAGTAGGGAAAGGGGAGTGATCTGATGTATGTTTTTAAACAATTGCTTCTTTAAATTTTGAGGAGATTGGATTATTGGGAAGCAAGAATGAATTTAGGGAGAGAAGCAAAGAGGACGTTGTGTTGGTTTAGGCAAAAGACAGCAATGGCTTGGATTGGGGTGATGGAAGTAACAGTGGCAGGAAGTGGTGAGCTTGGGGCTATGCTTCAGAGATAGAGCAGAAAGGTCTTGCTGATGTATTTAATACAGGAGGTGAGGGAAGGGAGGAATCAACGATAAGTGAATCGTTTGTTTCTAGCTGAACCACTGAAATGTGTAGGTAAATTGAGACTTCTGTTTTGGCCATCGTGAGTTTGAGATGCTTATCAGACACCCGAGTCTGCAGCCTGGGTGAGAAATCACGGCTGGAGATGAGACGTGGTGAGCTGGGAGTGTTTTTGGATGACAGATGAGGCCACGGGATTGAATAATAGGTATCCTTATGAAGACTGAGAAAAGGAGAGGGCTGGGGGCCAAGCCCTGGGACAGTGCAACCTTCAGAGGATGGGCGAGGAGGGCCCTGCCCAAGAGACAGAGAGGAAGTGGCCCGTGAGGTAGGGGGAAGTCCAGGAGAGGACAGTGTGGTGAATACCTAATGCTTTACTCATTCACTGGTGAATGAATGGATGGATGGATGGATGGATGGATGGATGGATGAATGCATGAATATTCCTTAATAATATGGTTGGCCATGGTCCATCCATATGACTCCTACGGACACCATGTTACCATTTCACACTCGTCTTCTATTTAGGAGAAATCAGACGAAACTGTCATCTTATATATAGGTCAAAAATGGTTTCCATAACCACCCACCTCACATGCTTACTGAAATTCATTAAGTAATAGATGGGGTGGGGGGCGGGAGGTTTACAGGTCGGCAAAGGAGGCAAGGCTAGAGTGATCCATGTGGCAGTGGATTAGAGTGGCAGGCATCAGTATGAACACATGTTTAGCTCAATATAGATACAGATGGCTACATAGAGAAATATTTATGGATATGTGCATATACACAAATTAGTAAGACACACATTACTAATCCTGGCTGTCAGCGAAGAGAGCCTAGAAGCAAGGATACCCCAGTAGCAACAAACCTCTGGTGCCCAGGTCTCTGTTCTCCAATAAACACCATTCTCCAGTAAAAGGAACCAGGCTTCTTGAACAAATGTCGATCCTAGGACCGAGGGAGGAAATAGATAAGAAGAACCTGAAGCATCTTGTAGGGTCACAGGGTGAGGAGGCGCTAAATGAAACAAAATGAAACTGCTGCAGTGATGGGGCATCTCAGAGGGACACAGGAGCCAGTGGAAAAGCTCCCAGGGGTCAAAGCCAGAACAATTTGAGCCCCAAAAAAGTACTATTGGATTAGAATTCAAAGAATAAATACCCATGATTCCATACTGCTATAAATGATCAGATAAGAGAGAAGAGACAAATCTCCCAGGCAGAAGAATTCCAGATTATTTATTTATTTTTATTTAATTTTTTTTTTTTACACAGGGTCTTGCTCTGTTGCCCAGGTTGGAGTGCAGTGATGTAATCTTGGCTTACTGCAACCTCCACCTCCCAGGTTCAAGCGATTCTTGTGCCTCAGCCTCCCGAGTAGCTGGGATCACAGGCATGCGCTGCCACACTCGGCTAATTTTTTGTATTTTTAGTAGAGGCGGGGTTTCACCATGTTGACCAGGTTGGTCTCAAACTCCTGACCTCAAGTGATCACCCTCCTCGGCCTCCCATTCAAGTGCTGGGATGACAGGTGTGAGCCACCGTGCCCGGCCCCAGGTAATTTATATAGCTATTCCATCGTCAAGGAGGTGGAGCGGACTTCCCACATCCTAAGTGTGGGCTGTGCATAGTGACTCTCTTCCAAAGAGTACAGTGTGAAAAGAGAGGAGAGAGTAACTTTACAGTGGAGAACACGGACAGACTACCTCAGCCAGGTGATCAAAGTCAACTTCAATAGCGGCAAGTCATCTTGAGAGAATGCGTGCCTGATACAGAGTGCTGAGAATGATTCTTAAGCTCTGTGGTCCTCCTCCTCAAAACACACACAAGCCAAGACTAAGGATGAGAAGCATCTGCCAAATCCCAGTTGAGGAACATTCTACAAAATACCTGGCCAGCACTCCTCAAAATGCTCCATGTGGTATCCTGGAACAGAAAAAGGACATTAAGCAAAAACTAAGGCAATCAGAATCAACTATGGACTTTAGGTGGCCAGGCACGGTGGCTCGCGCCTGTAACCCTAGCACTTTGTGAGGCCGAGGCCGGCGGATGGGTTGAGCCCAGGAGTTCAAGACCAGCCTGGGCGACATGGCGAAACCCCATCTCTACAAAAAATACAAAAAATTAGCCAGGCTTGTGGTGTGCACCTGTAGTCCTAGCTACTCGGGAGGCTGAGATGGGAGGATCACTTGAGTCCGGGAAGTCAAGGCTGCAAGTGACCCGTGATTGTGCCACTGTATACCAGCATGGGCAATGAGAGTGAGACCCTGTCTCAACAAACAAACAACAAACAAACAAACAAAAACAAATTCTCTGGGGATGGTAGCAGGCACCTGTATTTCCAGCTACTTGGGAGGCTGAGATGGAGGATCGCTTGAGCCAGGGGAGGTGGAGGGTTGAGGCTGCCATGAACTATGATCACACCACCACACTCCAGCCTAGGTGACGAGCAAGACCCTGTCCCCACCCCCCTAAAAAAAGTATGGACTTTAGTTCATAATGCATCAAGCTATGGGGTACATGGAAACTCTCTGTACTGCTTTCACCATTTTTCTAAAACTGTTCTAAAATAAAAAATTTACTTAAACATTTATTTAAAAAAAAAAACAAACCATTTGAGTACCAACAGTGTCATATGCTCAACTTAGCACATCTTTTTCCTGGTTTGGTTTGTGGGCGTGAATGTGTACTGAGCCATCTAAACCTTGGTTGCCCGACCTTCACCGTAGCCACTGACCCAGGTTAACAGACAAAAGGCCCAGGTTAAGGTTATGCCCAGTGGCCATAAAATAGCCCAGCATCCAGACTGCACTCCTTGATGTACCCAAAAAAGCCAAGGAATAGGACGGATGGGCGGGGAGTGGGGGGCAAACTACTGCCCATTGCCCAACTCTGGCCAGCTGTCTGTTTTATAAATAAAGTTTTATTGGAACACAGTCACACCCATTCATTTATTATCATCTATGGCTACATTTGCATGACAATGGCAGTGTTGAGTAGTTGCACCAGAGATCGTGTGGCCCACAAAATATTTATTATCTAGCACTTTACAGAAAAAGCTTGTCAACCTCCAGGACAGTGGCCACAAGTTCTGCCATCATCTCATCCCTTAGCAAGAAGGGAAAGGAATGCCCATTAAGGCACAAATTGTTTTCTGTTGTTGTTTGTTTGTTTGTTTGTTTTTGAGACGGAGTTTCAGTCTTGTCGCCCAGGCTGGAGTGCAATGGCGTGATCTTGGCTCACTGCAACCTCCGCCTCCCAGGTTCAAGCGATTCTCCTGCCTCAACCTCCCGAGTAGCTAGGATTACAGGCGCCAGCCACCACATCCAGCAAATTTTTGTATTTTTAGTAGCGACGGGGTTTCACTATGTTGACCAGGCTGGTCTCGAACTCCTGACCGCAGGTGATCCACCTGCTTTGGCCTCCCAAAGCGCTGGGATTACAGGTGTGAGCCACCGTGCCTGGCCACAAGGTGGTCTTTTAACAACAGAGCACACAGCTGGACAAAGCCCAACGCTCTCTTCTTTGGGGCCGAGGTGGGTCATTAATATTGAACATTTACAATGTACTTGCTCCAGGTGATTCAGTTTAATTTCTGCCGTCTCTTGTAACAGGGCTCTCACGTGCACGGGTTGGGGCCGTGTGTCTGCCTCTGCTTTCTGAGGCCCCACAGCGTATTGATTCTGCGAAACGTACGTTTCTTTGAAAACAGCGTCTCTTGACATGACAGGAGATCACACATCGCTTGTTTTCTGTCCCTTTCATTGCCCTCTGAACATGATAAAATCATGACCTAGTGTCACCGAGGGACCTCAGCATCTCTTGGAAAGAAGGACTTGCCTTCTTTTTTATCTTTGTCAAGCCAGTGAGGCCAAGTAGAAAATTTTTAGCAGCTTTGGAGCCAGACAGATCGGAGTGCGAGTTCTGCCCGTTATTGACTGGACCGTGTGACCCTGGGAGAGCCGCCTAGTGTCTATGAGACGGAGGCTGTTGGGCAAGAAAATGGGGATGGTCCCAGCATTATGGGGCGGTTGTGAGAATTCAGTGCAATGATGCAGTGCTCCCAGAACAGCTGGTCTAGGGCTTGGCTCATGGGACTGTCCCTTCGCAGAGGCAGCGTGGACATTCCGCTGGTATCCACTGGTGTGGCTGTGCCTGTTTGGTCACCGTGTCTGTTCTGATTGGTCGGTGCTCCTGCATGTCAAGAGTTCAATGTTATGAAAATCATCCCTGCCTAGAGATGAATTCCCCCTTCCCCTGAGGTCTAGACTGGTATAGCTGCTTTTGGAGCCTCACCTGCTGAGAGCTCACAGCTGTCCTTCTCTAGAGAATCACCCTCAGATGGGAGCCACATTGCCTGGGATGGGATGCCATGCCCAGTAATGGCCCAGTGACTAACTGATACAGCAACGTGAATGGCTGGTCCCTGCCCCACGGTGGGGACGATCCTGTGGCGTGCTCTCTGCTGCTCGTGGGATAGGTCAAGGCGGGACTTTAAGGGACCACATTCTCACTCTGCTCTGTCCCCTTCTGCATCCTGTAGTCCTCACCTCCCTTCTCCTGAAAGCCCCTTTCAAAACAAAAACAAAAACCACATCCACCCAAGTCCCTGTCTCCAGCTCTGCCTCCAGGAAAGCCGGCGGAAGGCCGCCAGTCTCAGCTGTGACAGATACAGATATTTCTGCATTTCCAGGACTGAGGTCAATCCCTGGGGACCCAGTGAGGCGGTATCTGAAGGGCCATGGAGCTGGCTTGATGGGGTCTACAGGTAGGCAGGGACCTGGTGGGGATGTGACTCAAGGATTTTTATCAAATATCTTTATCCCCTGACAGATGCAAAAAAAAAAAAATGAGATCAGACTCCAGGGTTTCCTCCATGCCACACTGTGGCCCCATTGTTTGTTGTGCTATCAGCAGAAGTTGATTTTGCAAGGAATGTACACGTGTATGTGATGTTTGAATGCACCTATCTGTGTGTGCGTGCATTTGTGTGTGTGTGTGTGCATTCGCTTGTGTGTGTGTGTGTGTGTGTGTGTGTGTGTGTGCTGAGGATGTGAGCCCCACTTCCGGCCCAGTGCCCCTGCCCAGGCTGGCTCTGCCCTCCTGCTGCTCTGGGCCCCTCAGGCAGTGACTACCTGGTACATAGGGAAGGCATCAGCATCCCTTATTCATGGGGACTGTATACTGTCTCCACCATATTGGGCCTTTTGGCCTCTTGGACATGACTTGGCCTCTGCTGGCTTTAAGGGACTGCCAGAGATGCCATCTTCTCTGGGAAATGTTCTCAGCCTGGGCACAGCCCACTAACCACTGCCTGCTTGTCTGAGACTTCTCTGTCCAGGAAAACAGCCCAGCCTGACCAGAGATGGGCATAGAGCCATATTTTGGGAAAGACTGGTTGGGGGTCAACTTGGTTTCTGGAACCAGTTCTGATTTCAGTTGCAGGGGACAGTGAGCCAGTTACTGCCCACTGGCTGCATCCTAAGCCTTCCTAGAGGAGAGCTAGCCTCCTCCTAGGGTTGCCCAGGCTGGACCACTTCTGCCTGGGTGATGGGTTGGGAGAAAGACGTTAATATTTGGAGCAGTGTTATATTAGTCAGCCCTCCCATTTGCAAACATTAGAAAACCAGCTCAAATTAGTGATAAAAGAAAATCTCAGCTGAATTAAATTTAAAGTAGTTTAATTGAGCAATGAATGATTCGCGAATTGGGCAGACCCCAGAATCACAGCAGATTCATAGAGACTCCAGCGCAGCCACGTGGTGGAAGAAGATTTATGGACAAAAGAAGGGAAATGATGTACAGAAATCAGAAGTGAAGTACAGAATGGCTGGATTGTTACAAGTTGGCGTTTGCCTTATTTGAGTACAGTTTGAACACTCAGCAGCGTATGAGCGGTTGAACTACGGCCTCTGGGATTGGCCAAGACTCAGCTATTGTTACAGGCGCATACTCCTAAGTTAGGTTTTCAATCTTGTCTACCTATTAAGCTAGGTTGCAATTTGTCCACAAGGACTCAACTATAGAAGTACGAAGTCCCACTCAGGCCATATTTAGTTCACTTTAACACTAGCTTCGGCAACTGTCTCTCAGAGCCCAGGGCAGGGCAGGGATGCAACTGGGCTTCAGGAAACTTGAATTC